>NC_000005.10:49265342-49591369 GCF_000001405.40 Homo sapiens | reverse complement strand
TCTGTCTAGCAGAATATGAAGAAATCCCGTTTCCAACGAAAGCCTCAAAGAGGTCTGAATATCCCCTTGCAGACTTTACAAACAGAGTGTTTCCTAACTGCTCCATGAAAAGAAAGGTTAAACTCTGTGAGTTGAACGCACACATCACAAAGGAGTATCTGAGAATCATTCTGCCTAGTTTTTCTACGAAGATATTTCCTTTTCTACTATTGACCTCAAAGCGGCTGAAATCTCCACTTGCAAATTCCACAAAAAGAGTGTTTCAGGTCTGCTCTGTGTAAAGGATCGTTCAACTCTGTGAGTTGAATACACACAACAGAAGGAAGTTACTGAGAATTCTTCTGTCTAGCAGAATATGAAGAAATCCCGTTTCCAACGAAGGCCACAAGATGTCAGAATATCCACTTACAGAATTTACAAACAGAGTGTTTCCTAACTGCTCTATGAAAAGAAAGGTTAAACTCTGTGAGATGAACGAACACATCACAACGCAGTTTGTGGGAATGATTCTGTCTAGTTTTGAAACGAAGATATTTCCTTTTCTGCCATTGACCTTAAAGCGCTTGATATCTCCACTTGCCAATTGCACAAAAAGAGTGTTTCAAATCTGCTCTGTCTAAGGGAACGTTCAACTCTGTGAGTTGAATGTACACAACACAAGGAAGTTACTGGGAATTCTTCTGTCTAGCCTTACAGGAAAAGAACCCGTTTCCAACGAAGGCCTCTAAGTGGTCAAAATATCCACGTGCAGACTTTACAAACAGAGTGTTTCCAAACTGCTGAATGAAAAGAAAAGTTAAACACTGAGAGTTGAACGCACACATCGCAGAGCAGTTTCTGAGAATGATTCTGTCTAGTTTTTATACGAAGATATTTCCTTTTCTGCCTTTGGCCTCAAAGCGCTTGAAATCTCCACTTGCAAATTCCACAAAAAGAGTGTTTCAAATCTGCTCTGTGTAAATGAAAGTTCAACTCTGTAAGTTGAACACACACAACACAAGGAAGTTACTGGGAATTCTTCTGTCTAGCATAATATGAAGAAATCCCGTTTCCAACCAAGGCCTCAAGGAGGTCTGAATATCCACTTGCAGACTTTACAAACAGAGTGTTTCCTAACTGCTCTATGAAAAGAAAGGTTAAACTCTGTGAGTTGAACGCACACATCACAAAGGAGTTTCTGAGAATCATTCTGTCTAGTTTTTCTACGAAGATATTTCCTTTTCTACTATTGACCTCAAAGCGGCTGAAATCTCCACTTGCAAATTCCACAAAAAGAGTGTTTCAAGTCTGCTCTGTGTAAAGGATCGTTCAACTCTGTGAGTTGAATACACACAACACAAGGAAGTTACTGAGAATTCTTCTGTCTAGCAGAATATGAAGAAATCCCGTTTCCAACGAAGGCCTCAAGGAGGTCTGTATATCCACTTGCATACTTTACAAACAGAGTGTTTCCTAACTGCTCTATGAACAGAAAGGTTAAACTCTGTGAGTTGAACGCACACATCACTAAGGAGTTTACTGAGAATCATTCTGTCTAGTTTTGAAACGAAGATATTTCCTTTTCTGCCATTGACCTTAAAGCGCTTGAAATCTACACTTGCAAATTGCACAAATAGAGTGTTTCAAATCTGCTCTGTCTAAGGGAACGTTCAACTCTGTGAGTTGAATGCACACAACACAAGGAAGTTACTGGGAATTCTTCTGTCTAGCCTCACATGAAAAAAACCCGTTTCCAACGAAGGCCTCTAAGTGGTCAAAATGTCCACGTGCAGACTTTACAAACAGAGTGTTTCCAAACCGCTGAATGAAAAGAAAAGTTAAACTCTGAGAGTTGAACGCACACATCACGCAGCAGTTTCTGAGAATGATTCTGTCTAGTTTTGAAACGAAGATATTTCCTTTTCTGCCTTTGGCCTCAAAGCGCTTGAAATCTCCACTTGCAAATTCCACAAAAAGAGTGTTTCAAATCTGCTCTGTGTAAATGAAAGTTCAACTCTGTGAGTTGAACACACACAACACAAGGAAGTTACTGGGAATTCTTCTGTCTAGCCTTATATGAAAAAAACCCGTTTCCAAAGAAGGCCTCAAAGAGGTCTGAATATCCACTTGCAGACTTTACAAACAGAGTGTTTCCTAACTGCTCTATGAAAAGAAAGGTTAAACTCTTTGAGTTGAACGCACACATCACAAAGGAGTTTCTGAGAATCATTCTGTCTAGTTTTGAAACGAAGATATTTCCTTTTTTACCATTGACTTCAAAGCGGCTGAAATCTCCACTTGCAAATTCCACAAAAAAAGAGTGTTACAAGTCTGCTCTGTGTAAAGGATCGGTCAACTCTGTGAGTTGAATACACACAACACAAGGAAGTTACTGAGAATTCTTCTGTCTAGCCTTACATGAAAAAACCCGTTTCCAACGAAGGCCTCTAAGTGGTCAAATTATCCACGTGCAGACTTTACAAACAGAGTGTTTCCAAACTGCTGAAGGAAAAGAAAAGTTAAACTCTGAGAGTTGAACACACACATCACAGAGCAGTTTCTTAGAATGATTCTGTCTAGTTTTTATAGGAAGATATTTCCTTTTCTACCTTTGACTTCAAAGCGGCTGAAATCTCCACTTGCAAATTCCACAAAAAGAGTGTTACAAGTCTGCTCTGTGTAAAGGATCGTTCAACTCTGTGAGTTGAATACACACAAGACAAGGAAGTTACTGAGAATTCTTCTGTCTAGCCTTACAGGAAAAAAACCCGTTTCCAACGAAGGCCTCTAAGTGGTCAAGTTATCCACGTGCAGACTTTACAAACAGAGTGTTTCCAAACTGCTGAATGAAAAGAAAAGTTAAACTCTGAGAGTTGAACGCACACATCGCAGAGCAGTTTCTGAGAATGATTCTGTCTAGTTTTTATACGAAGATATTTCCTTTTCTGCCTTTGGCCTCAAAGCGCTTGAAACCTCCATTTGTAAATTCCACAAAAAGAGTGTTTCAAATCTGCTCTGTGTAAATGAAAGTTCAACTCTGTGAGTTGAACACACACAACACAAGGAAGTTACTGGGAATTCTTCTGTCTAGCATAATATGAAGAAATCCCGTTTCCAACGAAGGCCTCAAAGGGGTCTGAATATCCACTTGCAGACTTTATAAACAGAGTGTTTACTAACTGCTCTATGAAAAGAAAGGTTAAACTCTGTGAGTTGAACACACACATCACAAAGGAGTTTCTGAGAATCATTCTGTCTAGTTTTTCTACGAAGATATTACCTTTTCTACTATTGACCTCAAAGCGGCTGAAATCTCCAATTGCAAATTCCACAAAAAGAGTGTTTCAAGTCTGCTCTGTGTAAAGGATCGTTCAACTCTGTGAGTTGAATACACACAACACAAGGAAGTTACTGAGAATTCTTCTGTCTAGCAGAATATGAAGAAATCCCGTTTCCAATGAAGGCCTCAAGGAGGTCTGAATATCCACTTGCAGACTTTACAAACAGAGTGTTTCCTAACTGCTCAATGAAAAGAAAGGTTAAACTCTGTGAGTTGAACGCACACATCACAAAGGAGTTTATGAGAATCATTCTGTCTAGTTTTGAAACGAAGATATTTCCTTTTCTGCCGTTGACCTTAAAGAGCTTGAAAACTACAATTGCAAATTGCACAAATAGAGTGTTTCAAATCTGCTCTGTCTAAGGGAACGTTCAACTCTGTGAGTTGAATGCACACAACACAAGGAAGTTACTGGGAATTCTTCTGTCTAGCATAGTATGAAGAAATCCCGTTTCCAACGAAGGCCTCAAAGAGGTCTGAATATCGACTTGCAGAGTTTACAAACAGAGTGTTTCCTAACTGCTCTATGAAAAGAAAGGTTAAACTCTGTGAGTTGAACGCACACATCACAAAGAAGTTTCTGAGAATCATTTCTGTCCAGTCTTTATACGAAGATATTTCCTTTTCTACCATTGACCACAAAGCGGCTGAAATCTCCACTTGCAAATTCCACAAAAAGAGTGTTTCAAGTCTGCTCTGTGTAAAGGATCATTCAACTCTGTGAGTTGAATAAACACAACACAAGGAAGTTACTGAGGATTCTTCTGTCTAGCAGAATATGAAGAAATCCCGTTTCCAACGAAGGTCTCAACGAGGTCTGAATATCCACTTGCAGACTTTACAAACAGAGCGTTTCCTAACTGCTCTATGAAAAGAAAGGTTAAACTCTGTGAGTTGAACACACACATCACAAAGGAGTTTCTGAGAATCATTCTGTCTAGTTTCTATAGGAAGATATTTCCTATTCTACCATTGACCTCAAAGCGGCTGAAATCTCCACTTGCAAATTCCACAAAAAGAGTGTTTCAAGTCTGCTCTGTGTAAAGGATCCGTTCAACTCTGTGAGTTGAATACACACAACACAAGGAAGTTACTGAGAATTCTTCTGTCTAGCATCATATGAAGAAATCCCTTTTCCAACGAAGGCCTCTAAGTGGTCAAAATATCCACGTGCAGACTTTACAAACAGAGTGTTTCCAAACTGCTGAATGAAAAGAAAAGTTAAACTCTGAGAGTTGAACGCACACATCACAGAGGAGTTTCTGAGAATCATTCTGTCTAGTTTTGAAACGAAGATATTTCCTTTTCTGCCATTGACCTTAAAGCGCTTGAAATCTCCATTTGCCAATTGCACAAAAAGAGTGTTTCAAATCTGCTCTGTCTAAGGTAACGTTCAACTCTGTGAGTTGAATGTACACAACACAAGGAAGTTACTGGGAATTCTTCTGTCTAGCCTTACATGAAAAAAAAACCCGTTTCAAACGAAGGCTTCTAAGTGGTCAAAATATCCACGTGGAGACTTTACAAACAGAGTGTTTCCAAACTGCTGAATGAAAAGAAAAGTTAAACTCTGAGAGTTGAACGCACACATCACAGAGCGGTTTCTGAGAATGATTCTGTCTAGTTTTTATACGAAGATATTTCCTTTTCTGCCTTTGACCCCAAAGCGCTTGAAATCTCCACTTGCAAATTCCAAAAAAACAGTGTTTGAAATCTGCTCTCTCTAAATGAAAGTTCAACTCTGTCAGTTGAATACACACAACACAAGGAAGTTACTGAGAATTCTTCTGTCCAGCCTTACATGAAAAAAACCCGTTTCCAACGAAGGCCTCAAAGAAGTCCAAGTATCCTCGTGGAGACTTTACAAACAGAGTGTTTCCTAACTGCTCTATGAAAAGAAAGGTTAAACTCTGTGAGTTGAACGCCCACATCACAAAGGAGTTTCTGAGAATCATTCTGTCTACTTTTTATACGAAGATATTTCCTTTTCTACCATTGACCTCAAAGCGGCTGAAATCTCCACTGGCAAATTCCACAAAAAGAGTGTTTCAAGTCTGCTCTGTGTAAAGGATCGTTCAACTCTGTGACTTGAAAACACACAACACAAGGAAGTTTCTGAGAATTCTTCTGTCTAGCAGAATGTGAAGAAATCCCGTTTCCAACGAAGGCCACAAGATGTCAGAATATCCACTTACAGAATTGACAAACAGACTGTTTCCTAACTGCTCTATGAAAAGAAAGGTTAAACTCTGTGAGTTGAACGAACACATCACAACGGAGTTTGTGGGAATGATTCTGTCTAGTTTTGAAACGAAGATATTTCCTTTTCTGCCATTGACCTTAAGCGCTTGAAATCTCCACTTGCCAATTGCACAAAAAGAGTGTTTCAAATCTGCTCTGTCTAAGGGAACGTTCAACTCTGTGAGTTGAATGTACACAACACAAGGAAGTTACTGGGAATTCTTCTGTCTAGCCTTACATGACAAAAACCCATTTCCATCGAAGGCCTCTAAGTGGTCAAAATATCCACGTGCAGACTTTACAAACAGAGTGTTTCCAAACTGCTGAATGAAAAGAAAAGTTAAACTCTGAGAGCTGAACGCACACATCGCAGAGCAGTTTCTGAGAATGATTCTGTCTAGTTTTATACGAAGATATTTCCTTTTCTGCCTTTGGCCCCAAAGCGCTTGAAATCTCCACTTGCAAATACCACAAAAACAGTGTTTCAAATCTGCTCTCTCTAAATGAAAGTTCAACTCTGTCAGTTGAATACACACAACACAAGGAAGTTACTGAGAATTCTTCTTTCTAGCAGAATATGAAGAAATCCCGTTTCCAACGAAAGCCTCAAGGATGTCTGAATATCCACTTGCAGACTTTACAAACAGAGTGTTTCCCAACTGTTCTATGAAAAGAAAGGTTGAACTCTGTGAGTTGAACGCACACATCACAAAGGAGTTTCTGAGAATCATTCTGTCTACTTTCTATAGGAAGATATTTCCTATTCTACCATTGACCTCAAAGCGGCTGAAATCTCCACTTGCAAATTCCACAAAAGGAGTGTTTCAAGTCTGCTCTGTGTAAAGGATCGTTCAACTCTGTGAGTTGAAAACACACAACACAAGGAAGTTTCTGAGAATTCTTCTGTCTAGCAGAATATGAAGAAACCCCGCTTCCAACGAAGGCCTCAAAGAAGTCTGAATATCCACTTACAGACTTTACAAACAGAGTGTTTCCCAACTGCTCTATGAAAAGAAAGGTTGAACTCTGTGAGTTGAACGCACACATCACAAAGGAGTTTCTGAGAATCATTCTGTCTAGTTTTGAAACGAAGATATTTCCTTTTCTGCCATTGACCTTAAAGCGCTTGAAATCTCCACTTGCCAATTGCACAAAAAGAGTGTTTCAAATCTGCTCTGTCTAAGGGAACGTTCAACTCTGTGAGTTGAATGTACACAACACAAGGAAGTTACTGGGAATTCTTCTGTCTAGCCTTACATGAAAAAAACCCGTTTCCAACGAAGGCCTCTAAGTGGTCAAAATATCCACGTGCAGACTTTACAAACAGAGTGTTTCCAAACCACTGAATGAAAAGAAAAGTTAAACTCTGAGAGTTGAACGCACACATCACGCAGCAGTTTCTGAGAATGATTCTGTCTAGTTTTGAAACGAAGATATTTCCTTTTCTGCCTTTGGCCTCAAAGTGCTTGAAATCTCCACTTGCAAATTCCACAAAAAGAGTGTTTCAAATCTGTTCTGGGTAAATGAAAGTTCAACTCTGTGAGTTGAACACACACAACACAAGGAAGTTACTGGGAATTCTTCTGTCTAGCCTTATATGAAAAAAACCCGTTTCCAACGAAGGCCTCAAAGAGGTCTGAATATCCACTTGCAGACTTTACAAACAGAGTGTTTCCTAACTGCTCTATGAAAAGAAAGGTTAAACTCTGTGAGTTGAACGCACACATCACAAAGGAGTTTCTGAGAATCATTCTGTCTAGTTTTTATAGGAAGATATTTCCTTTTCTACCTTTGACTTCAAAGCGGCTGAAATCTCCACTTGCAAATTCCACAAAAAGAGTGTTACAAGTCTGCTCTGTCTAAGGGAACGTTCAACTCTGTGAGTTGAATGTACACAACAAAAGGAAGTTACTGGGAATTCTTCTGTCTAGCAGAATATGAAGAAATCCCGTTTCCAACGAAGGCCACAAGATGTCAGAATATCCACTTACAGAATTGACAAACAGACTGTTTCCTAACTGCTCTATGAAAAGAAAGGTTAAACTCTGTGAGTTGAACGAACACATCACTACGCAGTTTGTGGGAATGATTCTGTCTAGTTTTGAAACGAAGATATTTCCATTTCTGCCATTGACCTTAAAGCGCTTGAAATCTCCATTTGCCAATTGCACAAAAAGAGTGTTTCAAATCTGCTCTGTCTAAGGGAACGTTCAACTCTGTGAGTTGAATGTACACAACACAAGGAAGTTACTGGGAATTCTTCTGTCTAGCCTTACAGGAAAAAAACCCGTTTCCAACGAAGGCCTCTAAGTGGTCAAAATATACACGTGCAGACTTTACAAACAGAGTGTTTCCAAACTGCTGAATGAAAAGAAAAGTTAAACTCTGAGAGTTGAACGCACACATCGCAGAGCAGTTTCTGAGAATGATTCTGTCTAGTTTTTATACGAAGATATTTCCTTTTCTGCCTTTGGCCCCAAAGCGCTTGAAATCTCCACTTGCAAATTCCACAAAAACAGTGTTTCAAATCTGCTCTCTCTAAATGAAAGTTCAACTCTGTCAGTTGAATACACACAACACAAGGAAGTTACTGAGAATTCTTCTGTCTAGCATAGTATGAAGAAATCCCGTTTCCAACGAAGGCCTCAATGAGGTCTGAATATCCACTTGCAGAATTTACAAACAGAGTGTTTCCTAACTGCTCTATGAAAAGAAAGGTTAAACTCTGTGAGTTGAACGCACACATCACAAAGAAGATTCTGAGAATCATTCTGTCTAGTTTTTATATGAAGATATTTCCTTTTCTACCATTGACCTCAAAGCGGCTGAAATCTCCACTTGCAAATTCCACAAAAAGAGTGTCTCAAGTCTGCTCTGTGTAAACGATCGTTCAACTCTGTGAGTTGAATACACACAACACAAGGAAGTTTCTGAGAATTCTTCTGTCTAGCAGAATATGAAGAAATCCCGTTTCCAACGAAGGCCACAAGATGTCAGAATATCCACTTACAGAATTGACAAACAGACTGTTTCCTAACTGCTCTATGAAAAGAAAGGTTAAACTCTGTGAGTTGAACGAACACATCACAACGCAGTTTGTGGGAATGATTCTGTCTAGTGTTTATAGGAAGATATTTCCTTTTCTACATTTGACTTCAAAGCGGCTGAAATCTCCACTTGCAAATTCCACAAAAAGAGTGTTACAAGTCTGCTCTGTGTAAAGGATCGTTCAACTCTGTGAGTTGAATACACACAACACAAGGAAGTTACTGAGAATTCTTCTGTCTAGCCTTACATGAAAAAAACCCGTTTCCAACGAAGGCCTCTAAGTGGTCAAATTATCCACGTGCAGACTGTACAAACAGAGTGTTTCCAAACTGCTGAATGAAAAGAAAAGTTAAACTCTGAGAGTTGAACGCACACATCGCAGAGCAGTTTCTGAGAATGATTCTGTCTAGTCTTTATACGAAGATATTTCCTTTTCTACCATTGACCTCAAAGCGGCTGAAATCTCCACTTGCAAATTCCACAAAAAGAGTGTTTCAAGTCTGCTCTGTGTAAAGGATCGTTCAACTCTGTGAGTTGAATACACAGAACACAAGGAAGTTACTGAGAATTCTTCTGTCTTGCAGAATATGAAGAAATCCCGTTTCCAACGAAGGCCTCAAAGAGGTCTGAATATCCACTTGCAGACTTTACAAACAGAGTGTTTCCTAACTGCTCTATGAAAAGAAAAGTTGAACTCTGTGAGTTGAACGCACACATCACAAAGGAGTTTCTGAGAATCATTCTGTCTAGTCTTTATACGAAGATATTTCCTTTTCTACCATTGACCTCAAAGCGGCTGAAATCTCCACTTGCAAATTCCACAAAAAGAGTGTTTCAAGTCTGCTCTCTGTAAAGGATCGTTCAACTCTGTAAGTTGAATACACAGAACACAAGGAAGTTACTGAGAATTATTCTGTCTAGCAGAATATGAAGAAATCCCGTTTCCAACGAAGGCCACAAGATGTCAGAATATCCACTTACAGAATTTACAAACAGACTGTTTCCTAAGTGCTCTATGAAAAGAAAGGTTAAACTCTGTGAGTTGAACGAACACATCACAACGCAGTTTGTGGGAATGATTCTGTCTAGTTTTGAAACGAAGATATTTCCTTTTCTGCCATTGAACTTAAAGCGCTTGAAATCTCCATTTGCCAATTGCACAAAAAGAGTGTTTCAAATCTGCTCTGTCTAAGGGAACGTTCAACTCTGTGAGTTGAATGTACACAACACAAGGAAGTTACTGGGAATTCTTCTGTCTAGCCTTACATGAAAAAAACCCGTTTCCAACGAAGGCCTCTAAGTGGTCAAAATATCCACGTGCAGACTTTACAAACAGAGTGTTTCCAAACCGCTGAATGAAAAGGAAAAGTTAAACTCTGAGAGTTGAACGCACACATCACGCAGCAGTTTCTGAGAATGATTCTGTCTAGTTTTTATACGAAGATATTTCCTTTTCTGCCTTTGGCCCCAAAGCGCTTGAAATCTCCACTTGCAAATTCCACAAAAACAGTGTTTCAAATCTGCTCTCTCTTAATGAAACTTCAACTCTGTCAGTTGAATACACACAACACAAGGAAGTTACTGAGAATTCTTCTGTCTAGCATAATATGAAGAAATCCCGTTTCCAACGAAGGCCTCAAAGAGGTCTGAATATCCACTTGCAGACTTTACAAACAGAGTGTTTCCTAACTGCTCTATGAAAAGAAAGGTTAAACTCTGTGAGTTGAACGCACACATCACAAAGGAGTTTATGAGAATCATTCTGTCTAGTTTCTATAGGAAGATATTTCCTATTCTACCATTGAACTCAAAGCGGCTGAAATCTCCACTTGCAAATTCCACAAAAAGAGTGTTTCAAGTCTGCTCTGTGTAAAGGATCGTTCAACTCTGTGAGTTGAATACACACAACACAAGGAAGTTACTGAGAATTCTTCTTTCTAGCAGAATATGAAGAAATCCCGTTTCCAACGAAAGCCTCAAGGATGTCTGAATATCCACTTCCAGACTTTACAAACAGAGTGTTTCCTAACTGCTCTATGAAAAGAAAGGTTAAACTCTGTGAGTTGAACGCACACATCACAAAGGAGTTTCTGAGAATCATTCTGTCTAGTTTTGAAACGAAGATATTTCCTTTTCTGCCATTCACCTTAAAGCGCTTGAAATCTACACTTGCAAATTGCACAAATAGAGTGTTTCAAATCTGCTCTGTCTAAGGGAACGTTCAACTCTGTGAGTTGAATGCACACAACACAAGGAAGTTACTGGGAATTCTTCTGTCTAGCCTTACAGGAAAAAAACCCGTTTCCAACGAAGGCCTCTAAGTGGTCAAAATATCCACGTGCAGACTTTACAAACAGAGTGTTTCCAAACTGCTGAATGAAAAGAAAAGTTAAACTCTGAGAGTTGAACGCACACATCGCAGAGCAGTTTCTGAGAATGATTCTGTCTAGTTTTTATACGAAGATATATCCTTTTCTGCCTTTGGCCTCACAGCGCTTGAAATCTCCACTTGCACATTCCACAAAAAGAGTGTTTCAAATCTGCTCTGTAAATCAAAGTTCAACTCTGTGAGTTGAACACACACAACACAAGGAAGTTACTGGGAATTCTTCTGTCTAGCAGAATATGAAGAAATCCCGTTTCCAACGAAGGCCTCAAAGAGGTCTGAATATCCACTTGCAGACTTTATAAACAGAGTGTTTCCTAACTGCTCTATGAGAAGAAAAGTTAAACTCTGTGAGTTGAACGCACACATCACAAAAGATTTTCTGAGAATCATTCTGTCTAGTTTCTATAGGAAGATATTTCCTATTCTACCATTGACCTCAAAGCGGCTGAAATCTCCACTTGCAAATTCCACAAAAAGAATGTTTCAAGTCTGCTCTGTGTAAAGGATCGTTCAACTCTGTGAGTTGAATACACACAACACAAGGAAGTTAATGAGAATTCTTCTGTCTAGCAGAATATGAAGAAATCCCGTTTCCAACGAAGGCCACAAGATGTCAGAATATCCACTTACAGACTTTACAAACAGAGTGTTTCCTAACTGCTCTATGAACAGAAAGGTTAAGCTCTGTGAGTTGAATGAACACATCACAACGCAGTTTGTGGGAATGATTCTGTCTAGTTTTGAAACCAAGATATTTCCTTTTCTGCCGTTGACCTTAAAGAGCTTGAAAACTACACTTGCAAATTGCACAAATAGAGTGTTTCAAATCTGCTCTGTCTAAGGGAACGTTCAACTCTGTGAGTTGAATGCACACAACACAAGGAAGTTACTGGGAATTCTTCTGTCTAGCCTTACAGGAAAAAAACCCGTTTCCAACGAAGGCCTCTAAGTGGTCAAAATATCCACGTGCAGACTTTACAAACAGAGTGTTTCCAAACTGCTGAATGAAAAGAAAAGTTAAACTCTGAGAGTTGAACGCACACATCGCAGAGCAGTTTCTGAGAATGATTCTGTCTAGTTTTTATACGAAGATATTTCCTTTTCTGCCTTTGGCCTCAAAGCGCTTGAAATCTCCATTTGCAAATTCCACAAAAAGAGTGTTTCAAATCTCCTCTGTGTAAATGAAAGTTCAACTCTGTGAGTTGAACACACACAACACAAGGAAGTTACTGGGAATTCTTCTGTCTAGAGTATGAAGAAATCCCGTTTCCAACGAAGGCCTCTAAGAGGTCTGAATATCCACTTGCAGACTTTACAAACAGAGTGTTTCCTAACTGCTCTATGAAAAGAAAGGTTAAACTCTGTGAGTTGAACGCACACATCACAAAGGAGTTTCTGAGAATCATTCTGTCTAGTTTTTATACGAAGATATTTCCTTTTCTACCATTGACCTCAAAGCGGCTGAAATCTCCACTTGCAAATTCCACAAAAAGAGTGTTTCTAATCTGCTCTGTGTAAAGGATCATTCAACTCTGTGAGTTGAATGCACACAACACAAGGAAGTTATTGAGAATTCTTCTGTCTAGCATAATATGAAGAAACCCCGTTTCCAACGAAGGCCTCAAAGAGGTCTGAATATCCACTGGCAGACTTCACAAACAGAGTGTTTCCTAACTACTCTATGAAAAGAAAGGTTAAACTCTGTGAGTTGAACGCACACATCACAAAGGAGTTTCTGAGAATCATTCTGTCTAGTTTTGAAACGAAGATATTTCCTTTTCTGCCGTTGACCTTAAAGCGCTTGAAATCTACACTTGCAAATTGCACAAATAGAGTGTTTCAAATCTGCTCTGTCTAAGGGAACGTTCAACTCTGTGAGTTGAATGCACACAACACAAGGAAGTTACTGGGAATTCTTCTGTCTAGCCTTACATGAAAAAAACCCGTTTCCAACGAAGGCCTCTAAGGGGTCAAAATGTCCACGTGCAGACTTTACAAACAGAGTGTTTCCAAACCGCTGAATGAAAAGAAAAGTTAAACTCTGAGAGTTGAACGCACACATCACGCAGCAGTTTCTGAGAATGATTCTGTCTAGTTTTTATACGAAGATATTTCCTTTTCTGCCTTTGGCCTCAAAGCGCTTGAAATCTCCACTTGCAAATTCCACAAAAAGAGTGTTTCAAATCTGCTCGGTCTAAATGAAAGTTCAACTCTGTCAGTTGAATACACACAACACAAGGAAGTTACTGAGAATTCTTCTGTCTAGCATAATATGAAAAAATCCCGTTTCCAACGAAGGCCTCAAAGAGGTCTGAATATCCACTTGCAGACTTTACAAACAGAGTGTTTCCTAACTGCTCTATGAAAAGAAAGGTTAAACTGTGTGAGTTGAACGCACACATCACAAAGGAGTTTCTGAGAATCATTCTGTCTATTTTCTATAGGAAGATATTTCCTATTCTACCATTGACCTCAAAGCGGCTGAAATCTCCACTTGCAAATTCCACAAAAAGAGTGTTTCAAGACTGTTCTGTGTAAAGGATCATTCAACTCTGTGAGTTGAATACACACAACACAAGGAAGTTACTGAGAATTCTTCTGTCTAGCAGAATATGAAGAAATCCCGTTTCCAACGAAGGCCACAAGATGTCAGAATATCCACTTACAGACTTTACAAACAGAGTGTTTCCTAACTGCTCTATGAACAGAAAGGTTAAACTCTGTGAGTTGAACGAACACATCACAACGCAGTTTGTGGGAACGATTCTGTCTAGTTTTGAAACGAAGATATTTCCTTTTCTGCCATTGACCTTAAAGCGCTTGAAATCTACACTTGCAAATTGCACAAATAGAGTGTTTCAAATCTGCTCTGTCTAAGGGAACGTTCAACTCTGTGAGTTGAATGCACCCAACACAAGGAAGTTACTGGGAATTCTTCTGTCTAGCCTTACAGGAAAAAAACCCGTTTCCAACGAAGGCCTCTAAGTGGTCAAAATATCCACGTGCAGACTTTACAAACAGAGTGTTTCCAAACTGCTGAATGAAAAGAAAAGTTAAACTCTGAGAGTTGAACGCACACATCGCAGAGCAGTTTCTGAGAATGATTCTGTCTAGTTTCCATAGGAAGATATTTCCTATTCTACCATTGACCTCAAAGCGGCTGAAATCTCCACTTGCAAATTCCACAAAAAGAGTGTTTCAAGTCTGCTCTCCGTAAAGGATCGTTCAACTCTGTGAGTGGAATACACACAACACAAGGAAGTTACTGAGAATTATTCTGTCTAGCATAATATGAAGAAATCCCGTTTCCAACGAAGGCCTCAAAGAGGTCTGAATATCCACTTGCAGACTTTACAAACAGAGTGTTTCCTAACTGCTCTATGAAAAGAAAAGTTAAACTCTGTGAGTTGAACGCACACATCACAAAGGAGTTTCTGAGAATCATTCTGTCTAGTCTTTATACGAAGATATTTCCTTTTCTACCATTGACCTCAAAGCGGCTGAAATCTCCACTTGCAAATTCCACAAAAAGAGTGTTTCAAGTCTGCTCAGTGTAAAGGATCGTTCAACTCTGTGAGTTGAATACACACAACACAAGGAAGTTACTGAGAATTCTTCTGTCTAGCAGAATATGAAGAAATCCCGTTTCCAACGAAGGCCACAAGATGTCAGAATATCCACTTACAGAATTTACAAACAGACTGTTTCCTAACTGCTCTATGAAAAGAAAGGTTAAACTCTGTGAGTTGACCGAACACATCACAACGCAGTTTGTGGGAATGATTCTGTCTAGTTTTGAAACGAAGATATTTCCTTTTCTGCCATTGACCTTAAAGCGCTTGAAATCTCCATTTGCCAATTGCACAAAAAGAGTGTTTCAAATCTGCTCTGTCTAAGGGAACGTTCAACTCTGTGAGTTGAATGTACACAACACAAGGAAGTTACTGGGAATTCTTCTGTCTAGCCTTACGTGAAAAAAAACCCGTTTCCAACGAAGGCCTCTAAGTTGTCAAAATATCCACGTGCAGACTTTACAAACAGAGTGTTTCCAAACTGCTGAATGAAAAGAAAAGTTAAACTCTGAGACTTGAACGCACACATCACAGAGCGGTTTCTGAGAATGATTCTGTCTAGTTTTTATACGAAGATATTTCCTTTTCTGCCTTTGGCCCCAAAGCGCTTGAAATCTCCACTTGCAAATTCCACAAAAACAGTGTTTCAAATCTGCTCTCTCTAAATGAAAGTTCAACTCTGTCAGTTGAATACACACAACACAAGGAAGTTACTGAGAATTCTTCTGTCTAGCATAATATGAAGAAATCCCTTTTCCAACGAAGGCCTCAAAGAGGTCTGAATATCCACTTGCAGACTTTACAAACAGAGTGTCTCCTAACTGCTCTATGAAAAGAAAGGTTAAACTCTGTGAGTTGAACGCACACATCACAAAGGAGTTTATGAGAATCATTCTGTCTAGTTTTTATACGAAGATATTTCCTTTTCTACCATTGACCTCAACGCGGCTGAAATCTCCACTTGCAAATTTCACAAAAAGAGTGTTTCAAGTCCGCTCTGTGTAAAGGATCGTTCAACTCTGTGAGTTGAATACACACAACACAAGGAAGTTACTGAGAATTCTTCTGTCTAGCAGAATATGAAGAAATCCCGTTTCCAACGAAGGCCACAAGATGTCAGAATATCCACTTACAGACTTTACAAACAGAGTGTTTCCTAACTGCTCTATGAACAGAAAGGTTAAACTCTGTGAGTTGAACGAACATATCACAACGCAGTTTGTGGGAATGATTCTGTCTAGTTTTGAAACGAAGATATTTCCTTTTCTGCCATTGACCTTAAAGCGCTTGAAATCTACACTTGCAAATTGCACAAATAGAGTGTTTCAAATCTGCTCTGTCTAAGGGAACGTTCAACTCTGTGAGTTGAATGCACACAACACAAGGAAGTTACTGGGAATTCTTCTGTCTAGCCTTACATGAAAAAAACCCGTTTCCAACGTAGGCCTCTAAGTGGTCAAAATATCCACGTGCAGACTTTACAAACAGAGTGTTTCCAAACCGCTGAATGAAAAGAAAAGTTAAACTCTGAGAGTTGAAAGCACACATCACGCAGCAGTTTCTGAGAATGATTCTGTCTAGTTTTTACACGAAGATATTTCCTTTTCTGCCTTTGGCCCCAAAGCGCTTGAAATCTCCACTTGCAAATTCCACAAAAACAGTGTTTCAAATCTGCTCTCTGTAAATGAAAGTTCAACTCTGTCAGTTGAATACACACAACACAAGGAAGTTACTGAGAATTCTTCTGTCTAGCAGAATATGAAGAAATCCCGTTTCCAACGAAGACCTCAAGGAGGTCTGAATATCCACTTGCAGACTTTACAAACAGAGTGTTTCCTAACTGCTCTATGAAAAGAAAGGTTAAACTCTGTGAGTTGAACGCACACATCACAAAGGAGTTTCTGAGAATCATTCTGTCTAGTCTTTATACGAAGATATTTCCTTTTCTACCATTGACCTCAAAGCGGCTGAAATCTCCACTTGCAAATTCCACAAAAAGAGTGTTTCAAGTCTGCTCTCTGTAAAGGATCGTTCAACTCTGTGAGTTGAATACACACAACACAAGGAAGTTACTGAGAATTATTCTGTCTAGCATAATATGAAGAAATCCCGTTTCCAACGAAGGCCTCAAAGAGGTCTGAATATCCACTTGCAGACTTTACAAACAGAGTGTTTCCTTACTGCTCTATGAAAAGAAAAGTTAAACTCTGTGAGTTGAACGCACACATCACAAAGGAGTTTCTGAGAATCATTCTGTCTAGTTTTGAAACGAAGATATTTCCTTTTCTGCCATTGACCTTAAAGCGCTTGAAATCTCCACTTGCCAATTGCACAAAAAGAGTGTTTCAAATCTGCTCTGTCTAAGGGAACGTTCAACTCTGTGAGTTGAATGTACACAACGCAAGGAAGTTACTGGGAATTCTTCTGTCTAGCCTTACATGAAAAAAACCCGTTTCCAACGAAGGCCTCTAAGTGGTCAAGTTATCCACGTGCAGACTTTACAAACAGAGTGTTTCCAAACTGCTGAATGAAAAGAAAAGTTAAACTTCTGAGAGTTGAACGCACACATCGCAGAGCAGTTTCTGAGAATGATTCTGTCTAGTTTTTATACGAAGTATATTTCCTTTTCTGCCTTTGGCCTCAAAGCGCTTGAAATCTCCACTTGCAAATTCCACAAAAAGAGTGTTTCAAATCTGCTCTGTGTAAATGAAAGTTCAACTCTGTGAGTTGAACACACACAACACAAGGAAGTTACTGGGAATTCTTCTGTCTAGCCTTATATGAAAAAAACCCGTTTCCAACGAAGGCCTCAAAGAGGTCTGAATATCCACTTGCAGACTTTACAAACAGAGTGTTTCCTAACTGCTCTATGAAAAGAAAGGTTAAACTCTGTGAGTTGAACACACACATCACAAAGGAGTTTCTGAGAATCATTCTGTCTAGTTTTTCTCCGAAGATATTTCCTTTTCTACTATTGACCTCAAAGCGGCTGAAATCTCCACTTGCAAATTCCACAAAAAGAGTGTTTCAAGTCTGCTCTGTGTAAACGATCGTTCAACTCTGTGAGTTGAATACACACAACACAAGGAAGTTACTGAGAATTCTTCTGTCTAGCAGAATATGAAGAAATCCCGTTTCCAACGAAGGCCTCAAAGAGGTCTGAATATCCACTTGCAGACTTTTCAAACAGAGTGTTTCCTAACTGCTCTATGAAAAGAAAGGTTAAACTCTGTGAGTTGAACGCACACATCACAAAGGAATTTCTGAGAATCGTTCTGTCTAGTTTTGAAACGAAGATATTTCCTTTTCTGCCATTGACCTTAAAGCGCTTGAAATCTCCATTTGCCAATTGCACAAAAAGAGTGTTTCAAATCTGCTCTGTCTAAGGGAACGTTCAACTCTGTGAGTTGAATGTACACAACACAAGGAAGTTACTGGGAATTCTTCTGTCTAGCCTTACAGGAAAAAAACCCGTTTCCAACGAAGGCCTCTAAGTGGTCAAAATATCCACGTGCAGACTTTACAAACAGAGTGTTTCCAAACTGCTGAATGAAAAGAAAAGTTAAACTCTGAGAGTTGAACGCACACATCGCAGAGCAGTGTCTGAGAATGATTCTGTCTAGTTTTTATACGAAGATATTTCCTTTTCTGCCTTTGGCCTCAAAGCGCTTGAAATCTCCACTTGCAAATTCCACAAAAAGAGTGTTTCAAATCTGCTCTGTGTAAATCAAAGTTCAACTCTGTGAGTTGAACACACACAACACAAGGAAGTTACTGGGAATTCTTCTGTCTAGCACAGTATGAAGAAATCCCGTTTCCAACGAAGGCCTCAAAGAGCTCTGAATATCCACTTGCAGAGTTTACAAACAGAGTGTTTCCTAACTGCTCTATGAAAAGAAAGGTTAAACTCTGTGAGTTGAACGCACACAACACAATGAAGTTTCTGAGAATCATTCTGTCTAGTTTTTATACGAAGATATTTCCTTTTCTACCATTGACCTCAAAGCGGCTGAAATCTCCACTTGCAAATTCCACAAAAAGAGTGTTTCAAATCTGCTCTGTGTAAACCATCGTTCAACTCTGTGAGTTGAATACACACAACACAAGGAAGATTCTGAGAATTCTTCTGTCTAGCAGAATATGAAGAAATCCCGTTTCCAACCAAGGCCACAAGATGTCAGAATATCCACTTACAGAATTTACAAACAGACTGTTTCCTAACTGCTCTATGAAAAGAAAGGTTAAACACTGTAGGTTGAACGAACACATCACAACGCAGTTTGTGGGAATGATTCTGTCTAGTTTTGAAACGAAGATATTTCCTTTTCTACCATTGATCTCAAAGCGCTTGAAATCTCCATTTGCCAATTGCACAAAAAGAGTGTTTCAAATCTGTTCTGTCTAAGGGAACGTTCAACTCTGTGAGTTGAATGTACACAACACAAGGAAGTTACTGGGAATTCTTCTGTCTAGCCTTACAGGAAAAAAACCCGTTTCCAACGAAGGCCTCTAAGTGGTCAAAATATCCACGTGCAGACTTTACAAACAGAATGTTTCCAAACTGCTGAATGAAAAGAAAAGTTAAACTCTGAGAGTTGAACGCACACATCGCAGAGCAGTTTCTGAGAATGATTCTGTCTAGTTTTTATACGAAGATATTTCCTTTTCTGCCTTTGGCCCCAAAGCGCTTGAAATCTCCACTTGCAAATTCCACAAAAACAGTGTTTCAAATCTGCTCTCTCTAAATGAAAGTTCAACTCTGTCAGTTTAATACACACAACACAAGGAAGTTACTGAGAATTCTTCTGTCTAGCATAATATGAAGAAATCCCGTTTCCAACGAAGGCCTCAAGGAGGTCTGAATATCCACTTGCAGACTTTACAAACAGAGTGTTTCCTAACTGCTCTATGAAAAGAAAGGTTAAACTGTGTGAGTTGAACGCACACATCACAAAGGAGTTTTCAGAATCATTCTGTCTAGTTTTTATACGAAGATATTTCCTTTTCTACCATTGACCTCAACGCGGCTGAAATCTCCACTTGCAAATTCCACAAAACGAGTGTTTCAAGTCCGCTCTGTGTAAAGGATCGTTCAACTCTGTGAGTTGAATACACACAACACAAGGAAGTTACTGAGAATTCTTCTGTCTAGCACAGTATGGAGAAATCCCGTTTCCAACGAAGGCCTCAAAGAGGTCTGAATATCCACTTGCAGAGTTTACAAACAGAGTGTTTCCTAACTGCTCTATGAAAAGAAAGGTTAAACTGTGTGAGTTGAACGCACACATCACAAAGAAGTTTCTGAGAATCATTCTGTCTAGTTTTGAAACGAAGATATTTCCTTTTCTGCCATTGACCTCAAAGCGCTTGAAATCTCCACTTGCCAATTGCACAAAAAGAGTGTTTCAAATCTGCTCTGTCTAAGGGAACGGTTCAACTCTGTGAGTTGAATGTACACAACACAAGGAAGTTACTGGGAATTCTTCTGTCTAGCCTTATATGAAAAAAACCCGTTTCCAACGAAGGCCTCAAAGAGGTCTGAATATCACTTGCAGACTTTACAAACAGAGTGTTTCCTAACTGCTCTATGAAAAGAAAGGTTAAACTCTGTGAGTTGAACGCACACATCACAAAGGAGTTTCTGAGAATCATTCTGTGTAGTTTTTATACGAAGATATTTCCTTTTCTGCCTTTGGCCTCAAAGCGCTTGAAATCTCCACTTGCAAATTCCACAAAAAGAGTGTTTCAAATCTGCTCTGTGTAAATGAAAGTTGAACTCTGTGAGTTGAACACACACATCACAAGGAAGTTACTGGGAATTCTTCTGTCTAGCACAGTATGAAGAAATCCCGTTTCCAACGAAGGCCTCAAAGAGGTCTGAATATCCACTTGCAGAGTTTACAAACAGAGTGTTTCATAACTGCTCTATGAAAAGAAAGGTTAAACTCTGTGAGTTGAACGCACACATCACAAAGAAGTTTCTGAGAATCATTCTGTCTAATTTTTATATGAAGATATTTCCTTTTCAACCACTGACCTCAAAGCGGCTGAAATCTCCATTTGCAAATTCCACAAAAAGAGTGTTTCAAGTCTGCTCTGTGTAAAGGATCGTTCAACTCTGTGAGTTGAATACACACAACACGAGGAAGTTACTGAGAATTCTTCTGTCTAGCAGAATATGAAAAAATCCCGTTTCCAACGAAGGCCTCAAAGAGGTCTGATTATCCACTTGCAGACTTTACAAACAGAGTGTTTCCTAACTGCTTTATGAAAAGGAAGGTTAAACTCTGAGAGTTGAACGCACACATCATAAAGGAGTTTCTGAGAATCATTCTGTCTAGTTTTTATTCGAAGATATTTCCTTTTCTACCATTGACCTCAAACCGGCTGAAATCTCCACTTGCAAATTCCACAAAAAGAGTTTCTCAAGTCTGCTCAAAGGATCGTTCAACTCTGTGAGTTGAATACACACAACACAAGGAAGTTGCTGAGAATTCTTCTGTCTAGCCTTACAGGAAAAAAACCCATTTCCAACGAAGGCCTCTAAGTGGTCAAAATATCCACGTGCAGACTTTACAAACAGAGTGTTTCCAAACTGCTGAATGAAAAGAAAAGTTAAACTCTGAGAGTTGAACGCACACATCGCAGAGCAGTTTCTGAGAATGATTCTGTCTAGTTTCTATAGGAAGATATTTCCTATTCTACCATTGACCTCAAAGCGGCTGAAATCTCCACTTGCAAATTCCGCAAGAAGAGTGTTTCAAGTCTGCTCTGTGTAAAGGATCGTTCAACTCTGTGAGTTGAATACACACAACACAAGGAAGTTACTGAGAATTCTTCTTTCTAGCAGAATATGAAGAAATCCCGTTTCCAACGAAAGCCTCAAGGATGTCTGAATATCCACTTGCAGACTTTACAAACAGAGTGTTTCCCAACTGCTCTATGAAAAGAAAGGTTAAACTCTGTGAGTTGAACGCACACATCACAAAGGAGTTTCTGAGAATCATTCTGTCTAATCTTTATATGAAGATAGTTTCCTTTTCTACCATTGACCTCAAAGCGGCTGAAATCTCCACTTGCAAATTCCACAAAAAGAGTGTTTCAAGTCTGCTCTGTGTAAAGGATCGTTCAACTCTGTGAGTTGAATACACACAACACAAGGAAGTTACTGAGAATTCTTCTGTCTAGCAGAATATGAAGAAATCCCGTTTCCAACGAAGGCCACAAGATGTCAGAATATCTACTTACAGACTTTACAAACAGAGTGTTTCCTAACTGCTCTATGAACAGAAAGGTTAAACTCTGTGAGTTGAACGAACACATCACAACGCAGTTTGTGGGAATGATTCTGTCTAATTTTGAAACGAAGATATTTCCTTTTCTGCCATTGACCTTAATGCGCTTGAAATCTACACTTGCAAATTGCACAAATAGAGTGTTTCAAATCTGCTCTGTCTAAGGGAACGTTCAACTCTGTGAGTTGAATGCACACAACACAAGGAAGTTACTGGGAATTCTTCTGTCTAGCCTTACATGAAAAAAACCCGTTTCCAACGAAGGCCTCTAAGTGGTCAAAATATCCACGTGCAGACTTTACAAACAGAGTGTTTCCAAACCGCTGAATGCAAAGAAAAGTTAAACTCTGAGAGTTGAACGCACACATCACGCAGCAGTTTCTGAGAATGATTCTGTCTAGTTTCCATAGGAAGATATTTCCTATTCTACCATTGAACTCAAAGCGGCTGAAATCTCCACTTGCAAATTCCACAAAAAGAGTGTTTCAAGTCTGCTCTGTGTAAAGGATCGTTCAACTCTGTGAGTTGAATACACAAAACACAAGGAAGTTACTGAGAATTCTTCTGTCTAGCATAATATGAAGAAATCCCGTTTCCAACGAAGGCCTCAAGGAGGTCTGAATATCCACTTGCAGACTTTACAAACAGAGTGTTTCCTAACTGCTCTATGAAAAGAAAGGTTAAACTCTGTGAGTTGAACGCACACATCACAAAGGAGTTTCTCAGAATCATTCTGTCTAGTTTCTATAGGAAGATATTTCCTATTATACCATTGACCACAAAGCGGCTTAAATCTCCAGTTGCAAATTTCACAAAAAGAGTGTTTCAAGTCTGCTCTGTGTAAAGGATCGTTCAACTCTGTGAGTTGAATACACACAACACAAGGAAGGTACTGAGAATTCTTCTGTCTAGCAGAATATGAAGAAATCCCGTTTCCAACGAAGGCCACAAGATGTCAGAATATCCACTTACAGAATTTTCAAACAGACTGTTTCCTAACTGCTCTATGAAAAGAAAGGTTAAACTCTGTGAGTTGAACGAACACATCACAACGCAGTTTGTGGGAATGATTCTGTCTAGTTTTGAAACGAAGATATTTCCTTTTCTGCCATTGACCTTAAAGCGCTTGAAATCTCCATTTGCCAATTGCACAAAAAGAGTGTTTCAAATCTGCTCTGTCTAAGGGAACGTTCAACTCTGTGAGTTGAATGTACACAACACAAGGAAGTTACTGGGAATTCTTCTGTCTAGCAGAATATGAAGAAATCCCGTTTCCAACGAAGGCCCCAAGGAGGTCTGAATATCCACTTGCAGACTTTACAAACAGAGTGTTTCCTAACTGCTCTATGAACAGAAAGGTTAAACTCTGTGAGTTGAACGCACACATCACAAAAGAGTTTCTGAGAATCATTTCTGTCTAGTTTCTATAGGAAGATATTTCCTATTCTACAGTTGACCTCAAAGCGGCTGAAATCTCCACTTGCAAATTCCACAAGAAGAGTGTTTCAAGTATGCTCTGTGTAAAGGATCGTTCAACTCTGTGAGTTGAATACACACAACACAAGGAAGTTACTGAGAATTCTTCTGTCTAGCATAATATGAAGAAATCCCGTTTCCAAAGAAGGCCTCAAGGAGGTCTGAATATCCACTTGCAGACTTTACAAACAGAGTGTTTCCTAACTGCTCTATGAAAAGAAAGGTTAAACTCTGTGAGTTGAACGCACACATCACAAAGGAGTTTCTGAGAATCATTCTGTCTAGTTTCTATAGGAAGATATTTCCTATTCTACCATTGAACTCAAAGCGGCTGAAATCTCCACTTGCAAATTCCACACAAAGAGTGTTTCAAGTCTGCTCTGTGTAAAGGATCGTTCAACTCTGTGAGTTGAATACACACAACACAAGGAAGTTACTGAGAATTCTTCTGTCTAGCAGAATATGAAGAAATCCCGTTTCCAACGAAGGCCACAAGATGTCAGAATATCCACTTACAGAATTTACAAACAGACTGTTTCCTAACTGCTCTATGAAAAGAAAGGTTAAACTCTGTGAGTTGAACGAACACATCACAACGTAGTTCGTGGGAATGATTCTGTCTAGTTTTGAAACGAAGATATTTCCTTTTCTGCCGTTGACCTTAAAGCGCTTGAAATCTACACTTGCAAATTGCACAAATAGAGTGTTTCAAATCTGCTCTGTCTAAGGGAACGTTCAACTCTGTGAGTTGAATGCACACAACACAAGGAAGTTACTGGGAATTCTTCTGTCTAGCCTTACATGAAAAAAACCCGTTTCCCACGAAGGCCTCTAAGTGGTCAAATTATCCACGTGCAGACTTTACAAACAGAGTGTTTCCAAACTGCTGAATGAAAAGAAAAGTCAAACTCTGAGAGTTGAACGCACACATCGCAGAGCAGTTTCTGAAAATGATTCTGTCTAGTTTTTATACGAAGATATTTCCTTTTCTGCCTTTGGCCTCAAAGCGCTTGAAATCTCCACTTGCAAATTCCACAAAAAGAGTGTTTCAAATCTGCTCTGTGTAAATGAAAGTTCAACTCTGTGAGTTGAACACACACAACACAAGGAAGTTACTGGGAATTCTTCTGTCTAGCATAATATGAAGAAATCCCGTTTCCAACGAAGGCCTCAAAGAGGTCTGAATATCCACTTGCAGACTTTACAAACAGAGTGTTTCCTAACTGCTCTATGAAAAGAAAAGTTAAACTACTGTGAGTTGAACGCACACATCACAAAGGAGTTTCTGAGAATCATTCTGTCTAGTTTTTCTACGAAGATATTTCCTTTTCTACTATTGACCTCAAAGCGGCTGAAATCTCCACTTGCAAATTCCACAAAAAGAGTGTTTCAAGTCTGCTCTATGTAAAGGATCGTTCAACTCTGTGAGTTGAATACACACAACACAAGGAAGTTACTGAGAATTATTCTGTCTAGCAGAATATGAAGAAATCCCGTTTCCAACGAAGGCCACAAGATGTCAGAATATCCACTTACAGAATTGACAAACAGACTGTTTCCTAACTGCTCTATGAAAAGAAAGGTTAAACTCTGTGAGTTGAACGAACACATCACAACGCAGTTTGTGGGAATGATTCTGTCTAGTTTTGAAACGAAGATATTTCCTTTTCTGCCATTGACCTTAAAGCGCTTGAAATCTACACTTGCAAATTGCACAAATAGAGTGTTTCAAATCTGCTCTGTCTAAGGGAACGTTCAACTCTGTGAGTTGAATGCACACAACACAAGGAAGTTTCTGGGAATTCTTCTGTCTAGCCTTACATGAAAAAAACCCGTTTCCAACGAAGGACTCTAAGTGGTCAAAATGTCCACGTGCAGACTTTACAAACAGAGTGTTTCCAAACCGCTGAATGAAAAGAAAAGTTAAACTCTGAGAGTTGAACGCACACATCACGCAGCAGTTTCTGAGAATGATTCTGTCTTGTTTTTATACGAAGATATTTCCTTTTCTGCCCTTGGCCCCAAAGCGCTTGAAATCTCCACTTGCAAATTCCACAAAAACAGTGTTTCAAATCTGCTCTCTCTAAATGAAAGTTCAACTCTGTCAGTTGAATACACACAACACAAGGAAGTTACTGAGAATTCTTCTGTCTAGCCTTATATGAAAAAGCCCGTTTCCAACGAAGGCCTCAGAGAGGTCTGAATATCCATTTGCAGACTTTACAAACAGAGTGTTTCCTAACTGCTCTATGAAAAGAAAGGTTAAACTCTGTGAGTTGAACGCACACATCACAAAGGAGTTTCTGAGAATCATTCTGTCTAGTTTTTATAGGAAGATATTTCCTTTTCTACCTTTGACTTCAAAGCGGCTGAAATCTCCACTTGCAAATTCCCCAAATAGAGTGTTACAAGTCTGCTCTGTGTAAAGGATCGTTCAACTCTGTGAGTTGAATACACACAACACGCGGAAGTTACTGAGAATTCTTCTGTCTAGCAGAATATGAAGAAATCCCGTTTCCAACGAAGGCCACAAGATGTCAGAATATCCACTTACAGAATTGACAAACAGACTGTTTCCTAACTGCTCTATGAAAAGAAAGGTTAAACTCTGTGAGTTGAACGAACACATCACAACGCAGTTTGTGGGAATGATTCTGTCTAGTTTTTATAGGAAGATATTTCCTTTTCTACATTTGACTTCAAAGCGGCTGAAATCTCCACTTGCAAATTCCACAAAAAGCGTGTTACAAGTCTGCTCTGTGTAAAGGATCGTTCAACTCTGTGAGTTGAATACACACAACACAAGGAAGTTACTGAGAATTCTTCTGTCTAGCCTTACATGAAAAAAACCCGTTTCCAACGAAGGCCTCTAAGTGGTCAAATTATTCACGTGCAGACGTTACAAACAGAGTGTTTCCAAACTGCTGAATGAAAAGAAAAGTTAAACTCTGAGAGTTGAACGCACACATCGCAGAGCAGTTTCTGAGAATGATTCTGTCTAGTTTTTATACGAAGATATTTCCTTTTCTGCCTTTGGCCCCAAAGCGCTTGAAATCTCCACTTGCAAATTCCACAAAAACAGTGTTTCAAATCTGCTCTCTCTAAATGAAAGTTTAACTCTGTCAGTTGAATACACACAACACAAGGAAGTTACTGAGAATTCCTCTGTATAGCAGAATATGAAGAAATCCCGTTTCCAACGAAGGCCTCAAGGAGGTCTGAATATCCACTTGCAGACTTTACAAACAGAGTGTTTCCTAACTGCTCTATGAAAAGAAAGGTTAAACTCTGTGAGTTGAACGCAGACATCACAAAGGAGTTTCTGAGAATCACTCTGTCTAGTTTCTATAGGAAGATATTTCCTATTCTACCATTGACCTCAAAGCGGCTGAAATCTCCACTTGCAAATTCCGCAAAAAGAGTGTTTCAAGTCTGCTCTGTGTAAAGGATCGTTCAACTCTGTGAGTTGAATACACACAACACAAGGAAAGTTACTGAGAATTCTTCTGTCTAGCAGAATATGAAGAAATCCCGTTTCCAACGAAGGCGTCAAAGAGGTCTGAATATCCACTTGCAGACTTTACAAACAGAGTGTTTCCCAACTGCTCTATGAAAAGAAAGGTTAAACTCTGTGAGTTGAACGCACACATCACAAAGGAGTTTCTGAGAATCATTCTGTCTAGTTTTGAAACGAAGATATTTCCTTTTCTGCCATTGACCTTAAAGCGCTTGAAATCTCCACTTGCCAATTGCACAAAAAGAGTGTTTCAAATCTGCTCTGTCTAAGGGAACGTTCAACTCTGTGAGTTGAATGTACACAACACAAGGAAGTTACTGGGAATTCTTCTGTCTAGACTTACAGGAATAAAACCCGTTTCCAACGAAGGCCTCTAAGTGGTCAAAATATCCACGTGCAGACTTTACAAAGAGAGTGTTTCCAAACTGCTGAATGAAAAGAAAAATTAAACTCTGAGAGTTGAATGCACACATCGCAGAGCAGTTTCTGAGAATGATTCTGTCTAGTTTTTATACGAAGATATTTCCTTTTCTGCCTTTGGCCTCAAAACGCTTGAATTCTCCATTTGCAAATTCCTCAAAAAGAGTGTTTCAAATCTGCTCTGTGTAAATGAAAGTTCAACTCTGTGAGTTGAATACACACAACACAAGGAAGTTACTGAGAATTCTTCTGTCTAGCATAATATGAAGAAATCCCGTTTCCAACGAAGGCCTCAAAGAGGTCTGAATATCCACTTGCAGACTTTACAAACAGAGTGTTTCCTAACTGCTCTATGAGAAGAATAGTTAAACTCTGTGAGTTGAACGCACACATCACAAAAGATTTTCTGAGAATCATTCTGTCTAGTCTTTATATGAAGATAGTTTCCTTTTCTACCATTGACCTCAAAGCGGCTGAAATCTCCACTTGCAAATTCCACAAAAAGAGTGTTTCAAGTCTGCTCTGTGTAAAGGATCGTTCAACTCTGTGAGTTGAATACACACAACACAAGGAAGTTACTGAGAATTCTTCTGTCTAGCAGAATATGAAGAAATCCCGTTTCCAACGAAGACCTCAAAGAGGTCTGAATATTCACTTGCAGACTTTACAAACAGAGTGTTTCCTAACTGATCTATGAAAAGAAAGGTTAAACTCTGTGAGTTGAACGCACACATCACAAAGGAGTTTCTGAGAATCATTCTGTCTAGTTTTGAAACGAAGATATTTCCTTTTCTGCAATTGACCTTAAAGCGCTTGAAATCTCCACTTGCCAATTGCACAAAAAGAGTGTTTCAAATCTGCTCTGTCTAAGGGAACGTTCAACTCTGTGAGTTGAATGTACACAACACAAGGAAGTTACTGGGAATTCTTCTGTCTAGCCTTACATGAAAAAAACCCGTTTCCAACGAAGGTCTCTAAGTGGTCAAAATATCCACGTGCAGACTTTACAAACAGAGTGTTTCCAAACCGCTGAATGAAAAGAAAAGTTAAACTGCTGAGAGTTGAACGCACACATCACGCAGCAGTTTCTGAGAATGATTCTGTCTAGTTTTTATACGAAGATATTTCCTTTTCTGCCTTTGGCCTCAAAGCGCTTGAAATCTCCACTTGCAAATTCCACAAAAAGAGTGTTTCAAATCTGCTCTGTGTAAATGAAAGTTCAACTCTGTGAGTTGAACACACACAACACAAGGAAGTTACTGGGAATTCTTCTGTCTAGCCTTATATGAAAAAAACCCGTTTCCAACGAAGGCCTCAAAGAGGGCTGAATATCCACATGCAGACTTTACAAGCAGAGTGTTTCCTAACTGCTCTATGAAAAGAAAGGTTAAACTCTGTGAGTTGAACGCACACATCACAAAGGAGTTTCTGAGAATCATTCTGTCTAGTTTTTATACGAAGATATTTACTTTTCTACCATTGACCTCAAAGCGGCTGAAATCTCCACCCTGCCAATTCCACAAAAAGAGTGTTTCAAGTCTACTCTGTGTAAAGGATGGTTGAACTCTGTGAGTTGAAAACACACAACACAAGGAAAGTTACTGAGAATTCTTCTGTCTAGCAGAATATGAAGAAATCCCGTTTCCAACGAAGGCCACAAGATGTCAGAATATCCACTTACAGACTTTAGAAACAGAGTGTTTCCTAACTGCTCTATGAACAGAAAGGTTAAACTCTGTGAGTTGAACGAACACATCACAACGCAGTTTGTGGGAATGATTCTGTCTAGTTTTGAAACGAAGATATTTCCTTTTCTGCCGTTGACCTTAAAGAGCTTGAAAACTACACTTGCAAATTGCAGAAATAGAGTGTTTCAAATCTGCTCTGTCTAAGGGAACGTTCAACTCTGTGAGTTGAATGCACACAACACAAGGAAGTTACTGGGAATTCTTCTGTCTAGCCTTACAGGAAAAAAACCCGTTTCCAACGAAGGCCTCTAAGTGGTCAAAATATCCACGTGCAGACTTTACAAACAGAGTGTTTCCAAACTGCTGAATGAAAAGAAAAGTTAAACTCTGAGAGTTGAACGCACACATCGCAGAGCAGTTTCTGAGAATGATTCTGTCTACTTTTTATACGAAGATATTTCCTTTTCTGCCTTTGGCCTCAAAGCGCTTGAAATCTCCACTTGCAAATTCCACAAAAAGAGTGTTTCAAATCTGCTCTGTGTAAATCAAAGTTCAACTCTGTGAGTTGAACACACACAACACAAGGAAGTTACTGGGAATTCTTCTGTCTAGCAGAATATGAAGATATCCCGCTTCCAACGAAGGCCTCAAAGAAAGTTTGAATATCCACTTGCAGACTTTACAAACAGAGTGTTTTCCAACTGCTCTATGAAAAGAAAGGTTGAACTCTGTGAGTTGAACGCACACATCACAAAGGAGTTTCTGAGAATCATTCTGTCTAGTTTTTATACGAAGAGATTTCCTTTTCTACCATTGACCTCAAAGCGGCTGAAATCTCCACTTGCAAATTCCACAAAAAGAGTGTTACAAGTCTGCTCTGTGTAAAGGATCGTTCAACTCTGTGAGTTGAATACACACAACACAAGGAAGATTCTGAGAATTCTTCTGTCTAGCCTTATATGAAAAAACCCGTTTCCAACGAAGGCCTCAAAGAGGTCAAAATATCCACGTGCAGACTTTACAAACAGAGTGTTTCCTAACTGCTCTGTGAAAAGAAAGGTTAAACCCTGTGAGTTGAACGAACACATCACAACGCAGTTTGTGGGAATGATTCTGTCTAGTTTTGAAATGAAGATATTTCCTTTTCTGCCATTGACCTTAAAGCGCTTGAAATCTCCACTTGCCAATTGCACAAAAAGAGTGTTTCAAATCTGCTCTGTCTAAGGGAACGTTCAACACTGTGAGTTGAATGTACACAACACAAGGAAGTTACTGGGAATTCTTCTATCTAGCCTTACAGGAAAAAAACCCGTTTCCAACGAAGGCCTCAAATAGGTCAAAATATCCACTTGCAGACTTTACAAACAGAGTGTTTCCTAACTGCTTTATGAAAAGAAAAGTTAAACTCTTTAAATTGAACACACCCATCACAAAGGAGTTTCTGACAATCATTCTGTCTAGTTTTTATACGAAGATATTTCCTTTTCTGCCTTTGGCCTCAAAGCGCTTGACATCTCCACTTGCAAATTCCTCAAAAAGAGTGTTTCAAATCTGCTCTGTGTAAATGAAAGTTCAACTCTGTGAGTTGAACACACACAACACAAGGAAGTTACTGGGAATTCTTCTGTCTAGCCTTATATGAAAAAAACCCGATTCCAACGAAGGCCTCAAAGAGGTCTGAATATCCACTTGCAGACTTTACAAACAGAGTGTTTCCTAACTGCTCTATGAAAAGAAAGGTTAAACTCTGTGAGTTGAACGCACACATCACAAAGGAGTTTCTGAGAATCATTCTGTCTAGTTTCTATAGGAAGATATTTCCTATTCTACCATTGACCTCAAAGCGGCTGAAATCTCCACTTGCAAATTCGACAAAAAGAGTGTTTCAAGCCTGCTCTCTGTAAAGGATCCTTCAACTCTGTGAGTTGAATACACACAACACAAGGAAGTTACTGAGAATTCTTCTGTCTAGCAGAATATGAAGAAATCCCGTTTCCAACGAAGGCCACAAGATGTCAGAATATCCACTTACAGAATTGACAAACAGACTGTTTCCTAACTGGTCTATGAAAAGAAAGGTTAAACTCTGTGAGTTGAACGAACACATCACAACGCAGTTTGTGGGAATGATTCTGTCTAGTTTTGAAACGAAGATATTTCCTTTTCTGCCATTGACCTCAAAGCGCTTGAAATCTCCACTTGCCAATTGCACAAAAAGAGTGTTTCAAATCTGCTCTGTCTAAGGGAACGTTCAACTCTGTGAGTTGAATGTACACAACACAAGGAAGTTACTGGGAATTCTTCTGTCGAGCCTTACATGAAAAAAACCCGTTTCCAACGAAGGCCTCTAAGTGGTCAAAATTTCCACGTGCAGACTTTACAAACAGAGTGTTTCCAAACCGCTGAATGAAAACAAAAGTTAAACTCTGAGACTTGAACGCACACATCACGCAGCAGTTTCTGAGAATGATTCTGTCTAGTTTTTATACGAAGATATTTCCTTTTCTGCCTTTGGCCTCAAATCGCTTGAAATCTCCACTTGCAAATTCCACAAAAAGAGTGTTTCAAATCTGCTCTGTGTAAATCAAAGTTCAACTCTGTGAGTTGAACACACACAACACAAAGAAGTTACTGGGAATTCTTCCGTCTAGCCTTACATGAAAAAAACCCGTTTCCAACGAAGGCCTCAAAGAAGTCCAAATATCCACGTGCAGACTTTACAAACAGAGTGTTTCCTAACTGCTCTATGAAAAGAAAGGTTAAACTCTGTGAGTTGAACGCCCACATCACAAAGGAGTTTCTGAGAATCATTCTGTCTATTTTCTATAGGAAGATATTTCCTATTCTACCATTGACCTCAAAGCGGCTGAAATCTCCACTTGCAAATTCCACAAAAAGAGTGTTTCAAGTCTGCTCTGTGTAAAGGATCGTTCAACTCTGTGAGTTGAACACACACAACACAAGGAAGTTAGTGAGAATTCTTCTGTCTAGCAGAATATGAAGAAATCCCATTTCCGACGAAGGCCTCAGGGAGGTCTGAATATCCACTTGCAGACTTTACAAACAGAGTGTTTCCTAAAGGCTCTATGAAAAGAAAGGTTAAACTCTGTGAGTTGAACGCACACATCACAAAGGAGTTTCTGAGAATCATTCTGTCTAGTTTTGAAACGAAGATATTTCCTTTTCTGCCGTTGACCTTAAAGCGCTTGAAATCTACACTTGCAAATTGCACAAATAGAGTGTTTCAAATCTGCTCTGTCTAAGGGAACGTTCAACTCTGTGAGTTGAATGCACACAACACAAGGAAGTTACTGGGAATTCTTCTGTCTAGCCTTACATGAAAAAAACCCGTTTCCAACGAAGGCCTCTAAGTGGTCAAAATTTCCACGTGCAGACTTTACAAACAGAGTGTTTCCAAACCGCTGAATGAAAAGAAAAGTTAAACTCTGAGAGTTGAACGAACACATCACGCAGCAGTTTCTGAGAATGATTCTGTCTAGTTTCTATAGGAAGATATTTCCTATTCTACCATTGACCTCAAAGCGGCTGAAATCTCCACTTGCAAATTCCACAAAAAGAATGTTTCAAGTCTGCTCTGTGTAAAGGATCGTTCAACTCTGTGAGTTGAATACACACAACTCAAGGAAGTTACTGAGAATTCTTCTGTCTAGCAGAATATGAAGAAATCCCGTTTCCAACGAAGGCCTCAAGGAGGTCTGAATATCCACTTGCAGACTTTACAAACAGAGTGTTTCCTAACTGCTCTATGAAAAGAAAAGTTAAACTCTGTGAGTTGAACGCACACATCACAAAGGAGTTTATGAGAATCATTCTGTCTAGTTTTTATAGGAAGGTATTTCCTTTTCTACCATTGACCTCAAAGCGGCTGAAATCTCCACTTGCAAATTCCACAAAAAGAGTGTTTCAAGTCTGCTCTGTGTAAAGGATCGTTCAACTCTGTGAGTTGAATACACACAACACCCGGAAGTTACTGAGAATTCTTCTGTCTAGCAGAATATGAAGAAATCCTGTTTCCAACGAAGGCCACAAGATGTCAGAATATCCACTTACAGAATTTACAAACAGACTGTTTCCTAAGTGCTCTATGAAAAGAAATGTTAAACTCTGTGAGTTGAACGAACACATCGCAACGCAGTTTGTGGGAATGATTCTGTCTAGTTTTGAAACGAAGATATTTCCTTTTCTGCCATTGACCTTAAAGAGCTTGAAATCTACACTTGCAAATTGCACAAATAGAGTGTTTCAAATCTGCTCTGTCTAAGGGAACGTTCAACTCTGTGAGTGGAATGCACACAACACAAGGAAGTTACTGGGAATTCTTCTGTGTAGCAGAATATGAAGAAATCCCGTTTCCAACGAAGGCCTCAAAGAGGTCTGAATATCCACTTGCAGACTTTACAAACAGAGTGTTTCCTAACTGCTCTATGAAAAGAAAGGTTAAACTCTGTGAGTTGAACGCTCACATCACAAAGGAGTTTCTGAGAATCGTTCTGTCTAGTTTCTATAGGAAGATATTTCCTATTCTACCATTGACCTCAAAGCGGCTGAAATCTCCACTTGCAAATTCCACAAAAAGAGTGTTTCAAGTCTGCTCTGTATAAAGGATCGTTCAACTCTGTGAGTTGAATACACACAACACAAGGAAGTTACTGAGAATTCTTCTTTCTAGCAGAATATGAAGAAATCCCGTTTCCAACGAAAGCCTCAAGGATGTCGGAATATCCACTTGCAGACTTTACAAACAGAGTGTTTCCCAACTGCTCTATGAAAAGAAAGGTTAAACTCTGTGAGTTGAACGCACACATCACAAAGGAGTTTCTGAGAATCATTCTGTCTAGTTTCCATAGGAAGATATTTCCTATTCTACCATTGACCTCAAAGAGGCTGAAATCTCCACTTGCAAATTCCACAAAAAGAGTGTTTCAAGTCTGCTCTGTGTAAAGGATCGTTCAACTCTGTGAGTTGAATACACACAACACAAGGAAGTTACTGAGAATTCTTCTGTCTAGCAGAATATGAAGAAATCCCGTTTACAACGAAGGCCACAAGATGTCAGAATATCCACTTACAGACTTTACAGAGTGTTTCCTAACTGCTCTATGAACAGAAAGGTTAAACTCTGTGAGTTGAACGAACACATCACAACGCAGTTTGTGGGAATGATACTGTCTAGTTTTGAAACGAAGATATTTCCTTTTCTGCCATTGACCTTAAAGCGCTTGAAATCTACACTTGCAAATTGCACAAATAGAGTGTTTCAAATCTGCTCTGTCTAAGGGAACGTTCAACTCTGTGAGTTGAATGCACACAACACAAGGAAGTTACTGGGAATTCTTCTGTCTAGCCTTACATGAAAAAAACCCGTTTCCAACGAAGGCCTCTAAGTGGTCAAAATATCCACGTGCAGACTTTACAAACAGAGTGTTTCCAAACCGCTGAATGAAAAGAAAAGTTAAACTCTGAGAGTTGAACGCACACATCACGCAGCAGTTTCTGAGAATGATTCTGTCTAGTTTCTATAGGAAGATATTTCCTATTCTACCATTGACCTCAAAGCGGCTGAAATCTCCACTTGCAAATTCCACAAAAAGAGTGTTTCAAGTCTGCTCTCTGTAAAGGATCGTTCAACTCTAAGAGTTGAATACACACAACACAAGGAAGTTACTGAGAATTCTTCTGTCTAGCAGAATATGAAGAAATCCCGTTTCCAACGAAGGCCTCAAAGAGGTCTGAATATCCACTTGCAGACTTTACAAACAGAGTGTTTCCTAACTGCTCTATGAAAAGAAAGGTTAAACTCTGTGAGTTGAACGCACACATCACAAAGGAGTTTCTGAGAATCATTCTGTCTAGTTTCTATAGGAAGATATTTCCTATTCTACCACTGACCTCAAAGCGGCTGAAATCTCCACTTGCAAATTCCACAAAAAGAGTGTTTCAAGTCTGCTCTCTGTAAAGGATCGTTCAACTCTGTGAGTTGAATACACACAACACAAGGAAGTTATTGAGAATTAAACTGTCTAGCATAATGTGAAGAAATGCCGTTTCCAACGAAGGCCTCAAAGAGGTCTGAATATCCACTTGCAGACTTTACAAACAGAGTGTTTCCTAACTGCTCTATGAAAAGAAAGGTTAAACTCTGTGAGTTGAACGCACACATCACAAAGGAGTTTCTGAGAATCATTCTGTCTTGTTTCTACACGAAGATATTTCCTTTTCTACCATTGACCTCAAAGCGGCTGAAATCTCCACTTGCAAATTCCACAAAAAGAGTGTTTCAAGTCTGCTCTGTGTAAAGGATCGTTCAACTCTGTGAGTTGAATACACACAACACAAGGAAGTTACTGAGAATTCTTCTGTCTAGCCTTACATGAAAAAAACCCGTTTCCAACGAAGGCCTCTAAGTGGTCAAATTATCCACGTGCAGACTTTACAAACAGAGTGTTTCCAAACTGCTGAATGAAAAGAAAAGTTAAACTCTGAGAGTTGAACGCACACATCGCAGAGCAGTTTCTGAGAATGATTCTGTCTAGTTTTTATACGAAGATATTTCCTTTTCTGCTTTTGGCCTCAAATCGCTTGAAATATCCACTTGCAAATTCCACAAAAACAGTGTTTCAAATCTGCTCTCTCTAAATGAAAGTTCAACTCTGTCAGCTGAATACACACAACACAAGGAAATTACTGAGAATTCTTCTGTCTAGCAGAATATGAAGAAATCCCGCTTCCAACGAAGGCCTCAAAGAAGTCTGAATATCCACTTGCAGACTTTACAAACAGAGTGTTTCCCAACTGCTCTATGAAAAGAAAGGTTGAACTCTGTGAGTTGAACGCACACATCACAAAAGAGTTATGAGAATCATTCTGTCTAGTTTTTCTACGAAGATATTTCCTTTTCTACTATTGACCTCAAAGCGGCTGAAATCTCCACTTGCAAATTCCACAAAAAGAGTGTTTCAAGTCTGCTCTGTGTAAAGGATCGTTCAACTCTGTGAGTTGAATACACACAACACAAGGAAGTTACTGAGAATTATTCTGTCTAGCAGAATATGAAGAAATCCCGTTTCCAACGAAAGCCACAAGATGTCAGAATATCCACTTACAGACTTTACAAACAGAGTGTTTCCTAACTGCTCTATGAACAGAAAGGTTAAACTCTGTGAGTTGAACGAACACATCACAACGCAGTTTGTGAGAATGATTCTGTCTAGTTTTGAAACGAAGATATTTCCTTTTCTGCCATTGACCTTAAAGCGCTTGAAATCTCCACTTGCCAATTGCACAAAAAGAGTGTTTCAAATCTGCTCTGTCTAAGGGAACCGTTCAACTCTGTGAGTTGAATGTACACAACGCAAGGAAGTTACTGGGAATTCTTCTGTCTAGCCTTAAAGGAAAGAAACCCGTTTCCAACGAAGGCCTCTAAGTGGTCAAAATATCCACGTGCAGACTTTACAAACAGAGGGTTTCCAAACTGCTGAATGAAAAGAAAAGTTAAACTCTGAGAGTTGAACGCACACATCACAGAGCAGTTTCTGAGAATGATTCTGTCTAGTTTTTATACGAAGATATTTCCTTTTCTGCCTTTGGCCTCAATGCGCTTGAAATCTCCACTGGCAAATTCCACAAAAAGAGTGTTTCCAATCTGCTCTGTGTAAATGAAAGTTCAACTCTGTGAGTTGAACACACACAACACAAGGAAGTTACTGGGAATTCTTCTGTCTAGCCTTATATGAAAAAACCCGTTTCCAACGAAGGCCTCAAAGAGGCCTGAATATCCACTTGCAGTCTTTACAAACAGAGTGTTTCCTAACTGCTCTATGAAAAGAAAGGTTAAACTCTGTGAGTTGAACACACACATCACAAAGGAGTTTCTGAGAATCATTCTGTCTAGTTTTTATACGAAGATATTTCCTTTTCTACCATTGACCTCAACGCGGCTGAAATCTCCACTTGCAAATTCCACAAAAAGTGTGTTTCAAGTCCGCTCTGTGTAAAGGATCGTTCAACTACTGTGAGTTGAATACACACAACACAAGGAAGTTACTGAGAATTCTTCTGTCTAGCACAGTATGAAGAAATCCCGTTTCCAACGAAGGCCTCAAAGAGGTCTGAATATCCACTTGTAGACTTTACAAACAGAGTGTTTCCTAACTGCTCTATGAAAAGAAAGGTTAAACTCTGTGAGTTGAACGCACACGTCACAATGAAGTTTCTGAGAATCATCTGTCTAGTTTTGAAACGAAGATATTTCCTTTTCTGCCATTGACCTTAAAGCGCTTGAAATCTACACTTGCAAATTGCACAAATAGAGTGTTTCAAATCTGCTCTGCCTAAGGGAACGTTCAACTCTGTGAGTTGAATGCACACAACACAAGGAAGTTACTGGGAATTCTTTCTGTCTAGCCTTCATGAAAAAAACCCGTTTCCAACGAAGGCCTCTAAGTGGTCAAAATATCCACGTGCAGACTTTACAAACAGAGTGTTTCCAAACCGCTGAATGAAAAGAAAAGTTAAACTCTGAGAGTTGAACGCACACATCACGCAGCAGTTTCTGAGAATGATTCTGTCTAGTTTTTATACGAAGATATTTCCTTTTCTGCCTTTGGCCTCAAAGCGCTTGAAATCTCCACTTGCAAATTCCACAAAAAGAGTGTTTCAAATCTCCTCTGTCTAAATGAAAGTTCAACTCTGTCAGTTGAATACACACAACACAAGGAAGTTACTGAGAATTCTTCTGTCTAGCATAGTATGAAGAAATCCCGTTTCCAACGAAGGCCTCAAAGAGGTCTGAATATCCACTTGCAGAGTTTACAAACAGAGTGTTTCCTAACTGCTCTATGAAAAGAAAGGTTAAACTCTGTGAGTTGAACGCACACATCACAAAGAAGTTTCTGAGAATCATTCTGTCTAGTTTTTCTACGAAGATATTTCCTTTTCGACTATTGACCTCAAAGCGGCTGAAATCTCCACTTGCAAATTCCACAAAAAGAGTGTTTCAAGTCTGCTCTGTGTAAAGGATCGTTCAACTCTGTGAGTTGAATACACACAACACAAGGAAGTTACTGAGAATTCTTCTGTCTAGCAGAATATGAAGAAATCCCGTTTCCAACGAAGGCCTCAAAGAGGTCTGAATATCCACTTGCAGATTTTACAAACAGAGTGTTTCCTAACTGCTCTATGAACAGAAAGGTTAAACTGCTGTGAGTTGAACGCACACATCACAAAGGAGTTTCTGAGAATCGTTCTCTCTAGTTTTGAAACGCAGATATTTCCTTTTCTGCCATTGACCTTAAAGCGCTTGAAATCTCCACTTGCCAATTGCACAAAAAGAGTGTTTCAAATCTGCTCTGTCTAAGGGAACGTTCAACTCTGTGAGTTGAATGTACACAACACAAGGAAGTTACTGGGAATTCTTCTGTCTAGCCTTACATGAAAAAAACCCGTTTCCAACGAAGGCCTCTAAGTGGTCAAATTATCCACGTGCAGACTTTACAAACAGAGTGTTTCCAAACTGCTGAATGAAAAGAAAAGTTAAACTCTGAGAGTTGAACGCACACATCGCAGAGCAGTTTCTGAGAATGATTCTGTCTAGTTTTTATACGAAGATATTTCCTTTTCTGCCTTTGGCCTGAAAGCGCTTGAAATCTCCACTTGCAAATTCCACAAAAAGAGTGTTTCAAATCTGCTCTGTGTAAATGAAAGTTCAACTCTGTGAGTTCAACACACACAACACAAGGAAGTTACTGGGAATTCTTCTGTCTAGCATAATATGAAGAAATCCCGTTTCCAACGAAGACCTCAAAGAGGTCTGAATATCCACTGGCAGACTTTACAAACAGAGTGTTTCCTAACTGCTCTATGAGAAGAAAAGTTAAACTCTGTGAGTTGAACGCACACATCACAAAAGATTTTCTGAGAATCATTCTGTCTAGTTTTTATACGAAGATATTTCCTTTTCTACCATTGACCTCAAAGCGGCTGAAATCTCCACTTGCAAATTCCACAAAAAGAGTGTTTCAAGTCTGCTCTGTGTAAAGGATCGTTCAACTCTGTGAGTTGAATACACACAACACAAGGAAGTTACTGAGAATTCTTCTGTCTAGCAGAATATGAAGAAATCCCGTTTCCAACGAAGGCCACAAGATGTCAGAATATCCACTTACAGAATTTACAAACAGACTGTTTCCCAACTGCTCTATGAAAAGAAAGGTTAAACTCTGTGAGTTGAACGAACACATCACAACGCAGTTTTTGATAATGATTCTGTCTAGTTTTGAAACGAAGATATTTCCTTTTCTGCCATTGACCTTAAAGCGCTTGAAATCTCCGCTTGCCAATTGCACAAAAAGAGTGTTTCAAATCTGCTCTGTCTAAGGGAACGTTCAACTCTGTGAGTTGAATGTACACAACACAGGGAAGTTACTGGGAATTCTTCTGTCTAGCCTTACATGAAAAAAACCCGTTTCCAACGAAGGCCTCTAAGTGGTCAAATTATCCACGTGCAGACTTTACAAACAGAGTGTTTCCAAACTGCTGAATGAAAAGAAAAGTTAAACTCTGAGAGTTGAACGCACACATCGCAGAGCAGTTTCTGAGAATGATTCTGTCTAGTTTCTATAGGAAGATATTTCCTATTCTACCATTGACCTCAAAGCGGCTGAAATCTCCCCTTGCAAATTCCACAAAAAGAGTGTTTCAAGTCTGCTCTGTGTAAAGGATCGTTCAACTCTGTGAGTTGAATACACACAACACAAGGAAGTTACTGAGAATTCTTCTGTCTAGCAGAATATGAAGAAATCCCGCTTCCAACGAAGGCCTCAAAGAAGTCTGAATATCCACTTGCAGACTTTACAAACAGAGTGTTTCCCAACTGCTCTATGAAAAGAAAGGTTGAACTCTGTGAGTTGAACGCACACATCACAAAGGAGTTTCTGAGAATCATTCTGTCTAGTTTTTATACGAAGATATTTCCTTTTCTACCATTGACCTCAACGCGGCTGAAATCTCCACTTGCAAATTCCACAAAAAGAGTGTTTCAAGTCTGCCCTGTGTAAAGGATCGTTCAACTCTGTGAGTTGAATACACACAACACAAGGAAGTTACTGAGAATTCTTCTGTCTAGCAGAATATGAAGAAATCCCGTTTCCAACGAAGGCCACAAGATGTCAGAATATCCACTTACAGAATTGACAAACAGACTGTTTCCTAACTGCTCTATGAAAAGAAAGGTTAAACTCTGTGAGTTGAACGAACACATCACAACGCAGTTTGTGGGAATGATTCTGTCTAGTTTTGAAACGAAGATATTTCCTTTTCTGCCTTTGACCTTAATGCGCTTGAAATCTACACTTGCAAATTGCACAAATAGAGTGTTTCAAATCTGCTCTGTCTAAGGGAACGTTCAACTCTGTGAGTTGAATGCACACAACACAAGGAAGTTACTGAGAATTCTTCTGTCTAGCATAATATGAAGAAATCCCGTTTCCAACGAAGGCCTCAAAGAGGTCTGAATATCCACTTGCAGACTTTACAAACAGAGTGTTTCCTAATTGCTCTATGAAAAGAAAAGTTAAACTCTGTGAGTTGAACGCACACATCACAAAGGATTTTCTGAGAATCATTCTGTCTAGTTTTTATACGAAGATATTTCCTTTTCTGCATTTGGCCACAAAGCGCTTGAAATCTCCATTTGCAAATACCACAAAAAGAGTGTTTCAAACCTGCTCTGTGTAAATGAAAGTTCAACTCTGTGAGTTGAACACACACAACACAAGGAAGTTACTGGGAATTCTTCTGTATATCAGAATATGAAGAAATCCCGTTTCCAAAGAAGGCCTCAAAGAGGTCTGAATATCCACTTGCAGACTTTACAAACAGAGTGTTTCCTAACTGCTCTATGAAAAGGAAAGTTAAACTCTGTGAGTTGAACGCACACATCACAAAGGAGTTTCTGAGAATCATTCTGTCTAGTTTCTATAGGAAGATATTTCCTATTCTACCATTGACCTCAAAGCGGCTGAAATCTCCACTTGCAAATTCCACAAAAAGAGTGTTTCAAGTCTGCTCTGTGTAAAGGATCGTTCAACTCCGTGAGTTGAATACACACAACACAAGGAAGTTACTGAGAATTCTTCTGTCTAGCAGAATATGAAGAAATCCCGTTTCCAACGAAGGCCACAAGATGTCAGAATATCCACTTACAGAATTTACAAACAGACTGTTTCCTAATGCTCTATGAAAAGAAAGGTTAATCTCTGTGAGTTGAACGAACACAGCACAACGCAGTTTGTGGGAATGATTCTGTCTAGTTTTGAAACGAAGATATTTCCTTTTCTGCCATTGACCTTAAAGCGCTTGAAATCTCCACTTGCCAATTGCACAAAAAGAGTGTTTCAAATCTGCTCTGTCTAAGGGAACGTTCAACTCTGTGAGTTGAATGTACACAACACAAGGAAGTTACTGGGAATTCTTCTGTCTAGCCTTACATGAAAAAAACCCGTTTCCAACGAAGGCCTCTAAGTGGTCAAATTATCCACGTGCAGACTTTACAAACAGAGTGTTTCCAAAATGCTGAATGAAAAGAAAAGTTAAACTCTGAGAGTTGAACGCACACATCGCAGAGCAGTTTCTGAGAATGATTCTGTCTAGTTTTGAAACGAAGATATTTCCTTTTCTGCCTTTGGCCTCAAAGAGGTTGAAATCTCCAATTGCCAATTCCACATAAATAGTGTTTCAAATCTGCTCTGTCTAAATGAAAGTTCAACTCTGTCAGTTGAATACACACAACACAAGGAAGTTACTGAGAATTCTTCTCTCTAGCCTTATATGAAAAAAACCCGTTTCCAACGAAGGCCTCAAAGAGGTCTGAATATCCACTTGCAGACTTTAAAAACAGAGTGTTTCCTAACTGCTCTATGAAAAGAAAGGTTAAACTCTGTGAGTTGAACTCACACATCACAAAGGAGTTTCTGAGAATCATTCTGTCTAATCTTTATATGAAGATAGTTTCCTTTTCTACCATTGACCTCAAAGCGGCTGAAATCTCCAATTGCAAATTCCACAAAAAGAGTGTTTCAAGTCTGCTCTGTGTAAAGGATCGTTCAACTCTGTGAGTTGAATACACACAACACAAGGAAGTTACTGAGAATTCTTCTGTCTAGCAGAATATGAAGAAATCCCGTTTCCAACGAAGGCCACAAGATGTCAGAATATCCACTTACAGACTTTACAAACAGAGTGTTTCCTAACTGCTCTATGAACAGAAAGGTTAAACTCTGTGAGTTGAACGAACACATCACAACGCAGTTTGTGGGAATGATTCTGTCTAGTTTTGAAACGAAGATATTTCCTTTTCTGCCATTGACCTTAAAGCGCTTGAAATCTCCATTTGCCAATTGCACAAAAAGAGTGTTTCAAATCTGCTCTGCCTAAGGGAACGTTCAACTCTGTGAGTTGAATGTACACAACACAAGGAAGTTACTGGGAAATCTTCTGTCTAGCCTTACATGAAAAAAACCCGTTTCCAACGAAGGCCTCTAAGTGGTCAAAATATCCACGTGCAGACTTTACAAACAGAGTGTTTGCAAACTGCTGAATGAAAAGAAAAGTTAAACTCTGAGAGTTGGACGCACACATCGCAGAGCAGTTTCTGAGAATGATTCTGTCTAGTTTTGAAACGAAGATATTTCCTTTTCTGCCTTTGGCCTCAAAGCGCTTGAAATCTCCACTTGCAAATTCCACAAAAAGAGTGTTTCAAATCTGCTCTGTGTAAATGAAAGTTCAACTCTGTGAGTTGAACACACACAACACAAGGAAGTTACTGGGAAATTCTTCTGTCTAGCATAATATGAAGAAATCCCGTTTCCAACGAAGGCCTCAAAGAGGTCTGAATATCCACTTGCAGACTTTACAAACAGAGTGTTTCCTAACTGCTCTATGAAAAGAAAGGTTAAACTCTGTGAGTTGAACGCACACATCACAAAGGAGTTTCTGAGAATCATTCTGTCTAGTTTTTATACGAAGATATCTCCTTTTCTACCATTGACCTCAAAGAGGCTGAAATCTCCACTTGCAAATTCCACAAAAAGAGTGTTTCAAGTCTGCTCTGTGTAAAGGATCGTTCAACTCTGTGAGTTGAATACACACAACACAAGGAAGTTACTGAGAATCCTTCCGTCTAGCATAATATGAAGAAATCCCGTTTCCAACGAAGGCCTCAAAGAGGTCTGAATATCCACTTGCAGACTTTACAAACAGAGTGTTTCCTAACTGCTCTATGAAAAGAAAGGTAAAACTCTGTGAGTTGAACGCACACATCACAAAGGAGTTTCTGAGAATCATTCTGTCTAGTTTTTATACGAAGATATTTCCTTTTCTACCATTGACCTCAAAGCGGCTGAAATCACCACTTGCCAATTGCACAAAAAGAGTGTTTCAAATCTGTTCTGTCTAAGGGAACGTTCAACTCTGTGAGTTGAATGTACACAACACAAGGAAGTTACTGGGAATTCTTCTGTCTAGCCTTACAGGAAAAAAACCCGTTTCCAACGAAGGCCTCTAAGTGGTCAGAATATCCACGTGCAGACTTTACAAACAGAGTTTTTCCACACTGCTGAATGAAAAGAAAAGTTAAACTCTGAGAGTTGAACGCACACATCGCAGAGCAGTTTCTGAGAATGATTTCTGTCTAATTTTTATACGAAGATATATCCTTTTCTGCCTTTGTCCTCAAAGCGCTTGAAATCTCCACTTGCAAATTCCACAAAAAGAGTGTTTCCAATCTGCTCTGTGTAAATGAAAGTTCAACTCTGTGAGTTGAACACACACAACACAAGGAAGTTACTGGGAATTCTTCTGTCTAGCATAATATGAAGAAATCCCGTTTCCAACGAAGGCCTCAAAGAGGTCTGAATATCCACTTGCAGACTTTACAAACAGAGTGTTTCCTAACTGCTCTATGAGAAGAAAAGTTAAACTCTGTGAGTTGAACGCACACATCACAAAAGATTTTCTGAGAATCATTCTGTCTAGTCTTTATATGAAGATAGTTTCCTTTTCTACCATTGACCTCAAAGCGGCTGAAATCTCCACTTGCAAATTACACAAAAAGAGTGTTTCAAGTCTGCTCTGTGTAAAGGATCGTTCAACTCTGTGAGTTGAATACACACAACACAAGGAAGTTACTGAGAATTCTTCTGTCTAGCAGAATACGAAGAAATCCCGTTTCCAACGAAGGCCACAAGATGTCAGAATATCCACTTACAGACTTTACAAACAGAGTGTTTCCTAACTGCTCTATGAACAGAAAGGTTAAACTCTGTGAGTTGAACGAACACATCACAACGCAGTTTGTGGGAATGATTCTCTCTAGTTTTGAAACGAAGATATTTCCTTTTCTGCCATTGACCTTAAAGCGCTTGAAATCTACACTTGCAAATTGCACAAATAGAGTGTTTCAAATCTGCTCCGTCTAAGGGAAAGTTCAACTCTGTGAGTTGAATGCACACAACACAAGGAAGTTACTGGGAATTCTTCTGTCTAGCCTTACATGACAAAAACCCGTTTCCAACGAAGACCTCTAAGTGGTCAAAATATCCACGTGCAGACTTTACAAACAGAGTGTTTCCAAACTGCTGAATGAAAAGAAAAGTTAAACTCTGAGAGCTGAAGGCACACATCGCAGAGCAGTTTCTGAGAATGATTCTGTCTAGTTTTGAAACGAAGATATTTCCTTTTCTGCCTTTGGCCTCAAAGCGCTTGAAATCTCCACTTGCAAATTCCACAAAAAGAGTGTTTCAAATCTGCTCTGTGTAAATGAAAGTTCAACTCTGTGAGTTGAACACACACAACACAAGGAAGTTACTGGGAATTCTTCTGTCTAGCCTTATATGAAAAAAACCCGTTTCCAACGAAGGCCTCAAGGAGGTCTGAATATCCACTTGCAGACTGTACAAACAGAGTGTTTCCTAACTGCTCTATGAAAAGAAAGGTTAAACTCTGTGAGTTGAACGCACACATCACAAAGGAGTTTCTGAGAATCATTCTGTCTAGTTTCTATAGGAAGATATTTCCTATTCTACCATTGACCTCAAAGCGGCTGAAATCTCCACTTGCAAATTCCACAAAAAGAGTGTTTCAAGTCTGCTCTGTGTAAAGGATCGTTCAACTCTGTGAGTTGAATACACACAACACAAGGAAGTTACTGAGAATTCTTCTTTCTAGCAGAATATGAAGAAATCCCGTTTCCAACGAAGGCCACAAGATGTCAGAATATCCACTTACAGACTTTTCAAACAGAGTGTTTCCTAACTGCTCTATGAACAGAAAGGTTAAACTCTATGAGTTGAACGAGCACTTCACAACGCAGTTTGTGGGAATGATTCTGTCTAGTTTTGAAACGAAGATATTTCCTTTTCTGCCATTGACCTTAAAGCGCTTGAAATCTCCACTTGCCAATTGCATAAAAAGAGTATTTCAAATCTGCTCTGTCTAAGGGAACGTTCAACTCTGTGAGTTGAATGTACACAACACAAGGAAGTTACTGGGAATTCTTCTGTCTAGCCTTACATGAAAAAAACCCGTTTCCAACGAAGGCCTCTAAGTGGTCAAATTATGCACGTGCAGACTTTACAAACAGAGTGTTTCCAAACTGCTGAATGAAAAGAAAAGTTAAACTCTGAGAGCTGAACGCACACATCGCAGAGCAGTTTCTGAGAATGATTCTGTCTAGTTTCTACAGGAAGATATTTCCTATTCTACCATTGACCTCAAAGCGGCTGAAATCTCCACTTGCAAATTCCACAAAAAGAGTGTTTCAAGTCTGCTCTGTGTAAAGGATCGTTCAACTCTGTGAGTTGAATACACACAACACAAGGAAGTTACTGAGAATTCTTCTGTCTAGCATAATAGGAAGAAATCCCGTTTCCAAAGAAGGCCTCAAGGAGGTCTGAATATCCACTTGCAGACTTTACAAACAGAGTGTTTCCTAACTGCTCTATGAAAAGAAAGGTTAAACTCTGTGAGTTGAACGCACACATCACAAAGGAGTTTCTGAGAATCATTCTGTCTACTTTCTATAGGAAGATATTTCCTATTCTACCATTGACCTCAAAGCGGCTGAAATCTCCACTTGCAAATTCCACAAAAAGAGTGTTTCAAGTCTGCTCTGTGTAAAGGATCGTTCAACTCTGTGAGTTGAAAACACACAACACAAGGAAGTTTCTAAGAATTCTTCTGTCTAGCAGAATATGAAGAAATCCCGTTTCCAACGAAGGCCACAAGATGTCAGAATATCCACTTACAGAATTGACAAACAGACTGTTTCCTAACTGCTCTATGAAAAGAAAGGTTAAACTCTGTGAGTTGAACGAACACATCACAAAGCAGTTTGTGGGAATGATTCTGTCTAGTTTTGAAACGAAGATATTTCCTTTTCTGCCATTGAGGTTAAAGCGCTTGAAATCTACACTTGCAAGTTGCACAAATAGAGTGTTTCAAATCTGCTCTGTCTAAGGGAACGTTCAACTCTGTGAGTTGAATGCACACAACACAAGGAAGTTACTGGGAATTCTTCTGTCTAGCCTTACATGAAAAAATCTCGTTTCCAACGAAGGCCTCTAAGTGGTCAAAATATCCACGTGCAGACTTTACAAACAGAGTGTTTCCAAACCGCTGAATGAAAAGAAAAGTTAAACTCTGTGAGTTGAACGCACACATCACGCAGCAGTTTCTGAGAATGATTCTGTCTAGTTTTTATACGAAGATATTTCCTTTTCTGCCTTTGGCCTCAAAGCGCTTGAAACCTCCATTTGCAAATTCCATAAAAAGAGTGTTTCAAATCTGCTCTGTGTAAATGAAAGTTCAACTCTGTGAGTTGAACACACACAACACAAGGAAGTTACTGGGAATTCTTTTGTCTAGCATAATATTAAGAAATCCCGTTTCCAACGAAGGCCTCAAAGCGGTCTGAATATCCGCTTGCAGAGTTTACAAACAGAGTGTTTCCTAACTGCTCTATGAAAAGAAAGGTTAAACTCTGTGAGTTGAACGTACACATCACAAAGGAGTTTCTGGGAATCATTCTGTCTAGTTTTTATACGAAGATATTTCCTTTTCTACCATTGACCTCAAAGCGGCTGAAATCTCCACTTGCAAATTCCACAAAAAGAGTGATTCTAGTCTGCTCTGTGTAAAGGATCGTTCAACTCTGTGAGTTGAGTACACACAACACAAGGAGGTTACTGAGAATTCCTCTGTCTAGCATAATATGAAGAAATTCCGTTTCCAACGAAGGCCTCAAAGAGGTCTGAATATCCACTTGCTGATTTACAAACAGAGTGTTTCCTAACTGCTCTATGAAAAGAAAGGTTAAACTCTGTGAGTTGAACGCACACATCACAAAGAAGTTTCTGAGAATCATTCTGTCTAGTTTTTATACGAAGATATTTCCTTTTCTACCATGGACCTCAAAGCGGCTGAAATCTCCACTTGCAAATTCCACAAAAAGAGTGTGTCAAATCTGCTCTGTGTAAAGGATCGTTCAACTCTGTGAGTTGAATACACAGAACACAAGGAAGTTTCTGAGAATTCTTCTGTCTAGCAGAATATGAAGAAATCCCGTTTCCAACGAAGTCCACAAGATGTCAGAATATCCACTTGCAGACTTGGCAAACAGAGCGTTTACAAACGGCTCTATGAAAAGAAAGGTTAAACTCTGTGAGTTGAACGCACACATCACAACGCAGTTTGTGGGAATGATTCTGTCTAGTTTTTATACGAAGATATTTCCTTTTCTGCCTTTGGCCTCAAAGCGCTTGAAATCTCCACTTGCAAACTCCACAAAAAGAGTGTTTCAAATCTGCTCTGTGTAAATCAAAGTTCAACTCTGTGAGTTGAACACACACAACACAAGGAAGTTACTGGGAATTCTTCTGTCTAGACTTACAGGAAAAAAACCCGTTTCCAACGAAGGCCTCAAAGAGGTCTGAATATCCACTTGTAGTCTTTACAACCAGAGTGTTTCCTAACTGCTCTATGAAAAGAAAGGTTAAACTCTGTGAGTTGAACGCACACATCACAAAGGAGTTTCTGAGAATCATTCTGTCTAGTTTTTATAGGAAGATATTTCCTTTTCTACCTTTGACTTCAAAGCGGCTGAAATCTCCACTTGCAAATTCCACAAAAAGAGTGTTACAAGTCTGCTCTGTGTAAAGGATCGTTCAACTCTGTGAGTTGAATACACACAACACAAGGAAGTTACTGAGAATTCTTCTGTCTAGCATAGTATGAAGAAATCCCGTTTCCAACGAAGGCCTCCAAGAGGTCTGAATATCCACTTGCAGAGTTTACAAACAGAGTGTTTCCTAACTGCTCTATGAAAAGAAAGGTTAAACTCTGTGAGTTGAACGCACACATCACAAAGAAGTTTCTGAGAATCATTCTGTCTAGTTTTGAAACGAAGATATTTCCTTTTCTGCCATTGACCTTAAAGCGCTTGAAATCTCCACTTGCCAATTGCACAAAAAGAGTGTTTCAAATCTGCTCTGTCTAAGGGAACGTTCAACTCTGTGAGTTGAATGTACACAACGCAAGGAAGTTACTGGGAATTCTTCTGTCTCCCCTTACATGAAAGAAACCCGTTTTCAACGAAGGCCTCTAAGTGGTCAAAATATCCACGTGCAGACTTTACAAACAGATTGTTTCCAAACTGCTGAATGAAAACAAAAGTTAAACTCTGAGAGTTGAACGCACACATCACAGAGCAGTTTCTGAGAATGATTCTGTCTAGTTTTGAAACGAAGATATTTCCTTTTCTGCCTTTGGCCTCAAAGCGCTTGAAATCTCCATTTGCAAATTCCACAAAAAGAGTGTTTGAAATCTGCTCTGTGTAAATGAAAGTTCAACTCTGTGAGTTGAACACACACAACACAAGGAAGTTACTGGGAATTCTCTTTCTAGCAGAATATGAAGAAATCCCGTTTCCAACGAAAGCCTCAAGGATGTCTGAATATCCACTTGCAGACTTTACAAACAGAGTGTTTCCTAACTGCTCTATGAAAAGAAAGGTTAAACTCTGTGAGTTGAACGCACACATCACAAAGGAGTTTCTGAGAATCATTTCTGTCTAGTTTCTATAGGAAGATATTTCCTATTCTACCATTGACCTCAAAGCGGCTGAAATCTCCACTTGCAAATTCCACAAAAAGAGTGTTTCAAGTCTGCTCTGTGTAAAGCATCGTTCAACTCTGTGAGTTGAATACACACAACACAAGGCAGTTACTGAGAATTCTTCTGTCTAGCAGAATATGAAGAAATCCCGCTTCCAACGAAGGCCTCAAAGAAGTCTGAATATCCACTTGCAGACTTTACAAACAGAGTGTTTCCCAACTGCTCTATGAAAAGAAAGGTTGAACTCTGTGACTTGAACGCACACATCACAAAGGAGTTTCTGAGAATCATTCTGTCTAGTTTTGAAACGAAGATATTTCCTTTTCTGCCGTTGACCTTAAAGCGCTTGAAATCTCCACTTGCAAATTCCACAAAAACAGTGTTTCAAATCTGCTCTCTCTAAATGAAAGTTCAACTCTGTCAGTTGAATACACACAACACAAGGAAGTTACTGAGAATTCTTCTGTCTAGCCTTACATGAAAAAAACCCGTTTCCAACGAAGGCCTCTAAGTGGTCAAATTATCCACGTGCAGACTTTACAAACAGAGTGTTTCCAAACTGCTGAATGAAAAGAAAAGTTAAACTCTGAGAGTTGAACGCACACATCGCAGAGCAGTTTCTGAGAATGATTCTGTCTAGTTTTTATACGAAGATATTTCCTTTTCTGCCTTTGGCCTCAAAGCGCTTGAAATCTCCATTAGCAAATTCCACAAAAAGAGTGTCTCAAAACTGCTCTGTGTAAATGAAAGTTCAACTCTGTGAGTTGAACACACACAACACAAGGAAGTTACTGGGAATTCTTCTGTCTAGCATAATATGAAGAAATCCCGTTTCCAACGAAGGCCTCAAAGGGGTCTGAATATCCACTTGCAGACTTTATAAACAGAGTGTTTACTAACTGCTCTATGAAAAGAAAGGTTAAACTCTGTGGGTTGAACACACACATCACAAAGGAGTTTCTGAGAATCATTCTGTCTATTTTCTATAGGAAGATATTTCCTATTGTACCATTGACCTCAAAGCGGCTGAAATCTCCACTTGCAAATTCCACAAAAAGAGTGTTTCAAGTCTGCTCTCTGTAAAGGATCGTTCAACTCTGTGAGTTGAATACACACAACACAAGGAAGTTACTGAGAATTATTCTGTCTAGCATAATATGAAGAAATCCCGTTTCCAACGAAGGCCTCAAAGAGGTCTGAATATCCACTTGCAGACTTTACACACAGAGTGTTTCCTAACTGCTCTATGAAAAGAAAGGTTAAACTCTGTGAGTTGAACGCACACATCACAAAGGACTTTCTGAGAATCATTCTGTCTAGTTTCTATAGGAAGATATTTCCTATTCTAGCATTGACCTCAAAGCGGCTGAAATCTCCACTTGCAAATTCCACAAAAAGAGTGTTTCAAGTCTGCTCTGTGTAAAGGATCGTTCAACTCTGTGAGTTGAATACACACAACACAAGGAAGTTACTGAGAATTCTTGTGTCTAGCCTTACATGAAAAAAACCCGTTTCCAACGAAGGCCTCTAAGTGGTCAAATTATCCACGTGCAGACTTTACAAACAGATTGTTTCCAAACTGCTGAATGAAAAGAAAAGTTAAACTCTGAGAGTTGAACGCACACATCGCAGAGCATTTTCTGAGAATGATTCTGTCTAGTTTTTATACGAAGATATATCCTTTTCTGCCTTTGGTCTCAAAGCGCTTGAAATCTCCACTTGCAAATTCCACAAAAAGAGTGTTTCAAATCTGCTCTGTGTAAATGAAAGTTCAACTCTGTGAGTTGAACACACACAACACAAGGAAGTTACTAGGAATTCTTCTGTCTAGCATAATATGAAGAAATCCCTTTTCCAGCGAAGGCCTCAAGGATGTCTGAATATCCACTTGCAGACTTTACAAACAGAGTGTTTCCTAACTGCTCTATGAAAAGAAAGGTTAAACTCTGTGAGTTGAACGCACACATCACAAAGGAGTTTCTGAGAATCATTCTGTCTAGTTTCTATAGGAAGATATTTCCTATTCTACCATTGACCTCAAAGCGGCTGAAATCTCCACTTACAAATTCCACAAAAAGAGTGTTTCAAGTCTGCTCTGTGTAAAGGATCGTTCAACTCTGTGAGTTGAATACACACAACACAAGGAAGTTACTGAGAATTATTCTGTCTAGCAGAATATGAAGAAATCCCGTTTCCAACGAAGACCTCAAAGAGGTCTGAATATCCACTGGCAAACTTTACAACCAGAGTGTTTCCTAACTGCTCTATGAACAGAAAGGTTAAACTCTGTGAGTTGAACGAACACATCACAACGCAGTTTGTGGGAATGATTCTGTCTAGTTTTGAAACGAAGATATTTCCTTTTTGTCATTGACCTTAATGCGCTTGAAATCTACACTTGTAAATTACACAAATAGAGTGTTTCAAATCTGCTCTGTCTAAGGGAACGTTCAACTCTGTGAGTTGAATGCACACAACACAAGGAAGTTACTGGGAATTCTTCTGTCTAGCCTTACATGAAAAAAACCCGTTTCCAACGAAGGCCTCTAAGTGGTCAAAATTTCCACGTGCAGACTTTACAAACAGAGTGTTTCCAAACCGCTGAATGAAAAGAAAAGTTAAATTCTGAGAGTTGAACGCACACATCAAGCAGCAGTTTCTGAGAATGATTCTGTCTAGTTTCTATAGGAAGATATTTCCTATTCTACCATTGACCTCAAAGTGGCTGAAATCTCCACTTGCAAATTCCACAAAAAGAGTGTTTCAAGTCTGCTCTGTGTAAAGGATTGTTCAACTCTGTGAGTTGAATACACACAACACAAGGGAAGTTACTGAGAATTCTTCTTTCTAGCAGAATATGAAGAAATCCCGTTTCCAACGAAAGCCTCAAGGATGTCTGAATATCCACTTGCAGACTTTACAAACAGAGTGTTTCCTAACTGCTCTATGAAAAGAAAGGTTAAACTCTGTGAGTTGAATGCACACATCACAAAGGAGTTTCTGAGAATCATTCTGTCTAGTTTCTATAGGAAGATATTTCCTATTCTACCATTGACCTCAAAGCGGCTGAAATCTCCACTTGCAAATTCCACAAAAAGAATGTTTCAAGTCTGCTCTGTGTAAAGGATCGTTCAACTCTGTGAGTTGAATACACACAACACAAGGAAGTTACTGAGAATTCTTCTGTCTAGCAGAATATGAAGAAATCCCGTTTCCAAGGAAGGCCTCAAAGAGGTCTGAATATCCACTTGCAGACTTTACAAACAGAGTGTTTCCTAACTGCTCTATGAAAAGAAAAGTTAAACTCTGTGAGTTGAACGCACACATCACAAAGGAGTTTATGAGAATCATTCTGTCTAGTTTTGAAACGAAGATATTTCCTTTTCTGCCATTGACCTTAAAGCGCTTGAAATCTACACTTGCAAATTGCACAAATAGAGTGTTTCAAATCTGCTCTGTCTAAGGGAACGTTCAGCTCTGTGAGGTGAATGCACACAACACAAGGAAGTTACTGGGAATTCTTCTGTCTAGCCTTACATGAAAAAAACCCGTTTCCAACGAAGGCCTCTAAGTGGTCAAAATATCCACGTGCAGACTTTACAAACAGAGTGTTTCCAAACTGCTGAATGAAAAGAAAAGTTAAACTCTGAGAGTTGAACGCACACATCACAGAGCGGTTTCTGAGAATGATTCTGTCTAGTTTCTATAGGAAGATATTTCCTATTCTACCATTGACCTCAAAGCGGCTGAAATCTCCACTTGCAAATTCCACAAAAGTAGTGTTTCAAGTCTGCTCTGTGTAAAGGATCGTTCAACTCTGTGAGTTGAAAACACACAACACAAGGAAGTTTCTGAGAATTCTTCTGTCTAGCAGAACATGAAGAAATCCCGCTTCCAACGAAGGCCTCAAAGAAGTCTGAATATCCACTTGCAGACTTTACAAACAGAGTGTTTCCCAACTGCTCTATGAAAAGAAAGGTTGAACTCTGTGAGTTGAACGCACACATCACAAAGGAGTTTCTGAGAATCATTCTGTCTAGTTTTTATACGAAGATATTTCCTTTTCTACCATGGACCTCAAAGCGGCTGAAATCTCCACTAGCAAATTCCACAAAAAGAGTGTTTCAAGTCTGCTCTGTGTAAAGGATCGTTCAACTCTGTGAGTTGAATACACACAACACAAGGAAGATTCTGAGAATTCTTCTGTCTAGCAGAATATGAAGAAATCCCGTTTCCAACGAAGGCCACAAGATGTCAGAATATCCACTTACAGACTTTACAAACAGAGTGTTTCCTAACTGCTCTATGAACAGAAAGGTTAAACTCTGTGAGTTGAACGAACACATCACAACGCAGTTTGTGGGAATAATTCTGTCTAGTTTTGAAACGAAGATATTTCCTTTTCTGCCGTTGACCTTAAAGCGCTTGAAATCTACACTTGCAAATTGCACAAATAGAGTGTTTCAAATCTGCTCTGTCTAAGGGAACGTTCAACTCTGTGAGTTGAATGCACACAACACAAGGAAGTTACTGGGAATTCTTCTGTCTAGCCTTACATGAAAAAAACCCGTTTCCAACGAAGGCCTCTAAGTGGTCAAAATATCCACGTGCAGACTTTACAAACAGAGTGTTTCCAAACCGCTGAATGAAAAGAAAAGTTAAACTCTGAGAGTTGAACGCACACATCACACAGCAGTTTCTGAGAATGATTCTGTCTCGTTTTTATACGAAGATATTTCCTTTTCTGCCTTTGGCCCCAAAGCGCTTGAAATCTCCACTTGCAAATTCCACAAAAACAGTGTTTCAAATCTGCTCTCTCCAAATGAAAGTTCAACTCTGTCAGTTGAATACACACAACACAAGGAAGTTACTGAGAATTCTTCTGTCTAGCAGAATATGAAGAAATCCCGTTTCCAACGAAGGCCTCAAGGAGGACTGAATATCCACTTGCAGACTTTACAAACAGAGTGTTTCCTAACTGCTCTATGAAAAGAAATGTTAAACTCTGTGAGTTGAACGTACACATCACAAAGGAGTTTATGAGAATCATTCTGTCTAGTTTCTATAGGAAGATATTTCCTATTCTACCATTGACCTCAAAGCGGCTGAAATCTCCACTTGCAGATTCCACAAGAAGAGTGTTTCAAGTATGCTCTGTGTAAAGGATCGATCAACTCTGTGAGTTGAATACACACAACACAAGGAAGTTACTGAGAATTTTTTCTGTCTAGCAGAATATGAAGAAATCCCGTTTCCAACGAAGGCCACAAGATGTCAGAATATCCACTTACAGAATTTACAAACAGACTGTTTCCTAACTGCTCTATGAAAAGAAAGGTTAAACTCTGTGAGTTGAACGAACACATCACAACGCAGTTTGTGGGAATGATTCTGTCTAGTTTTGAAACGAAGATATTTCCTTTTCTGCCATTGACCTTAAAGCGCTTGAAATCTCCATTTGCCAATTGCACAAAAAGAGTGTTTCAAATCTGCTCTGTCTAAGGGAACGTTCAACTCTGTGAGTTGAATGTACACAACACAAGGAAGTTACTGGGAATTCTTCTGTCTAGCCTTACAGGAAAAAATCCCGTTTCCAACGAAGGCCTCTAAGTGGTCAAAATATCCACGTGCAGACTTTACAAACAGAGTGTTTCCAAACTGTTGAATGAAAAGAAAAGTTAAACTCTGAGAGTTGAACGCACACATCGCAGAGCAGTTTCTGAGAATGATTCTGTCTAGTTTTGAAACGAAGATATTTCCTTTTCTGCCTTTGGCCTCAAAGCGCTTGAAATCTCCACTTGCAAATTCCACAAAAAGAGTGTTTCAAATCTGCTCTGGGTAAATGAAAGTTCAACTCTGTGAGTTGAACACACACAACACAAGGAAGTTACTGGGAATTCTTCTGTCTAGCACAGTATGAAGAAACCCGTTTCCAACGAAGGCCTCAAAGAGGTCTGAATATCCACTTGCAGAGTTTGAAAACACAGTGTTTCCTAACTACTCTATGAAAAGAAAGGTTAAACTCTGTGAGTTGAACACACACATCACAAAGAAGTTTCTGAGAATCATTCTGTCTAGTTTCTATAGGAAGATATTTCCTATTCTACCATTGACCTCAAAGCGGCTGAAATCTCCACTTGCAAATTCCACAAAAAGAGTGTTTCAAGTCTGCTCTGTGTAAAGGATCGTTCAACTCTGTGAGTTGAATACACACAACACAAGGAAGTTACTGAGAATTATTCTGTCTAGCAGAATATGAAGAAATCCCGTTTCCAACGAAGGCCACAAGATGTCAGAATATCCACTTACAGACTTTACAAACAGAGTGTTTCCTAACTGCTCTATGAACAGAAAGGTTAAATTCTGTGAGTTGAACGAACACATCACAACGCAGTTTGTGGGAATGATTCTGTCTAGTTTTGAAACGAAGATATTTCCTTTTCTGCCATTGACCTTAAAGCGCTTGAAATCTACACTTGCAAATTGCACAAATAGAGTGTTTCAAATCTGCTCTGTCTAAGGGAACGTTCAACTCTGTGAGTTGAATGCACAAAACACAAGGAAGTTACTGGGAATTCTTCTGTCTAGCATAATATGAAGAAATCCCGTTTCCTACGAAGGCCTCAAAGAGGTCTGAATATCCACTTGCAGACTTTACAAACAGAGTGTTTCCTAACTGCTCTATGAAAAGAAAAGTTAAACTTTGTGAGTTGAACGCACACATTAGAAAGGAGTTTATGAGAATCATTCTGTCTAGTTTCTATAGGAAGATATTTCCTATTCTACCATTGACCTCAAAGCGGCTGAAATCTCCAATTGCAAATTCCACAAAAGGAGTGTTTCAAGTCTGCTCTGTGTAAAGGATCGTTCAACTCTGTGAGTTGAATACACACAACACAAGGAAGTTACTGAGAATTCTTCTGTCTAGCATAATATGAAGAAATCCCGTTTCCAACGAAGGCCTCAAGGAGGTCTGAATATCCACTTGCAGACTTTACAAACAGAGTGTTTCCTAACTGCTCTATGAAAAGAAAGGTTAAACTGTGTGAGTTGAACGCTCACATCACAAAGGAGTTTCTCAGAATCATTCTGTCTAGTTTTTATACGAAGATATTTCCTTTTCTACCATTGACCTCAACGCGGCTGAAATCTCCACTTGCAAATTCCACAAAAAGAGTGTTTCAAATCTGCTGTGTGTAAATGAAAGTTCAACTCTGTGAGTTGAACACACACAACACAAGGAAGTTACTGGGAATTCTTCTGTCTAGCAGAATATGAAGAAATCCCGTTTCCAACGAAGGCCACAAGATGTCAGAATATCCACTTACAGAATTGACAAACAGACTGTTTCCTAACTCCTCTATGAAAAGAAAGGTTAAACTCTGTGAGTTGAACGAACACATCACAACGCAGTTTGTGGGAATGATTCTGTCTAGTTTTGAAACGAAGATATTTCCTTTTCTGCCATTGACCTTAAAGCGCTTGAAATCTCCATTTGCCAATTGCACAAAAAGAGTGTTTCAAATCTGCTCTGTCTAAGGGAACGTTCAACTCTGTGAGTTGAATGTACACAACACAAGGAAGTTACTGGGAATTCTTCTGTCTAGCCTTACATGAAAAAAACCCGTTTCCAACGAAGGCCTCTAAGTGGTCAAGTTATCCACGTGCAGACTTTACAAACAGAGTGTTTCCAAACTGCTGAATGAAAAGAAAAGTTAAACTCTGAGAGTTGAACGCACACATCGCAGAGCAGTTTCTGAGAATGATGCTGTCTAGTTTTTATACGAAGATATTTCCTTTTCTGCCTTTGGCCTCAAAGGGCTTGAAATCTCCACTTGCAAATTCCACAAAAAGAGTGTTTCAAATCTGCTCTGTGTAAATGAAAGTTCAACTCTGTGAGTTGAACACACACAACACAAGGAAGTTACTGGGAATTCTTCTGTCTAGCATAATATGAAGAAATCCCGTTTCCAACGAAGGCCTCAAAGGGGTCTGAATATCCACTTGCAGACTTTATAAACAGAGTGTTTACTAACTGCTCTATGAAAAGAAAGGTTAAACTCTGTGAGTTGAACACACACATCACAAAGGAGTTTCTGAGAATGATTCTGTCTAGTTTTTATACGAAGATATTTCCTTTTCTACCATTGACCTCAACGCGGCTGAAATCTCCACTTGCAAATTCCACAAAAAGAGTGTTTCAAGTCTGCTCTGTGTAAAGGATCGTTCAACTCTGTGAGTTGAATACACACAACACAAGGAAGTTACTGAGAATTCTTCTGTGTAGCACAGTATGAAGAAATCCCGTTTCCAACGAAGGCCTCAAAGAGGTCTGAATATCCACTTGCAGAGTTTACAAACAGACTGTTTCCTAACTGCTCTATGAAAAGAAAGGTTAAACTCTGTGAGTTGAACGCACACATCACCAAGAAGTTTCTGAGAATCATTCTGTCTAGTTTTTATAGGAATATATTTCCTTTTCTACCTTTGACTTCAAAGCGGCTGAAATCTCCACTTGCAAATTCCACAAAAAGAGTGTTACAAGTCTGCTCTGTGTAAAGGATCGTTCAACTCTGTGAGTTGAATACACACAACACAAGGAAGTTACTGAGAATTCTTCTGTCTAGCCTTACATGAAAAAAACCCGTTTCCAACGAAGGACTCTAAGTGGTCAAATTATCCACGTGCAGACTTTACAAACAGAGTGTTTCCAAACTGCTGAATGAAAAGAAAAGTTAAACTCTGAGAGTTGAACGCACACATCGCAGAGCAGTTTCTGAGAATGATTCTGTCTAGTTTTTATACGAAGATATTTCCTTTTCTGCCTTTGGCCTGAAAGCGCTTGAAATCTCCACTTGCAAATTCCACAAAAAGAGTGTTTCAAATCTGCTCTGTGTAAATGAAAGTTCAACTCTGTGAGTTGAACACACACAACACAAGGAAGTTACTGGGAATTCTTCTGTCTAGCCTTATATGAAAAAAACCCGTTTCCAACGAAGGCCTCAAAGAGGTCTGAATATCCACTTGCAGACTTTACAAACAGAGTGTTTCCTAACTGCTGTATGTAAAGAAAGTTTAAACTCTGTGAGTTGAACGCACACATCACAAAGGAGTTTCTGAGAATCATTCTGTCTAGTTTTTGTACGAAGATATTTCCTTTTCTAACACGGACCTCAAAGCGGCTGAAATCTCCACTTGCAAATTCCACAAAAAGAGTGTTTCAAGTCTGCTCTGTGTAAAGGATCGTTCAACTCTGTGAGTTGAATACACACAACACAAGGAAGATTCTGAGAATTCTTCTGTCTAGCCTTACATGAAAAAAACCCGTTTCCAACGAAGGTCTCTAAGTGGTCAAATTATCCACGTGCAGACTTTACAAACAGATTGTTTCCAAACTGCTGAATGAAAAGAAAAGTTAAACTCTGAGAGTTGAACGCACACATCGCAGAGCAGTTTCTGAGAATGATTCTGTCTAGTTTTGAAACGAAGATATTTCCTTTTCTGCCATTGACCTTAAAGCGCTTGAAATCTCCACTTGCCAAGTGCACAAAAAGAGTGTTTCAAATCTGCTCTGTGTAAGGGAACGTTCAACTCTGTGAGTTGAATGTACACAACACAAGGAAGTTACTGGGAATTCTTCTGTCTAGCCTTACAGGAAAAAAACCCGTTTCCAACGAAGGCCTCTAAGTGGTCAAAATATCCACGTGCAGACTTTACAAACAGAGTGTTTCCAAACTGCTGAATGAAAAGAAAAGTTAAACTCTGAGAGTTGAACGCGCACATTGCAGAGCAGTTTCTGAGAATGATTCTGACAAGTTTTTATACGAAGATATTTCCTTTTCTGCCTTTGGCCTCAAAGCGCTTGAAATCTCCACTTGCAAATTCCACAAAAAGAGTGTTTCAAATCTGCTCTGTGTAAATCAAAGTTCAACTCTGTGAGTTGAACACACACAACACAAGGAAGTTACTGGGAATTCTTCTGTTTAGCCTTATATGTAAAAAACCCGTTTCCAACGAAGGCCTCAAAGAGGTCTGAATATCCACTTGCAGACTTTACAAACAGAGTGTTTCCTAACTGCTCTATGAAAAGAAAGGTTAAACTCTGTGAGTTGAACGCACACATCACAAAGGAGATTCTGAGAATCATTCTGTCTAGTTTTTATACGAAGATATTTCCTTTACTACCATTGACCTCAAAGCGGCTGAAATCTCCCCTTGCAAATTCCACAAAAAGAGTGTTTCAAGTCTGCACTGTGTAACGGATCGTTCAACTCTGTGAGTTGAATGCACACAACACAAGGAAGTTTCTGAGAATTCTTCTGTCTAGCAGAATATGAAGAAATCCCGTTTCCAACGAAGGCCTCAAAGAGGTCTGAATATCCACTTGCAGACTTTACAAACAGAGTGTTTCCTAACTGCTCTACGAAAAGAAAGGTTAAACTCTGTGAGTTGAACGCACACATCACAAAGGAGTTTCTGAGAATCATTCTGTCTAGTTTTGAAACGAAGATATTTCCTTTTCTGCCATTGAACTTAAAGCGCTTGAAATCTCCATTTGCCAATTGCACAAAAAGAGTGTTTCAAATCTGCTCTGTCTAAGGGAACGTTCAACTCTGTGAGTTGAATGTACACAACACAAGGAAGTTACTGGGAATTCTTCTGTCTAGCCTTACATGAAAAAAAACCGTTTCCAACGAAGGCCTCTAAGTGGTCAAAATTTCCACGTGCAGACTTTACAAACAGAGTGTTTCCAAACCGCTGAATGAAAAGAAAAGTTAAACTCTGAGAGTTGAACGCACACATCACGCAGCAGTTTCTGAGAATGATTCTGTCTAGTTTCTATAGGAAGATAATTCCTATTCTACCATTGACCTCAAAGCGGCTGAAATCTCCACTTGCAAATTCCACAAAAGGAGTGTTTCAAGTCTGCTCTGAGTAAAGGATCATTCAACTCTGTGAGTTCAATACACACAACACAAGGAAGTTTCTGAGAATTCTTCTGTCTAGCATAATATGAAGAAATCCCGTTTCCAACGAAGGCCTCAAGGAGGTCTGAATATCCACTTGCAGACTTTACAAACAGAGTGTTTCCTAACTGCTCTATGAAAAGAAAGGTTAAACTCTGTGAGTTGAACGCACACATCACAAAGGAGTTTCTGAGAATCATTCTGTCTAGTTTTTATACGAAGATATTTCCTTTTCTACCATTGACCTCAAAGCGGCTGAAATCTCCTCTTGCAAATTACACAAAAAGATTGTTTCAAGTCTACTCTGTGTAAAGCATCGTTCAACTCTGTGAGTTGAAAACACACAACACAAGGAAGTTTCTGAGAATTCTTCTCTCTAGCAGAACATGAAGAAATCCCGCTTCCAACGAAGGCCTCAAAGAAGTCTGAATATCCACTTGCAGACTTTTCAAACAGAGTGTTTCCCAACTGCTCTATGAAAAGAAAGGTTGAACTCTGTGAGTTGAACGCACACATCACAAAGGAGTTTCTGAGAATAATTCTGTCTAGTTTTAAAACGAAGAAATTTCCTTTTCTGCCATTGACCTTAAAGCGCTTGAAATCTACACTTGCAAATTGCACAAATAGAGTGTTTCAAATCTGCTCTGTCTAAGGGAACGTTCAACTCTGTGAGTTGAATGCACACAACAACAAGGAAGTTACTGGGAATTCTTCTGTCTAGCCTTACATGAAAAAAACCCGTTTCCAACGAAGGCCTCTAAGTGGTCAAATTATCCACGTGCAGACTTTACAAACAGAGTGTTTCCAAACTGCTGAATGAAAAGAAAAGTTATACTCTGAGAGTTGAACGCACACATCGCAGAGCAGTTTCTGAGAATGATTCTGTCTAGTTTTTATACGAAGATATTTCCTTTTCTGCCTTTGGTCCCAAAGCGCTTGAAATCTCCACTTGCAAATTCCACAAAAACAGTGTTTCAAATCTGCTCTCTCTAAATGAAAGTTCAACTCTGTCAGTTGAATACACACAACACAAGGGAAGTTACTGAGAATTCTTCTGTATAGCAGAACATGAAGAAATCCCGTTTCCAACGAAGGCCTCAAGGAGGTCTGAATATCCACTTGCAGACTTTACAAACAGAGTGTTTCCTAACTGCTCTATGAAAAGAAAGGTTAAACTCTGTGAGTTGAACGCACACATCACAAAGGAGTTTCTGAGAATCATTTTGTCTAGTTTTTCTACGAAGATATTTCCTTTTCGACTATTGACCTCAAAGCGGCTGAAATCTCCACTTGCAAATTCCACAAAAAGAGTGTTTCAAGTCTGCTCTGTGTAAAGGATCGTTCAACTCTGTGAGTTGAATACACACAACACAAGGGAAGTTACTGAGAATTCTTCTGTCTAGCCTTACATGAAAAAAACCCGTTTCCAACGAAGGCCTCTAAGTGGTCAAATTATCCACGTGCAGACTTTACAAACAGAGTGTTTCCAAACTGCTGAATGAGAAGAAAAGTTAAACTCTGTGAGTTGAACGAACACATCACAACGCAGTTTGTGGGAATGATTCTGTCTAGTTTTGAAACGAAGATATTTCCTTTTCTGCCATTGACCTTAAAGCGCTTGAAATCTCCACTTGCCAATTGCACAAAAAGAGTGTTTCAAATCTGCTCTGTCTAAGGGAACGTTCAACTCTGTGAGTTGAATGTACACAACACAAGGAAGTTACTGGGAATTCTTCTGTCTAGCCTTACATGAAAAAAACCCGTTTCCAACGAAGGCCTCTAAGTGGTCAAAATTTCCACGTGCAGACTTTACAAACAGAGTGTTTCCAAACCGCTGAATGAAAAGAAAAGTTAAACTCTGAGAGTTGAACGCACACATCACACAGCAGTTTCTGAGAATGATTATGTCTAGTCTTTATACGAAGATATTTACTTTTCTACCATTGACCTCAAAGCGGCTGAAATCTCCACTTGCAATTTCCACAAAAAGAGTGTTTCAAGTCTGCTCTGTGTAAAGGATCATTCAACTCTGTGAGTTGAATAAACACAACAGAAGGAAGTTACTGAGAATTCTTCTGTCTAGCATAATATGAAGAAATCCCGTTTCCAACGAAGGCCTCAAGGAGGTCTGAATATCCACTTGCAGACTTTACAAACAGAGTGTTTCCTAACTGCTCTATGAAAAGAAAGGTTAAACTCTGTGAGTTGAACGCACGCATCACAAAGGAGTTTCTGAGAATCATTCTGTCTAGTCTTTATACGAAGATATTTCCTTTTCTACCATTGACCTCAAAACGGCTGAAATCTCCACTTGCAAATTCCACGAAAAGAGTGTTTCAAGTCTGCTCTGTGTAAAGGATCGTTCAACTCTGTGAGTTGAATACACACAACACAAGGAAGTTACTGAGAATTCTTCTGTCTAGCAGAATATGAAGAAATCCCGTTTCCAACGAAGGCCACAAGATGTCAGAATATCCACTTACAGACTTTACAAACAGAGTGTTTCCTAACTGCTCTATGAACAGAAAGGTTAAACTCTGTGAGTTGAACGAACACATCACAACGCAGTTTGTGGGAATGATTCTGTCTTGTTTTGAAAGGAAGATATTTCCTTTTCTGCCGTTGACCTTAAAGCGCTTGAAATCTACACTTGCAAATTGCACAAATAGGCTGTTTCAAATCTGCTCTGTCTAAGGGAACGTTCAACTCTGTGAGTTGAATGCACACAACACAAGGAAGTTACTGGGAATTCTTCTGTCTAGCCTTACATGCAAAAAACCAGTTTCCAACGAAGGCCTCTAAGTGGTCAAAATATCCACGTGCAGACTTTACAAACAGAGTGTTTCCAAACCGCTGAATGAAAAGAAAAGTTAAACTCTGAGAGTTGAACGCACACATCACGCAGCAGTTTCTGAGAATGATTCTGTCTAGTTTTTATACGAAGACATTTCCTTTTCTGCCTTTGGCCCCAAAGCGCTTGAAATCTCCATTTGCAAATTCCACAAAAACAGTGTTTCAAATCTGCTCTCTCTAAATGAAAGTTCAACTCTGTCAGTTGAATACACACAACACAAGGAAGTTACTGAGAATTCTTCTGTCTAGCATAATATGAAGAAATCCCGTTTCCAACGAAGGCCTCAAAGGGGTCTGAATATCCACTTGCAGACTTTATAAACAGAGTGTTTCCTAACTGCTCCATGAAAAGAAAGGTTAAACTCTGTGAGTTCAACGCACACATCACAAAGGAGTTTATGAGAATCATTCTGTCTAGTTTCTATAGGAAGATATTTCCTATTCTACCATTGACCTCAAAGCGGCTGAAATCTCCACTTGCAAATTCCACAAAAAGAATGTTTCAAGTCTGCTCTGTGTAAAGCATCGTTCAACTCTGTGAGTTGAATACACACAACACAAGGAAGTTACTGAGAATTCTTCTGTCTAGCATAATATGAAGAAATCCCGTTTCCAACGAAGGCCTCAAAGAGGTCTGAATATCCACTTGCAGACTTTACAAACCGAGTGTTTCCTAACTGCTCTATGAAAAGAAAAGTTAAACTCTGTGAGTTGAACGCACACATCACAAAGGAGTTTCTGAGAATCATTCTGTCTAGTTTTGAAACGAAGATATTTCCTTTTCTGCCATTGACCTTAAAGCGCTTGAAATCTCCATTTGCCAATTGCACAAAAAGAGTGTTTCAAATCTGCTCTGTCTAAGGGAACGTTCAACTCTGTGAGTTGAATGTACACAACACAAGGAAGTTACTGGGAATTCTTCTGTCTAGCCTTACAGGAAAAAAACCCGTTTCCAACGAAGGCCTCTAAGTGGTCAAAATATCCACGTGCAGACTTTACAACCAGAGTGTTTCCAAACTGCTGAATGAAAAGAAAAGTTAAACTCTGAGAGTTGAACGCACACATCGCAGAGCAGTTTCTGAGAATGATTCTGTCTAGTTTTGAAACGAAGACATTTCCTTTTCTGCCTTTGGCCTCAAAGCGCTTGAAATCTCCACTTGCAAATTCCACAAAAAGAGTGTTTCAAATCTGCTCTGTGTAAATGAAAGTTCAACTCTGTGAGTTGAATACACACAACACAAGGAAGTTACTGAGAATTCTTCTGTCTAGCATAATATGAAGAAATCCCGTTTCCAACGAAGGCCTCAAAGAGGTCTGAATATCCACTTGCAGACTTTACAAACAGAGTGTTTCCTAACTGCTCTATGAAAAGAAAAGTTAAACTCTGTGAGTTGAACGCACACATCAGAAAGGAGTTTCTGAGAATCATTCTGTCTAGTTTTTATAGGAAGATATTTCCTTTTCTACCATTGACCTCAAAGCGGCTGAAATCTCCACTTGCAAATTCCACAAAAACAGTGTTTCAAGTCTGCTCTGTGTAAAGGATCGTTGAACTCTGTGAGTTGAATACACACAACACAAGGAAGTTACTGAGAATTATTCTGTCTAGCAGAATATGAAGAAATCCCGTTTCCAACGAAGGCCTCAAGGAGGTCGGATATCCACTTGCAGACTTTACAAACAGAGTGTTTCCTAACTGCTCTATGAACAGAAAGGTTAAACTCTGTGAGTTGAAGGCACACATCACAAAGGAGTTTCTGAGAATCATTCTGTCTAGTTTTGAAACGAAGATATTTCCTTTTCTGCCATTGACCTTAAAGCGCTTGAAATCTACACTTGCAAATTGCACAAATAGAGTGTTTCAAATCTGCTCTGTCTAAGGGAACGTTCAACTCTGTGAGTTGAATGCACACAACACAAGGAAGTTACTGGGAATTCTTCTGTCTAGCCTTACATGAAAAAAACCCGTTTCCAACGAAGGCCTCTAAGTGGTCAAAATATCCACGTGCAGTCTTTACAAACAGAGTGTTTCCAAACCGCTGAATGAAAAGAAAAGTTAAACTCTGAGAGTTGAACGCACACATCACGCAGCAGTTTTCTGAGAATGATTTCTGTCTAGTTTTCATACGAAGATGTTTCCTTTTCTGCCTTTGGCCCCAAAGCGCTTGAAATCTCCACTTGCAAATTCCACAAAAACAGTGTTTCAAAACTGCTCTCTCTAAATGAAAGTTCAACTCTGTCAGTGTGAATACACACAACACAAGGAAGTTACTGAGAATTCTTCTGTCTAGCCTTACATGAAAAAAACCCGTTTCCAACGAAGGCCTCAAAGAGGTCTGAATATCCACTTGCAGACTTTACAAACAGAGTGTTTCCTAACTGCTCTATGAAAAGAAAGGTTAAACTCTGTGAGTTGAACGCACACATCACAATGAAGTTTCTGAGAATCATTTTGTCTAGTTTCTATAAGAAGATATTTCCTATTCTACCATTGACCTCAAAGCGGCTGAAATCTCCACTTGCAAATTCGACAAAAAGAGTGTTTCAAGCCTGCTCTCTGTAAAGGATCCTTCAACTCTGTGAGTTGAATACACACAACACAAGGAAGTTACTGAGAATTATTCTGTCTAGCATAATATGAAGAAATCCCGTATCCAACGAAGGCCTCAAACAGGTCTGAATATCCACTTGCAGACTTTACAAACAGAGTGTTTCCTAACTGCTCTATGAGAAGAAAAGTTAAACTCTGTGAGTTGAACGCACACATCACAAAAGATTTTCTGAGAATCATTCTGTCTAGTTTTGAAACGAAGATAATTCCTTTTCTGCCATTGACCTCAAAGCGCTTCAAATCTCCACTTGCCAATTGCACAAAAAGAGTGTTTCAAATCTGCTCTGTCTAAGGGAACGTTCAACTCTGTGAGTTGAATGTACACAACGCAAGGAAGTTACTGGGAATTCTTCTGTCTAGCATAGTATGAAGAAATCCCGTTTCCAACGAAGGCCTCAAAGAGGTCTGAATATCCACTTGCAGAGTTTACAAACTGAGTGTTTCCAAACTGCTGAATGAAAAGAAAAGTTAAACTCTGAGAGTTGAACGCACACATCGCAGAGCAGTTTCTGAGAATGATTCTGTCTAGTTTTTATACGAAGATATTTCCTTTTCTGCCTTTGGTCTCAAAGCGCTTGAAATCTCCACCTGCAAATTCCACAAAAAGAGTGTTTCAAATCTGCTCTGTGTAAATGAAAGTTCAACTCTGTGAGTTGAACACACACAACACAAGGAAGTTACTGGGAATTCTTCTGTCTAGCATAATATGAAGAAATCCCGTTTCCAACGAAGGCCTCAAGGAGGTCTGAATATCCACTTGCAGACTTTACAAACAGAGTGTTTCCTATCTGCTCTATGAAAAGAAAGGTTAAACTCTGTGAGTTAAACGCACACATCACAAAGGAGTTTCTGAGAATCACTCTGTCTAGTTTTTATAGGAAGATATTTCCTTTTCTACCTTTGACTTCAAAGCGGCTGAAATCTCCACTTGCAAATTCCACAAAAAGAGTGTTACAAGTCTGCTGTGTGTAAAGGATCGTTCAACTCTGTGAGTTGAATACACACAACACAAGGAAGGTACTGAGAATTCTTCTGTCTAGCAGAATATGAAGAAATCCCGTTTCCAACGAAGGCCTCTAGGAGGTCTCAATATCTACTTGCAGACTTTACAAACAGAGTGTTTCCTAACTGCTCTATGAACAGAAAGGTTAAACTCTGTGAGTTGAACGAACACATCACAACGCAGTTTGTGGGAATGATTCTGTCTAGTTTTGAAACGAAGATATTTCCTTTTCTGCCGTTGACCTTAAAGCGCTTGAAATCTACACTTGCAAATTGCACAAATAGAGTGTTTCAAATCTGCTCTGTCTAAGGGAACGTTCAACTCTGTGAGTTGAATGCACACAACACAAGGAAGTTACTGGGAATTCTTCTGTCTACCCTTACATGAAAAAAACCCGTTTCCAACGAAGGCCTCTAAGTGGTCAAAATATCCACGTGCAGACTTTACAAACAGAGTGTTTCCAAACTGCTGAATGAAAAGAAAAGTTAAACTCTGAGAGTTGAACGCACACATCACAGAGCATTTTCTGAGAATGATTCTGTCTAGTTTTTATACGAAGATATTTCCTTTTCTACCATTGACCTCAAAGCGGCTGAAATCTCCACTTGCAAACTCCACAAAAAGAGTGTTTCAAGTCTGCTCTGTGTAAAGGATCGTTCAACTCTGTGAGTTGAATACACACAACACAAGGAAGTTACTGAGAATTCTTCTGTCTAGCCTTATATGAAAAAAACCCGTTTCCAACGAAGGCCTCAAAGAGGTCTGAATATCCACTTGCAGACTTTACAGAGTGTTTCCTAACTGCTCTATGAAAAGAAAGGTTAAACTCTGTGAGGTGAACGCACACATCACAAGGAAGTTTCTGAGAATCATTCTGTCTAGTTTTTATAGGAAGATATTTCCTTTTCTACCTTTGACGTCAAAGCGGCTGAAATCTCCACTTGCAAATTCCACAAAAAGAGTGTTACAAGTCTGCTCTGTGTAAAGGATCGTTCAACTCTGTGAGTTGAATACACACAACAACAAGGAAGTTACTGAGAATTCTTCTGTCTAGCAGAATATGAAGAAATCCCGTTTCCAGCGAAGGCCACAAGATGTCAGAATATCCACTTACAGACTTTACAGAGTGTTTCCTAACTGCTCTATGAACAGAAAGGTAAAACTCTGTGAGTTGAACGAACACATCACAACGCAGTTTGTGGGAATGATTCTGTCTAGTTTTTATACGAAGATATTCCCTTTTCTACCATTGACCTCAAAGCAGCTGAAATCACCACTTGCCAATTGCACAAAAAGAGTGTTTCAAATCTGCTCTGTCTAAGGGAACGTTCAACTCTGTGAGTTGAATGTACACAACACAAGGAAGTTACTGGGAATTCTTCTGTCTAGCCTTACAAGAAAAAAACCCGTTTCCAACGAAGGCCTCTAAATGGTCAAAATATCCACGTGCAGACTTTACAAACAGAGTGTTTCCAAACTGCTGAATGAAAAGAAAAGTTAAACTCTGAGAGTTGAACGCACACATCACAGAGCAGTTTCTGAGAATGATTCTCTCTAGTTTTTATACGAAGATATTTCCTTTTCTACCATTGACCTCAAAGCGGCAGAAATCTCCACTTGCAAATTCCACAAAAAGAGTGTTTCAAGTCTGCTCTGTGTAAAGGATAGTCCAACTCTGTGAGTTGAATACACACAACACAAGGAAGTTACTGAGAATTCTTCTGTCTAGCATAATATGAAGAAATCCCGTTTCCAACGAAGGCCTCAAAGAGGTCTGAATATCCAATTGCAGACTTTACAAACAGAGTGTTTCCTAACTGCTCTATGAAAAGAAAGGTTAAACTCTGTGAGTTGAACGCACACATCACAAAGGAGTTTCTGAGAATCATTCTGTCTAGTTTCTATAGGAAGATATTTCCTATTCTACCATTGACCTCAAAGCGGCTGAAATCTCAACTTGCAAATTCCACAGAAGGAGTGTTTCAAGTCTTCTCTGAGTAAAGGATCGTTCAACTCTGTGAGTTGAATACACACAACACAAGGAAATTTCTGAGAAATCTTCTGTCTAGCAGAATATGAAGAAATCCCGTTTCCAACGAAGGTCACAAGATGTCAGAATATCCACTTACAGAATTTACAAACAGACTGTTTCCTAACTGCTCTATGAAAAGAAAGGTTAAACTCTGTGAGTTGAACGAACACATCACAACGCAGTTTGTGGCAATGATTCTGTCTAGTTTTGAAACGAAGATATTTCCTTTTCTGCCATTGAACTTAAAGCGCTTGAAATCTCCATTTGCCAATTGCACAAAAAGAGTGTTTCAAATCTGCTCTGTCTAACGGAACGTTCAACTCTGTGAGTTGAATGTACACAACACAAGGAAGTTACTGGGAATTCTTCTGTCTAGCCTTACATGAAAAAACCCGTTTCCAACGAAGGCCTCTAAGTTGTCAAATTATCCACGTGCAGACTTTACAAACAGAGTGTTTCCAAACTGCTGAATGAAAAGAAAAGTTAAAGTCTGAGAGTTGAACGCACACATCGCAGAGCAGTTTCTGAGAATGATTCTGTCTAGTTTTTTTACGAAGATATTTCCTTTTCTGCCTTTGGCCTCAAAGCGCTTGACATCTCCACTTGCAAATTCCACAAAAAGAGTGTTTCAAATCTGCTCTGTGTAAATGAAAGTTCAACTCTGTGAGTTGAACACACACAACACAAGGAAGTTACTGGGAATTCTTCTGTCTAGCATAATATGAGGAAATCCCGTTTCCAACGAAGGCCTCAAAGGGGTCTGATTATCCACTTGCAGACTTTATAAACAGAGTGTTTACTAACTGCTCTATGAAAAGAAAGGTTAAACTCTGTGATTTGAACACACACATCACAAAGGACTTTCTGAGAATCATTCTGTCTAGTTTCTATAGGAAGATATTTCCTATTCTACCATTGACCTCAAAGCGGCTGAAATCTCCACTTGCAAATTCCACAAAAAGAGTGTTTCAAGTGTGCTCTCTGTAAAGGATCGTTCAACTCTGTGAGTTGAATACACACAACACAAGGAAGTTACTGACAATTATTCTGTCTAGCAGAATATGAGGAAATCCCGTTTCCAACGAAGGCCTCAAGGAGGTCTGAATATCCACTTGCAGACTTTACAAACAGAGTGTTTCCTAACTGCTCTATGAACAGAAAGGTTAAACTCTGTGAGTTGAACGAACACATCACAACGCAGTTTGTGGGAATGATTCTGTCTAGTTTTGAAACGAAGATATTTCCTTTTCTGCCGTTGACCTTAAAGCGCTTGAAATCTACACTTGCAAATTGCACAAATAGAGTGTTTCAAATCTGCTCTGTCTAAGGGAACGTTCAACTCTGTGAGTTGAATGCACACAACACAAGGAAGTTACTGGGAATTCTTCTGTCTAGCCTTACAAGAAAAAAACCCGTTTCCAACGAAGGCCTCTAAATGGTCAAAATATCCACGTGCAGACTTTACAAACAGAGTGTTTCCAAACTGCTGAATGAAAAGAAAAGTTAAACTCTGAGAGTTGAACGCACACATCGCAGAGCAGTTTCTGAGAATGATTCTGTCTAGTTTCTATAGGAAGATATTTCCTATTCTACCATTGACCTCAAAGAGGCTGAAATCTCCACTTGCAAATTCCACAAAAAGAGTGTTTCAAGTCTGCTCTGTGTAAAGGATCGTTCAACTCTGTGAGTTGAAAACACACAACACAAGGAAGTTTCTGAGAATTCTTCTCTCTAGCAGAACATGAAGAAATCCCGCTTCCAACGAAGGCCTCAAAGAAGTCTGAATATCCACTTGCAGACTTTACAAACAGAGTGTTTCCCAACTGCTCTATGAAAAGAAAGGTTGAACTCTGTGAGTTGAACGCACACATCACAAAGGAGTTTCTGAGAATCATTCTGTCTAGTTTCTATAGGAAGATATTTCCTATTCTACCATTGAACTCAAAGCGGCTGAAATCTCCACTTGCAAATTACACAAAAAGAGTGTTTCAAGTCTGCTCTGTGTAAAGGATCGTTCAACTCTGTGAGTTGAATACACACAACACAAGGAAGTTACTGAGAATTCTTCTTTCTAGCAGAATATGAAGAAATCCCGTTTCCAACGAAAGCCTCAAGGATGTCTGAATATCCACTTGCAGACTTTACAAACAGAGTGTTTCCTAACTGCTCTATGAAAAGAAAGGTTAAACTCTGTGAGTTGAACGCGCACATCCCAAAGGAGTTTCTGAGAATCATTCTGTCTAGTTTTGAAACGATGATATTTCCTTTTCTGCCATTGACCTTAAAGCGCTTGAAATCTCCATTTGCCAATTGCACAAAAAGAGTGTTTCAAATCTGCTCTGTCTAAGGGAACGTTCAACTCTGTGAGTTGAATGTACACAACACAAGGAAGTTACTGGGAATTCTTCTGTCTAGCCTTACAGGAAAAAGCCCGTTTCCAACGAAGGCCTCTAAGTGGTCAAAATATCCACGTGCAGACTTTACAAACAGAGTGTTTCCAAACTGCTGAATGAAAAGAAAAGTTAAACTCTGAGAGTTGAACGCACACATCGCAGAGCAGTTTCTGAGAATGATTCTGTCTAGTTTTTATACGAAGATATTTCCTTTTCTGCCTTTGGCCCCAAACCTCTTGAAATCTCCACTTGCAAATTCCACAAAAACAGTGTTTCAAATCTGCTCTCTCTAAATGAATGTTCAACTCTGTCAGGTGAATACACACAACACAAGGTAGTTACTGAGAATTCTTCTGTCTAGCAGAATATGAAGAAATCCCGTTTCCAACGAAGGCCTCAAAGAGGTCTGAATATCCACTTGCAGACTTTACAAACAGAGTGTTTCCTAACTGCTCTATGAAAAGAAAGGTTAAACTCTGTGAGTTGAACGCACACATCACAAAAGAGTTTCTGAGAATCATTCTGTCTAGTCTTTATACGAAGATATTTCCTTTTCTACCATTGACATCAAAGCGGCTGAAATCTCCACTTGCAAATTCCACAAAAAGAGTGTTTCAAGTCTGCTCTGTGTAAAGGATCGTTCAACTCTGTGAGTTGAATACACACAACACAAGGAAGTTACTGAGAATTCTTCTGTCTAGCAGAATATGAAGAAATCCCGTTTCCAACGAAGGCCACAAGATGTCAGAATATGCACTTACAGACTTTACAAACAGAGTGTTTCCTAACTGCTCTATGAACAGAAAGGTTAAACTGCTGTGAGTTGAACGAACACATCACAACGCAGTTTGTGGGAATGATTCTGTCTAGTTTTGAAACGAAGATATTTCCTTTTCTGCCATTGACCTTAAAGCGCTTGAAATCTCCATTTGCCAATTGCACAAAAAGAGTGTTTCAAATCTGCTCTGTCTAAGGGAACGTTCAACTCTGTGAGTTGAATGTACACAACACAAGGAAGTTACTGGGAATTCTTCTGTCTAGCCTTACAGGAAAAAAACCCGTTTCCAACGTAGGCCTCTAAGTGGTCAAAATATCCACGTGCAGACTTTACAAACAGAGTGTTTCCAAACTGCTAAATGAAAAGAAAAGTTAAACTCTGAGAGTTGAACGCACACATCGCAGAGCAGTTTCTGAGAATGATTCTGTCTAGTTTTTATACGAAGATATTTCCTTTTCTGCCTTTGGCCTCAAAGCGCTTGAAATCTCCATTTGCAAATTCCACAAAAAGAGTGTTTCAAATCTGCTCTGTGTAAATGAAAGTTCAACTCTGTGAGTTGAACACACACAACACAAGGAAGTTACTGGGAATTCTTCTGTATAGCAGAATATGAAGAAATCCCGTTTCCAACGAAGGCCTCAAGGAGGTCTGAATATCCACTTGCACACTTTACAAACAGAGTGTTTCCTAACTGCTCTATGAAAAGAAAGGTTAAACTCTGTGAGTTAAACGCAGACATCACAAAGGAGTTTCTGAGAATCACTCTGTCTAGTTTTTATACGAAGATATTTCCTTTTCTACCATTGACCTCAAAGCGGCTGAAATCTCCACCCTGCCAATTCCACAAAAAGAGTGTTTCAAATCTACTCTGTGTAAAGGATCGTTGAACTCTGTGAGTTGAAAACACACAACACAACGAAGTTTCTGAGAATTCTTCTGTCTAACAGAATATGAAGAAATCCCGTTTCCAACGAAAGCCTCAAAGATGTCTGAATATCCACTTGCAGACTTTACAAACAGAGTGTTTCCTAACTGCTCTATGAAAAGAAAGGTTAAACTCTGTGAGTTGAACGCACACATCACAAAGGAGTTTCTGAGAATCATTCTGTCTAGTTTTGAAACGAAGATATTTCCTTTTCTGCCATTGACCTCAAAGCGCTTGAAATCTCCACTTGCCAATTGCACAAAAAGAGTGTTTCAAATCTGCTCTGTCTAAGGGAACGGTTCAACTCTGTGAGTTGAATGTACACAACACAAGGAAGTTACTGGGAATTCTTCTGTCTAGCCTTACAGGAAAAAAACCCGTTTCCAACGAAGGCCTCTAAGTGGTCAAAATATCCACGTGCAGACTTTACAAACAGAGTGTTTCCAAACTGCTGAATGAAAAGAAAAGTTAAACTCTGAGAGTTGAACGCACACATCGCAGAGCAGTTTCTGAGAATGATTCTGTCTAGTTTTTATACGAAGATATTTCCTTTTCTGCCTTTGGGCCCAAAGCGCTTGAAATCTCCACTTGCAAATTCCACAAAAACAGTGTTTCAAATCTGCTCTCTCTAAATGAAAGTTCAACTCTGTCAGTTGAATACACACAACACAAGGAAGTTACTGAGAATTCTTCTGTCTAGCAGAATATGAAGAAATCCCGTTTCCAACGAAGGCCTCAAGGAGGATCTGAATATCCACTTGCAGACTTTACAAACAGAGTGTTTCCTAACTGCTCTATGAACAGAAAGGTTAAACTCTGTGAGTTGAACGCACACATCACAAAGGAGTTTCTGAGAATCATTCTGTCTAGTTTTTATACGAAGATATTTCCTTTTCTACCATTGACCTCAACGCGGCTGAAATCTCCACTTGCAAATTCCACAAAAAGAGTGTTCCAAGTCTGCTCTGTGTAAAGGATCGTTCAACTCTGTGAGTTGAATACACACAACACAAGGAAGTTACTGAGAATTCTTCTGTCTAGCACAGTATGAAGAAATCCCGTTTCCAACGAAGACCTCGAAGAGGTCTGAATATCCACTTGCAGAGTTTACAAACAGAGTGTTTCCTAACTGCTCTATGAAAAGAAATGTTAAACTCTCTGAGTTGAACGCACACATCACAAAGAAGTTTCTGAGAATCATTCTGTCTAGTTTTGAAACGAAGATATTTCCTTTTCTGCCTTTGACCTTAAAGCGCTTGAAATCTACACTTGCAAATTGCACAAATAGAGTGTTTCAAATCTACTCTGTCTAAGGGAACGTTCAACTCTGTGATTTGATTGCACACAACACAAGGAAGTTACTGGGAATTCTTCTGTCTAGCCTTACAAGAAAAAAACCCGTTTCCAACGAAAGCCTCTAAATGGTCAAAATATCCACGTGCAGACTTTACAAACAGAGTGTTTCCAAACTGCTGAATGAAAAGAAAAGTTAAACTCTGAGAGTTGAACGCACACATCAGCAGAGCAGTTTCTGAGAATGATTCTGTCTAGTTTTTATACGAAGATATTTCCTTTTCTGCCTTTGGCCCCAAAGCGCTTGAAATCTCCACTTGCAAATTCCACAAAAACAGTGTTTCAAATCTGCTCTCTCTAAATGAAAGTTCAACTCTGTCAGCTGAATACACACAACACAAGGAAGTTACTGAGAATTCTTCTGTCTAGCCTTATATGAAAAAAACCCGTTTCCAACGAAGGCCTCAAAGAGGTCTGAATATCCACTTGCAGACTTTTACAAACAGAGTGTTTCCTAACTGCTCTATGAAAAGAAAGGTTAAACTCTGTGAGTTGAACGCACACATCACAAAGGAGTTTCTGAGAATCATCTGTCTAGTCTTTATACGAAGTTATTTCCTTTTCTACCATTGACATCAAAGCGGCTGAAATCTCCACTTGCAAATTCCACAAAAAGAGTGTTTCAAGTATGCTCTGTGTAAAGGATCGTTCAACACTGTGAGTTGAATACACACAACACAAGGAAGTTACTGAGAATTCTTTCTGTCTAGCAGAATATGAAGAAATCCCGTTTCCAACGAAGGCCACAAGATGTCAGAATATCCACTTACAGACTTTACAAACAGAGTGTTTCCTAACTGCTCTATGAACAGAAAGGTTAAACTCTGTGAGTTGAACGAACACATCACAACGCAGTTTGTGGGAATGATTCTGTCTAGTTTTGAAACGAAGATATTTCCTTTTCTGCCATTGACCTTAAACGCTTGAAATCTACAGTTGCCAATTGCACAAATAGAGTGTTTCAAATCTGCTCTGTCTAAGGGAACGTTCAACTCTGTGAGTTGAATGCACACAACACAAGGAAGTTACTGGGAATTCTTCTGTCTAGCCTTACAGGAAAAAAACCCGTTTCCAACGAAGGCCTCTAAGTGGTCAAAATATCCAAGTGCAGACTTTACAAACAGAGTGTTTCCAAACTGCTGAATGAAAAGAAAAGTTAAACTCTGAGAGTTGAACGCACACATCGCAGAGCAGTTTCTGAGAATGATTCTGTCTAGTTTTTATACGAAGATATTTCCTTTTCTGCCTTTGGCCCAAAAGCGCTTGAAATCTCCACTTGCAAATTCCACAAAAACAGTGTTTCAAATCTGCTCTCTCCAAATGAAAGTTCAACTCTGTCAGTTGAATACACACAACACAAGGAAGTTACTGAGAATTCTTCTGTCTAGCAGAATATGAAGAAATCCCGTTTCCAACGAAGGCCTCAAAGAGGTCTGAATATCCACTTGCAGACTTTACAAACAGAGTGTTTCCTAACTGCTCTATGAAAAGAAAGGATAAACTCTGTGAGTTGAACTCACACATCACAAAGGAGTTCCTGAGAATCATTCTGTCTAGTCTTTATATGAAGATAGTTTCCTTTTCTACCATTGACCTCAAAGCGGCTGAAATCTCCACTTGCAAAATTCCACAAAAAGAGTGTTTCAAGTCTGCTCTGTGTAAAGGATCGTTCAACTCTGTGAGTTGAATACACACAACACAAGGTAAGTTACTGAGAATTCTTCTGTCTAGCAGAATATGAAGAAATCCCGTTTCCAAAGAAGGCCACAAGATGTCAGAATATCTACTTACAGACTTTACAAACAGAGTTTTTCCTAACTGCTCTATGAACAGAAAGGTTAAACTCTGTGAGTTGAACGAACACATCACAACGCAGTTTGTGGGAATGATTCTGTCTAGTTTTAATACGAAGATATTTCCCTTTCTACCATTGACCTCAAAGCGGTTGAAATCACCACTTGCCAATTGCACAAAAAGAGTGTTTCAAATCTGCTCTGTCTAAGGGAACGTTCAACTCTGTGAGTAGAATGTACACAACACAATGAAGTTACTGGGAATTCTTCTGTCTAGCCTTACATGAAAAAAACCCGTTTCCAACGAAGGCCTCTAAGTGGTCAAATTATCCACGTGCAGACTTTACAAACAGAGTGTTTCCAAACTGCTGAATGAAAAGAAAAGTTAAACTCTGAGAGTTGAACGCACACATCGCAGAGCAGTTTCTGAGAATGATTCTGTCTAGTCTTTATACGAAGATATTTACTTTTCTACCATTGACCTCAAAGCGGCTGAAATCTCCACTTGCAAATTCCACAAAAAGAGTGTTTCAAGTCTGCTCTCTGTAAAGGATCATTCAACTCTGTGAGTTGAATAAACACAACACAAGGAAGTTACTGAGAATTATTCTGTCTAGCCTTATATGAACAAAACCCGTTTCCAACGAAGGCCTCAAAGAGGTCTGAATATCCACTTGCAGAGTTTACAAACAGAGTGTTTCCTAACTGCTCTATGAAAAGAAAGGTTAAACTCTGTCAGTTGAACACACACATCACAAAGAAGTTTCTGAGAATCATTCTGTCTAGTTTTTATACGAAGATATTTCCTTTTCTACCATGGGACCTCAAAGCGGCTGAAATCTCCACTTGCAAATTCCACAAAAAGAGTGTTTCAAGTCTGCTCTGTGTAAAGGATCGTTCAACTCTGTGAGTTGAATACACACAACACAAGGAAGATTCTGAGAATTCTTCTGTCTAGCAGAATATGAAGAAATCCCGTTTCCAACGAGGGCCACAAGATGTCAGAATATCCACTTACAGACTTTACAAACAGTGTGTTTCCTAACTGCTCTATGAACGGAAAGGTTAAACTCTGTGAGTTGAACGAACCCATCACAACGCAGTTTGTGGGAATGATTCTGTCTGGTTTTGAAACGAAGATATTTCCTTTTCTGCCGTTGACCTTAAAGCGCTTGAAATCTACACTTGCAAATTGCACAAATAGAGTGTTTCAAATCTTCTCTGTCTAAGGGAACGTTCAACTCTGTGAGTTGAATGCACACAACACAAGGAAGTTACTGGGAATTCTTCTGTCTAGCAGAATATGAAGAAATCCCGTTTCCAACGAAGGCCTCAAAGAGGTCTGAATATCCACTTGCAGACTTTACAAACAGAGTGTTTCCTTACTGCTCTATGAAAAGAAAAGTTAAACTCTGTGAGTTGAACGCACACATCACAAAGGAGTTTCTGAGAATCATTCTGTCTAGTTTCTATTGGAAGATATTTCCTATTCTACCATTGACCAGAAAAGCGGCTGAAATCTCCACTTGCAAATTCCACAAAAAGAGTGTTTCAAGTCTGCTCTCTGTAAAGGATCGTTCAACTCTGTGAGTTGAATACACACAACACAAGGAAGTTACTGAGAATTCTTCTTTCTAGCAGAATATGAAGAAATCCCGTTTCCAACGAAAGCCTCAAGGATGTCTGAATATCCACTTGCAGACTTTACAAACAGTGTGTTTCCCAACTGCGCTATGAAAAGAAAGGTTAAACTCTGTGAGTTGAACGCACACATCACAAAGGAGTTTCTGAGAATCATTCTGTCTAGTTTTTATAGGAAGATATTTCCTTTTCTACCATTGACCTCAAAGCGGCTGAAATCTCCACTTGCAAATTCCACAAAAAGAGTGTTTCAAGTCTACTCTGTGTAAAGGATCGTTCAGCTCTGTGAGTTGAATACACACAACACGCGGAAGTTACTGAGAATTCTTCTGTCTAGCAGAATATGAAGAAATCCCGTTTCCAACGAAGGCCACAAGATGTCAGAATATCCACTTACAGACTTTACAAACAGAGTGTTTCCTAACTGCTCTATGAACAGAAAGGTTAAACTCTGTGAGTTGAACGAACACATCAGAACGCAGTTTGTGGGAATGATTTTGTCTAGTTTTGAAACGAAGATATTTCCTTTTCTGCCATTGACCTCAAAGCGCTTGAAATCTCCACTTGCCAATTGCACAAAAAGAGTGTTTCAAATCTGCTCTGTCTAAGGAAACGTTCAACTCTGTGAGTTGAATGTACACAACACAAGGAAGTTACTGGGAATTCTTCTGTCTAGCCTTACAGGAAAAAAACCCGTTTCCAACGAAGGCCTCTAAGTGGTCAAAATATCCACGTGCAGACTTTACAAACAGAGTGTTTCCAAACTGCTGAATGAAAAGAAAAGTTAAACTCTGAGAGTTGAACGCACACATCGCAGAGCAGTTTCTGAGAATGATTCTGTCTAGTTTTTATACGAAGATATTTCCTTTTCTGCCTTTGGCCTCAAAGCGCTTGAAATCTCCACCTGCAAATTCCACAAAAAGAGTGTTTCAAATCTGCTCTGTGTAAATGAAAGTTCAACTCTGTGAGATGAACACACACAACACAAGGAAGTTACTGGGAATTCTTCTGTCTAGCATAATATGAAGAAATCCCGTTTCCAACGAAGGCCTCAAGGAGGTCTGAATATCCACTTGCAGACTTTACAAACAGAGTGTTTCCTAACTGCTCTATGAAAAGAAAGGTTAAACTCTGTGAGTTGAACGCACACATCAGAAAGGAGTTTCTCAGAATCATTCTGTCTAGTCTTTATACGAAGATATTTCCTTTTCTACCATTGACCTCAAAGCGGCTGAAATCTCCACTTGCAAATTCCACAAAAAGAGTGTTTCAAGTCTGCTCTGTGTAAAGGATCGTTCAACTCTGTGAGTTGAATACACACAACACAAGGAAGTTACTGAGAATTCTTCTGTCTAGCAGAATATGAAGAAATCCCGTTTCCAACGAAGGCCAAAAGATATCAGAATATCCACTTACAGAATTTACAAACAGACTGTTTCCTAACTGTTCTATGAAAAGAAAGGTTAAACTCTGTGAGTTGAACGAACACATCACAACGCAGTTTGTGGGAATGATTCTGTCTAGTTTTGAAACGAAGATATTTCCTTTTCTGCCATTGACCTTAAAGCGCTTGAAATCTCCATTTGCCAATTGCACAAAAAGAGTGTTTCAAATCTGCTCTGTCTAAGGGAACGTTCAACTCCGTGAGTTGAATGTACACAACACAAGGAAGTTACTGGGAATTCTTCTGTCTAGCATAATATGAAGAAATCCCGTTTCCAACGAAGGCCTCAAGGAGGTCTGAATATCCACTTCCAGACTTTACAAAGAGAGTGTTTCCTAACTGCTCTATGAAAAGAAAGGTTAAACCCTGTGAGTTCAACGCACACATCACAAAGGAGTTTCTGAGAATCATTCTGTCTAGTTTCTATAGGAAGATATTTCCTATTCTACCATTGACCTCAAAGCGGCTGAAATCTCCACTTGCAAATTCCACAACAAGAGTGTTTCAAGTATGCTCTGTGTAAAGGATCGTTCAACTCTGTGAGTTGAATACACACAACACAAGGAAGGTACTGAGAATTCTTCTGTCTAGCATAATATGAAGAAATCCCGTTTCCAACGAAGGCCTCAAGGAGGTCTGAATATCCACTTGCAGACTTTACAAACAGAGTGTTTCCTAACTGCTCTATGAAAAGAAAGGTTAAACTCTGTGAGTTGAACGCACACATCACAAGGGAGTTTCTGAGAATCATTCTGTCTAGTTTTTCTACGAAGATATTTCCTATTCTACCATTGACCTCAAAGCGGCTGAAATCTCCACTTGCAAATTCCACAAAAAGAGTGTTTCAAGTCTGCTCTCTGTAAAGGATCGTTCAACTCTGTGAGTTGAATACACACAACACAAGGAAGTTACTGAGAATTCTTCTGTCTAGCAGAATACGAAGAAATCCCGTTTCCAACGAAGGCCTCAAAGAGGTCTGAATATCCACTTACAGACTTTACAAACAGAGTGTTTCCTAACTGCTCTATGAAAAGAAATGTTAAATTCTGTGAGTTGAACGCACACATCACAAAGGAGTTTCTGAGAATCATTCTGTCTAGTTTCTATAGGAAGATATTTCCTATTCTACCATTGACCTCAAAGTGGCTGAAATCTCCACTTGCAAATTCCACAAAAAGAGTGTTTCAAGTCTGCTCTGTGTAAAGGATCGTGCAACTCTGTGAGTTGAATACACACAACACAAGGAAGTTACTGAGAATTCTTCTGTCTAGCCTTACATGAAAAAAAACCCGTTTCCAACGAAGGCCTCTAAGTGGTCAAAATATCCACGTGCAGACTTTACAAACAGAGTGTTTCCAAACCGCTGAATGAAAAGAAAAGTTAAACTCTGAGAGTTGAACGCACACATCACGCAGCAGTTTCTGAGAATGATTCTGTCTAGGTTTTATACGAAGATATTTCCTTCTCTGCCTTTGGCCTCAAAGCGCTTGAAATCTCCACCTGCAAATTCCACAAAAAGAGTGTTTCAAATCTGCTCTGTGTAAATGAAAGTTCAACTCTGTGAGTTGAACACACACAACACAAGGAAGTTACTGGGAATTCTTCTGTCTAGCCTTATATGAATAAAACCCGTTTCCAACGAAGGCCTCAAAGAGGTCTGAATATCCACTTGCAGACTTTACAAACAGAGTGTTTCCTAACTGCTCTATGAAAAGAAAGGTTAAACTCTGTGAGTTGAACGCACACATCACAAAGGAGTTTCTGAGAATCATTCTGTCTAGTTTTTATACGAAGATATTTCCTTTTCTACCATTGACCTCAAAGCGGCTGAAATCACCACTTGCCAATTGCACAAAAAGAGTGTTTCAAATCTGCTCTGTGTAAATGAAAGTTCAACTCTGTGAGTTGAACACACACAACACAAGGAAGTTACTGGGAATTCTTCTGTCTAGCAGAATATGAAGAAATCCCGTTTCCAACGAAGGCCACAAGATGTCAGAATATCCACTTACAGACTTTACAGAGTGTTTCCTAACTGCTCTATGAACAGAAAGGTAAAACTCTGTGAGTTGAACGAACACATCACAACGCAGTTTGTGGGAATGATTCTGTCTAATTTTGAAACGAAGATATTTCCTTTTCTGCCATTGACCTTAATGCGCTTGAAATCTACACTTGCAAATTGCACAAATAGAGTGTTTCAAATCTGCTCTGTCTAAGGGAACGTTCAACTCTGTGAGTTGAATGCACACAACACAAGGAAGTTACTGGGAATTCTTCTGTCTAGCCTTACAGGAAAAAAACCCGTTTCCAACGAAGGCCTCTAAGTGGTCAAAATATCCACGTGCAGACTTTACAAACAGAGTGTTTCCAAACTGCTGAATGAAAAGAAAAGTTAAACTCTGAGAGTTGAACGCACACATCGCAGAGCAGTTTCTGAGAATGATTCTGTCTAGTTTTCAAAAGAAGATATTTCCTTTTCTGCCTTTGGCCTCAAAGCGCTTGAAATCTCCACTTGCAAATTCCACAAAAAGAGTGTTTCAAATCTGCTCTGTGTAAATGAAAGTTCAACTCTGTGAGTTGAACACACACAACACAAGGAAGTTACTGGGAATTCTTCTGTCTAGCCTTATATGAAAAAAACCCGTTTCCCACGAAGGCCTCAAAGAGGTCTGAATATCCACTTGCAGACTTTACAAACAGAGTGTTTCCTAACTGCTCTATGAAAAGAAAGGTTAAACTCTGTGAGTTGAACGCACACATCACACAGGAGTTTCTGAGAATCATTCTGTCTAGTTTTTTATACGAAGATATTTCCTTTTCTACCATTGACCTCAAAGCGGCTGAAATCTCCACTTGCAAATTCCACAGAAAGAGTGTTTCAAATCTGCTCTGTGTAAACAATCGTTCAACTGTGTGAGTTGAATACACACAACACAAGGAAGATTCTGAGAATTCTTCTGTCTAGCAGAATATGAAGAAATCCCGTTTCCAACGAAGGCCACAAGATGTCAGAATATCCACTTACAGAATTTACAAACAGACTGTTTCCTAACTGCTCTACGAAAAGAAAGGTTAAACTCTGTGAGATGAACGAACACATCACAACGCAGTTTGTGGGAATGATTTCTGTCTAGTTTTGAAACGAAGATATTTCCTTTTCTGCCATTGACCTTAAAGCGCTTGAAATCTCCACTTGCCAATTGCACAAAAAGAGTGTTTCAAATCTGCTCTGTCTAAGGGAACGTTCAACTCTGTGAGTTGAATGTACACAACGCAAGGAAGTTACTGGGAATTCTTCTGTCTAGCCTTACAGGAAAAAAACCCGTTTCCAACGAAGGCCTCTAAGTGGTCAAAATATCCACGTGCAGACTTTACAAACAGAGTGTTTCCAAACTGCTGAATGAAAAGAAAAGTTAAACTCTGAGAGTTGAACGCACACATCGCAGAGCAGTTTCTGAGAATGATTCTGTCTAGTTTCTATAGGAAGATATTTCCTATTCTACCATTGACCTCAAAGCGGCTGAAATCTCCACTTGCAAATTCCACAAAAAGAATGGTTCAAGTCTGCTCTGTGTAAAGGATCGTTCAACTCTGTGAGTTGAATACACACAACACAAGGAAGTTACTGAGAATTCTTCTGTCTAGCACAGTATGAAGAAATCCCGTTTCCAACGAAGGCCTCAGAGAGGTCTGAATATCCACTTGCAGACTTTACAAACAGAGTGTTTCCTAACTGCTCTATGAAAAGAAAGGTTAAACTCTGTGAGTTGAACGCACACGTCACAATGAAGTTTCTGAGAATCATTCTGTCTAGTCTTTATACGAAGATATTTCCTTTTCTACCATTGACCTCAAAGCGGCTGAAATCTCCACTTGCAAATTCAAGAAAAAGAGTGTTTCAAGTCTGCTCTGTGTAAAGGATCGTTCAACTCTGTGAGTTGAATAAACACAACACAAGGAAGTTACTGAGAATTCTTCTGTCTAGCAGAATATGAAGAAATCCCGTTTCCAACGAAGGCCACAAGATGTCAGAATATCCACTTACAGAATTTACAAACAGACTGTTTCCTAACTGCTCTATGAAAAGAAAGGTTAAACTCTGTGAGTTGAACGAACACATCACAACGCAGTTTGTGGGAATGATTCTGTCTAGTTTTGAAACGAAGATATTTCCTTTTCTGCCATTGACCTTAAAGCGCTTGAAATCTCCACTTGCCAATTGCACAAAAAGAGTGTTTCAAATCTGCTCTGTCTATGGGAACGTTCAACTCTGTGAGTTGAATGTACACAACACAAGGAAGTTACTGGGAATTCTTCTGTCTAGCCTTACATGAAAAAAACCCGTTTCCAACGAAGGCCTCTAAGTGGTCAAGTTATCCACGTGCAGACTTTACAAACAGAGTGTTTCCAAACTGCTGAATGAAAAGAAAAGTTAAACTCTGAGAGTTGAACGCACACATCACAGAGCAGTTTCTGAGAATGATTCTGTCTTGTTTTTATACGAGGATATTTCCTTTTCAGCCTTTGGCCGCAAAGCGCTTGAAATCTCCACTTGCAAATTCCACAAAAACAGTGTTTCAAATCTGCTCTCTCCAAATGAAAGTTCAACTCTGTCAGTTGAATACACACAACACAAGGGAAGTTACTGAGAATTCTTCTGTCTAGCCTTATATGAAAAAAACCCGTTTCCAACGAAGGCCTCAAAGAGGCCTGAATATCCACTTGCAGTCTTTACAAACAGAGTGTTTCCTAACTGCTCTATGAAAAGAAAGGTTAAACTCTGTGAGTTGAACACACACATCACAAAGGAGTTTCTGAGAATCATTCTGTCTAGTTTCTATAGGAAGATATTTCCTATTCTACCATTGACCTCAAAGCGGCTGAAATCTCCACTTGCAAATTCCACAAAAAGAGTGTTTCAAGTCTGCTCTGTGTAAAGGATCGTTCAACTCTGTGAGTTGAATACACACAACACAAGGAAGTCACTGAGAATTCTTCTGTCTAGCAGAATATGAAGAAATCCAGTTTCCAACGAAGGCCTCAAGGAGGTCTGAATATCCACTTGCAGACTTTACAAACAGAGTGTTTCCTAACTGCTCTATGAACAGAAAGGTTAAACTCTGTGAGTTGAACGAACACATCACAACGCAGTTTGTGGGAATGATTCTGTCTAGCTTTGAAACGAAGATATTTCCTTTTCTGCCATTGACCTTAAAGCGCTTGAAATCTACACTTGCAAATTGCACAAATAGAGTGTTTCAAATCTCCTCTGTCTAAGGGAACGTTCAACTCTGTGAGTTGAATGCACACAACACAAGGAAGTTACTGGGAATTCTTCTGTCTAGCAGAATATGAATAAATCCCGTTTCCAACGAAGGCCTCAAAGAGGTCTGAATATCCACTTGCAGACTTTACAAACAGAGTGTTTCCTAACTGCTCTATGAAAAGAAAAGTTAAACTCTGTGAGTTGAACGCACACATCACAAAGGAGTTTCTGAGAATCATTCTGTCTAGTTTTTATAGGAAGATATTTCCTTTTCTATCTTTGACTTCAAAGCGGCTGAAATCTCAACTTGCAAATTCCACAAAAAGAGTGTTACAAGTCTGCTCTGTGTAAAGGATCGTTCAACTCTGTGAGTTGAATACACACAACACAAGGTAAGTTACTGAGAATTCTTCTGTCTAGCACAGTATGAAGAAACCCGTTTCCAACGAAGGCCTCAAAGAGGTCTGAATATCCACTTGCAGAGTTTAAAAACACAGTGTTTCCTAACTGCTCTATGAAAAGAAAGGTTAAACACTGTGAGTTGAACACACACATCACAAAGAAGTTTCTGAGAATCATTCTGTCTAGTTTCTATAGGAAGATATTTCCTATTCTACCATTGACCTCAAAGCGGCAGAAATCTCCACTTGCAAATTCCACAAAAAGAGTGTTTCAAGTCTGCTCTGTGTAAAGGATCGTTCAACTCTGTGAGTTGAATACACACAACACAAGGAAGTTACTGAGAATTCTTCTGTCTAGCAGAATATGAAGAAATCCCGTTTCCAACGAAGGCCTCAAAGAGGTCTGAATATCCACTTGCAGACTTTACAAACAGAGTGTTTCCTAACTGCTCTATGAAAAGAAAGGTTAAACTCTGTGAGTTGAACGCACACATCACGAAGGAGTTTCTGAGAATCATTCTGTCTAGTTTTGAAACGAAGATATTTCCTTTTCTGCCATTGACCTTAAAGCGCTTGAAATCTACACTTGCAAATTGCACAAATAGAGTGTTTCAAATCTGCTCTGTCTAAGGGAACGTTCAACTCTGTGAGTTGAATGCACACAACACAAGGAAGTTACTGGGAATTCTTCTGTCTAGCCTTACATGAAAAAAACCCGTTTCCAACGAAGGCCTCTATGTGGTCAAAATTTCCACGTGCAGACTTTACAAACAGAGTGTTTCCAAACCGCTGAATGAAAAGAAAAGTTAAACTCTGAGAGTTGAACGCACACATCACGCAGCAGTTTCTGAGAATGATTCTGTCTAGTTTTTATACGAAGATATTTCCTTTTCTGCCTTTGGCCTCAAAGCGCTTGAAATCTCCATTTGCAAATTCCACAAAAAGAGAGTTTCAAATCTGCTCTGTGTAAATGAGAGTTCATCTCTGTGAGTTGAACACACACAACACAAGGAAGTTACTGGGAATTCTTCTGTCTAGCATAATATGAAGAAATCCCGTTTTCAACGAAAGCCTCAAAGATGTCTGAATATCCACTTGCAGACTTTACAAACAGAGTGTTTCCTAACTGCTCTATGAAAAGAAAGGTTAAACTCTGTGAGTTGAACGCACACATCACAAAGGAGTTTCTGAGAATAATTCTGTCTCGTCTTTATACGAAGATATTTACTTTTCTACCATTGACCTCAAAGCGGCTGAAATCTCCACTTGCAAATTCGAGAAGAAGAGTGTTTCAAGCCTGCTCTCTGTAAAGGATCCTTCAAATCTGTGAGTTGAATACACACAACACAAGGAAGTTACTGAGAATTATTCTGTCTAGCAGAATATGAAGAAATCCCGTTACCAACGAAGGCCACAAGATGTCAGAATATCCACTTACAGAATTTACAAACAGACTGTTTCCTAACTGCTCTATGAAAAGAAAGGTTAAACTCTGTGAGTTGAACGAACACATGACAACGCAGTTTGTGGGAATGATTCTGTCTAGTTTTGAAACGAAGATATTTCCTTTCCTGCCATTGACCTTAAAGCGCTTGAAATCTCCATTTGCCAATTGCACAAAAAGAGTGTTTCAAATCTGCTCTGTCTAAGGGAACGTTCAACTCTGTGAGTTGAATGTACACAACACAAGGAAGTTACTGGGAATTCTTCTGTCTAGCATAATATGAAGAAATCCCGTTTCCAACGAAGGCCTCAAGGAGGTCTGAATATCCACTTGCAGACTTTACAAACTGAGTGTTTCCTAACTGCTCTATGAAAAGAAAGGTTAAACTCTGTGAGTTGAACGCGCACATCACAAGGGAGTTTCTGAGAATCATTCTGTCTAGTTTTTATACGAAGATATTTCCTTTTCTACAATTGACCTCAAAGCGGCTGAAATCTCCAATTGCAAATTCCACAAAAAGAGTGTTTCAAGTTTGCTCTGTGTAAAGGATCGTCCAACTCTGTGAGTTGAATACACACAAAACAAGGAATTTACTGAGAATTCTTCTGTCTAGCATAATATGAAGAAATCCCGTTTCCAACGAAGGCCTCAAAGAGGTCTGAATATCCAGTTGCAGACTTTACAAACAGAGTGTTTCCTAACTGCTCTATGAAAAGAAAGGTTAAACTCTGTGAGTTGAATGCACACATCACAAAGGAGTTTCTGAGAATCATTCTGTCTAGTTTTTCTACGAAGATATTTCCTTTTCTACTATTGACCTCAAAGCGGCTGAAATCTCCACTTGCAAATTCTACAAATAGAGTGTTTCAAGTCTGCTCTGTGTAAAGGATCGTTCAACTCTGTGAGTTGAATACACACAACACAAGGAAGTTACTGAGAATTATTCTGTCTAGCATAATATGAAGAAATCCCGTTTAAAACGAAGGCCTCAAAGAGGTCTGAATATCCACTTGCAGACTTTACAAACAGAGTGTTTCCTAACTGCTCTATGAACAGAAAGGTTAAACTCTGTGAGTTGAACGCACACATCACAAAGGAGTTTCTGAGAATCATTCTGTCTAGTTTTGAAACGAAGATATTTCCTTTTCTGCCATTGACCTTAAATCGCTTGAAATCTCCACTTGCCAATTGCACAAAAAGAGTGTTTCAAATCTGCTCTTTCTAAGGGAACGTTCAACTCTGTGAGTTGAATGTACACAACACAAGGAAGTTACTGGGAATTCTTCTGTCTAGCCTTACAGGAAAAAACCCGTTTCCAACGAAGGCCTCTAAGTGGTCAAAATATCCACGTGCAGACTTTACAAACAGAGTGTTTCCAAACTGCTGAATGAAAAGAAAAGTTAAACTCTGAGAGTTGAACGCACACATCGCAGAGCAGTTTCTGAGAATGATTCTGTCTAGTTTTGAAACGAAGATATTTCCTTTTCTGCCTTTGGCCTCAAAGCGCTTGAAATCTCCATTTGCAAATTCCACAAAAAGAGTGTTTCAAATCTGCTCTGTGTAAATGAAAGTTCAACTCTGTGAGTTGAACACACACAACACAAGGGAAGTTACTGGGAATTCTTCTGTCTAGCCTTATATGAAAAAAACCCGTTTCCAACGAAGGCCTCAAAGAGGTGTGAATATCCACTTGCAGACTTTACAAACAGAGTGTTTCCTATCTGCTCTATGAAAAGAAAGGTGAAACTCTGTGAGTTGAACACACACATCACAAAGGAGTTTCTGAGAATCATTCTGTCTAGTTTTTATACGAAGATATTTCCTTTTCTACCATTGACCTCAACGCGGCTGAAATCTCCACTTGCAAATTCCACAAAATGAGTGTTTCAAGTCCGCTCTGTGTAAAGGATCGTTCAACTCTGTGAGTTGAATACACACAACACAAGGAAGTTAGTGAGAATTCTTCTGTCTAGCAGAATATGAAGAAATCCCGTTTCCAACGAAGGCCACAAGATGTCAGAATATCCACTTACAGAATTTTCAAATAGACTGTTTCCTAACTGCTCTATGAAAAGAAAGGTTAAACTCTGTGAGTTGAACGAACACATCACAACGCAGTTTGTGGGAATGATTCTGTCTAGTTTTTATACGAAGATATTTCCTTTTCTACCATTGACCTCAAAGCGGCTGAAATCACCACTTGCCAATTGCACAAAAAGAGTGTTTCAAATCTGCTCTGTCTAAGGGAACGTTCAACTCTGTGAGCTGAATGTACACAACACAAGGAAGTTACTGAGAATTCTTCTGTCTAGCCTTACAGGAAAAAAACCCGTTTCCAACGAAGGCCTCTAAGTGGTCAAAATATCCACGTGCAGACTTTACAAACAGAGTGTTTCCAAACTGCTGAATGAAAAGAAAAGTTAAACTCTGAGAGTTGAACGCACACATCGCAGAGCAGTTTCTGAGAATGATTCTGTCTAGTTTCTATAGGAAGATATTTCCTATTCTACCATTGACCTCAAAGCGGCTGAAATCTCCACTTGCAAATTCCACAAAAAGAGTGTTTCAAGTCTGCTCTGTGTACAGGATCGTTCAACTCTGTGAGTTGAAAACACACAACACAAGGAAGTTTCTGAGAATTCTTCTGTCTAGCATAATATGAAGAAATCCCTTTTCCAACGAAGGCCTCAAGGAGGTCTGAATATCCACTTGCAGACATTACAAACAGAGTGTTTCCTAACTGCTCTATGAAAAGCAAGGTTAAACTCTGTGAGTTCAACGCACACATCACAAAGGAGTTTCTGAGAATCATTCTGTCTAGTTTCTATAGGAAGATAATTCCTATTCTACCATTGACCTCAAAGCGGCTGAAATCTCCACTTGCAAATTCCACAAAAAGAGTGTTTCAAGTCTGCTCTCTGTAAAGGATCGTTCAACTCTGTGAGTTGAATACACACAACACAAGGAAGTTACTGAGAATTCTTCTGTCTAGCAGAATATGAAAAAATCCCGTTTCCAACGAAGGCCACAAGATGTCAGAATATCCACTTACAGAATTGACAAACAGACTGTTTCCTAACTGCTCTATGAAAAGAAAGGTTAAACTCTGTGAGTTGAACGAACACATCACAACGCAGTTTGTGGGAATGATTCTGTCTAGTTTTGAAACGAAGATATTTCCTTTTCTGCCATTGACCTTCAGCGCTTGATATCTCCACTTGCCAATTTCACAAAAAGAGTGTTTCAAATCTGCTCTGTATAAGGGAACGTTCAACTCTGTGAGTTGAATGTACACAACACAAGGAAGTTACTGGGAATTCTTCTGTCTAGCCTTACATGACAAAATCCCGTTTCCAACGAAGGCCTCTAAGTGGTCAAAATATCCACGTGCAGACTTTACAAACAGAGTGTTTCCAAACTGCTGAATGAAAAGAAAAGTTAAACTCTGAGATCTGAACGCACACATCGCAGAGCAGTTTCTGAGAATGATTCTGTCTAGTTTTTATACGAAGATATTTCCTTTTCTGCCTTTGGCCTCAAAGCGCTTGAAATCTCCACTTGCAAATTCCAAAAAAAGAGTGTTTCAAATCTGCTCTCTCTAAATGAAAGTTCAACTCTGTCAGTTGAATACACACAACACAAGGAAGTTACTGAGAATTCTTCTGTCTAGCCTTACATGAAAAAAACCCGTTTCCAACGAAGGCCTCAAAGAGGTAAAAATATCCACTTGCAGACTTTACAAACAGAGTGTTTCCTAACTGCTCTATGAAAAGAAAGGTTACACTCTGTGAGTTGAACACCCAAATCACAAAGGAGTTTCTGAGAATCATTCTGGCTAGTTTCTATAGGAAGATATTTCCTATTCTACCATTGACCTCAAAGCGGCTGAAATCTCCACTTGCAAATTCCACAAAAAGAGTGTTTCAAGTCTGCTCTGTGTAAAGGATCGTTCAACTCTGTGAGTTGAATACACACAACACAAGGAAGTTACTGAGAATTCTTCTGTCTAGCAGAATATGAAGAAATCCCGCTTCCAACGAAGGCCTCAAAGAAGTCTGAATATCCACTTGCAGACTTTACAAAGAGAGTGTTTCCCAACTGCTCTATGAAAAGAAAGGTTGAACTCTGTGAGTTGAACGCACACATCACAAAGGAGTTTCTGAGAATCATTCTGTCTAATTTTGAAACGAAGATATTTCCTTTTCTGCCATTGACCTTAAAGCGCTTGAAATCTCCACTTGCCAATTGCACAAAAAGAGTGTTTCAAATCTGCTCTGTCTAAGGGAACGTTCAACTCTGTGAGTTGAATGTACACAACACAAGGAAGTTACTGGGAATTCTTCTGTCTAGCCTTACATGCAAAAAACCCGTTTCCAACGAAGGCCTCTAAGTGGTCAAAATATCCACGTGCAGACTTTACAAACAGAGTGTTTCCAAACCGCTGAATGAAAAGAAAAGTTAAACTCTGAGAGTTGAACGCACACATCACCCAGCAGTTTCTGAGAATGATTCTGTCTAGTTTTTATACGAAGATATTTCCTTTTCTGCCTTTGGCCCCAAAGCGCTTGAAATCTCCACTTGCAAATTCCACAAAAACAGAGTTTCAAATCTGCTCTCTCTAAATAAAAGTTCAACTCTGTCAGTTGAATACACACAACACAAGGAAGTTACTGAGAATTCTTCTGTCTAGCATAATATGAAGAAATCCCGTTTCCAACGAAGACCTCAAAGAGGTCTGAATATCCACTTGCAGACTTTACAAACAGAGTGTTTCCTAACTGCTCTATGAGAAGAAAAGTTAAACTCTGTGAGTTGAACGCACACATCACAAAAGATTTTCTGAGAATCATTCTGTCTAGTTTTTATAGGAAGATATTTCCTATTCTACCATTGACCTCAAAGCGGCTGAAATCTCCACTTGCAAATTCCACAAAAAGAGTGTTTCAAGTCTGCTCTGTGTAAAGGATCGTTCAACTCTGTGAGTTGAATACACACAACACAAGGAAGTTACTGAGAATTCTTCTGTCTAGCATAATATGAAGAAAACCCGTTTCCAACGAAGGCCTCAAAGAGGTCTGAAGATCCACTTGCAGACATTACAAACAGAGTGTTTCCTAACTGCTCTATGAAAAGAAAGGTTGAACTCTGTGAGTTGAACGCACACATCACAAAGGAGTTTCTGAGAATCATTCTGTCTAGTTTTGAAACGAAGATATTTCCTTTTCTGCCATTGACCTTAAAGCGCTTGAAATCTACACTTGCAAATTGCACAAATAGAGTGTTTCAAATCTGCACTGTCTAAGGGAACGTTCAACTCTGTGAGTTGAATGCACACAACACAAGGAAGTTACTGGGAATTCTTCTGTCTAGCCTTACATGAAAAAAACCCGTTTCCAACGAAGGCCTCTAAGTGGTCAAATTATCCACGTGCAGACTTTACAAACAGAGTGTTTCCAAACTGCTGAATGAAAAGAAAAGTTAAACTCTGAGAGTTGAACGCACACATCGCAGAGCAGTTTCTGAGAATGGTTCTGTCTAGTTTTTATACAAAGAATATTTCCTTTTCTGCCTTTGGCCTCAAAGCGCTTGAAATCTCCATTTGCAAATTCCACAAAAAGAGTGTTTCAAATCTGCTCTGTGTAAATGAAAGTTCAACTCTGTGAGTTGAACACACACAACACAAGGAAGTTACTGGGAATTCTTCTGTCTAGCAGAATATGAGGAAATCCCGTTTCCAACGAAAGCCTCAAAGAGGTCTGAATATCCACTTGCAGACTTTACAAACAGAGTGTTTCCTAACTGCTCTATGAAAAGAAAGGTTAAACTCTGTGAGTTCAACGCCCACATCACAAAGGAGTTTCTGAGAATCATTCTGTCTAGTTTTTCTACGAAGATATTTCCTTTTCTACTACTGACCTCAAAGCGGCTGAAATCTCCACTTGCAAATTCCACAAAAAGAGTGTTTCAAGTCTGCTCTGTGTAAAGGATCGTTCAACTCTGTGAGTTGAATACACACAACACAAGGAAGTTACTGAGAATTCTTCTGTCTAGCAGAATATGAAGAAATCCCGTTTCCAACGAAGGCCTCAAAGAGGTCTGAATATCCACTTGCAGACTTTACAAACAGAGTGTTTCCTAACTGCTCTATGAAAAGAAAGGTTAAACTCTGTGAGTTGAAGGCACACATCACAAAGGAGTTTCTGAGATCATTCTGTCTAGTTTCTATAAGAAGATATTTCCTATTCTACCATTGACCTCAAAGCGGCTGAAATCTCCACTTGCAAATTCCACAAAAAGTGTGTTTCAAGTCTGCTCTGTGTAAAGGATCGTTCAACTCTGTGAGTTGAATACACACAACACAAGGAAGTTACTGAGAATTCTTCTGTCTAGCCTTACATGAAAAAAACCCGTTTCCAACGAAGGCCTCTAAGTGGTCAAAATTTCCACGTGCAGACTTTACAAACAGAGTGTTTCCAAACCGCTGAATGAAAAGAAAAGTTAAACTCTGAGAGTTGAAGGCACACATCACGCAGCAGTTTCTGAGAATGATTCTGTCTAGTTTTTATACGAAGATATTTCCTTTTCTGCCTTTGGCCTCAAAGCGCTTGAAATCTCCACTTGAAAATTCCACAAAAAGAGTGTTTCAAATCTGCTCTGTGTAAATCAAAGTTCAACTCTGTGAGTTGAACACACACAACACAAGGAAGTTACTGGGAATTCTTCTGTCTAGCCTTATATGAAAAAAACCCGTTTCCAACGAAGGCCTCAAAGAGGTCTGAATATCCTCTTGCAGACTTTACAAACAGAGTGTTTCCTAACAGCTCTATGAAAAGAAAGGTTAAACTCTGTGAGTTGGGCACACACATCCCAAAGGAGTTTCTGAGAATCATTCTGTCTAGTTTTTCTACGAAAGATATTTCCTTTTCTACTATTGACCTCAAAGCGGCTGAAATCTCCACTTGCAAATTCCACAAAAAGAGAGTTTCAAGTCTGCTCTGTGTAAAGGATCGTTCAACTCTGTGAGTTGAATACACACAACACAAGGAAGTTACTGAGAATTCTTCTGTCTAGCATAATATGAAGAAATCCCGTTTCCAACGAAGGCCTCAAAGAGGTCTGAATATCCACCTGCAGACTTAACAAACAGAGTGTTTCCTAACTGCTCTATGAAAAGAAAGGTTAAACTCTGTGAGTTGAACGCACACAGCACAAAGGAGTTTCTGAGAATCATTCTGTCTAGTTTTTATGTGAAGATATTTCCTTTTCTACCATTGACCTCAAAGCGGCTGAAATCTCCACTTACAAATTCCAAAAAAGAGTGTCTCAAGTCTGCTCTGTGTAAACGATCGTTCAACTCTGTGAGTTGAATACACACAACACAAGGAAGTTTCTGAGAATTCTTCTGTATAGCAGAATATGAAGAAATCCCGCTTCCAACGAAGGCCTCAAGGAGGTCTGAATATCCACTTGCAGACTTTTCAAACAGAGTGTTTCCTAACTGCTCTATGAAAAGAAAGGTTAAACTCTGTGAGTTGAACGCAGACATCACAAAGGAGTTTCTGAGAATCACTCTGTCTAGTTTTTCTACGAAGATATTTCCTTTTCTACTATTGACCTCAAAGCGGCTGAAATCTCCACTTGCAAATTCCACAAAAAGAGTGTTTCAAGTCTGCTCTCTGTAAAGGATCGTTCAACTCTGTGAGTTGAATACACACAACACAAGGAAGTTACTGAGAATTATTCTGTCTAGCAGAATATGAAGAAATCCCGTTTCCAACGAAGGCCTCAAAGAGGTCTGAATATCCACTTGCAGACTTTACAAACAGAGTGTTTCCTAACTGCTCTATGAAAAGAAAGGTTAAACTCTATGAGTTGAACGCACACATCACAAAGGAGTTTCTGAGAATCATTCTGCCTAGTTTTTCTACGAAGATATTTCCTTTTCTACTATTGACCTCAAAGCGGCTGAAATCTCCACTTGCAAATTCCACAAAAAGAGTGTTTCAAGACTGCTCTGTGTAAAGGATCGTTCAACTCTGTGAGTTGAATACACACAACACAAGGAAGTTACTGAGAATTCTTCTGTCTAGCAGAATATGAAGAAAACCCGTTTCCAACGAAGGCCTCAAAGAGGTCTGAATATCCACTTGCAGACTTTACAAACAGAGTGTTTCCTAACTGCTCTATGAAAAGAAAGGTTAAACTCTGTGAGTTGAACGCACACATCACAAAGGAGTTTCTGAGAATCATTTCTGTCTAGTTTTTATACGAAGATATTTCCTTTTCTGCCTTTGGCCTCAAAGCGCTTGAAATCTCCATTTGCAAATTCCACAAAAAGAGTGTTTCAAATCTGCTCTGTCTAAGGGATCGTTCAACTCTGTGAGTTGAATGTACACAACACAAGGAAGTTACTGGGAATTCTTCTGTCTAGCATAATATGAAGAAATCCCGTTTCCAACGAATGCCTCAAGGAGGTCTGAATATCCACTTGCAGACTTTACAAACAGAGTGTTTCCTAACTGCTCTATGAAAAGAAAGGTTAAACTGTGTGAGTGGAACGCACACATCACAAAGGAGTTTCTGAGAATCATTCTGTCTAGTTTCTATATGAAGATATTTCCTATTCTACCATTGACCTGAAAGCGGCTGAAATCTCCACTTGCAAATTCCACAAAAAGAGTGTTTCAAGTCTGCTCTGTGTAAAGGATCGTTCAACTCTGTGAGTTGAATACACACAACACAAGGAAGTTACTGAGAATTCTTCTGTCTAGCAGAATAGGAAGAAATCCCGTTTCCAACGAAGGCCTCAAAGAGGTCTGAATATCCACTTGCAGACTTTACAAACAGAGTGTTTCCTAACTGCTCTATGAAAAGAAAAGTTAAACTCTGTGAGTTGAACGCACACATCACAAAGGAGTTTCTGAGAATCATTCTGTCTAGTTTTTATACGAAGATATTTCCTTTTCTACCATTGACCTCAAAGCGGCTGAATTCTCCACTTACAAATTCCACCAAAAGAGTGTCTCAAATCTGCTCTGTGTAAAGAATCATTCAACTCTGTGAGTTGAATGCACACAACACAAGGAAGTTACTGGGAATTCCTCTGTCTAGCAGAATATGAAGAAATCCCGTTTCCAACGAAGGCCACAAGATGTCTGAATATCCACTTACAGACTTTACAAACAGAGTGTTTCCTAACTGCTCTATGAACAGAAAGGTTAAACTCTGTGAGTTGAACGAACACAGCACAACGCAGTTTGTGGGAATGATTCTGTCTAGTTTTGAAACCAAGATATTTCCTTTTCTGCCGTTGACCTTAAAGAGCTTGAAAACTACACTTGCAAATTGCACAAATAGAGTGTTTCAAATCTGCTCTGTCTAAGGGAACGTTCAACTCTGTGAGTTGAATGCACACAACACAAGGAAGTTACTGGGAATTCTTCTGTCTAGCCTTATATGAAAAAAACCCGTTTCCAACGAAGGCCTCTAAGTGGTCAAATTATCCACGCGCAGACTTTACAAACAGAGTGTTTCCAAACTGCTGAATGAAAAGAAAAGTTAAACTCTGAGAGTTGAACGCACACATCGCAGAGCAGTTTCTGAGAATGATTCTGTCTAGTTTTCATACGAAGATATTTCCTTTTCTGCCTTTGGCCTCAAAGCGCTTGAAATCTCCACTTGCAAATTCCACAAAAAGAGTGTTTCAAATCTGCTCTGTGTAAATGAAAGTTCAACTCTGTGAGTTGAACACACACAACACAAGGAAGTTACTGGGAATTCTTCTGTCTAGCATAATATGAAGAAATCCCGTTTCCAACGAAGGCCTCAAAGAGGTCTGAATATCCACTTGCAGAGTTTACAAACAGAGTGTTTCCTAACTGCTCTATGAAAAGAAAGGTTAAACTCTGTGAGTTGAACGCACACATCACAAGGGAGTTTCTGAGAATCATTCTGTCTAGTTTCTATAAGAAGATATTTCCTATTCTACCATTGACCTCAAAGCGGCTGAAATCTCCACTTGCAAATTCGACAAAAAGAGTGTTTCAAGCCTGCTCTCTGTAAAGGATCCTTCAACTCTGTGAGTTGAATACACACAACACAAGGAAGTTACTGAGAATTATTCTGTCTAGCAGAATATGAAGAAAGCCCGTTTCCAACGAAGGCCGCAAGATTTCAGAATATCCACTTACAGAATTTACAAACAGAGTGTTTCCTAACTGCTCTATGAAAAGAAAGGTTAAACTCTGTGAGTTGAACGAACACATCAATACGCAGTTTGTGGGAATGATTCTGTCTAGTTTTGAAACGAAGATATTTCCTTTTCTGCCATTGAACTTAAAGCGCTTGAAATCTCCATTTGCGAATTGCACAAAAAGAGTGTTTCAAATCTGCTCTGTCTAAGGGAACGTTCAACTCTGTGAGTTGAATGTACACAACACAAGGAAAGTTACTGGGAATTCTTCTGTCTAGCCTTACAGGAAAAAAACCCGTTTCCAACGAAGGCCTCTAAGTGGTCAAAATATCCACGTGCAGACTTTACAAACAGAGTGTTTCCAAACTGCTGAATGAAAAGAAAAGTTAAACTCTGAGAGTTGAACGCACACATCGCAGAGCAGTTTCTGAGAATGATTCTGTCTAGTTTTTATACGAAGATATTTCCTTTTCTGCCTTTGGCCTCAAAGCGCTTGAAATCTCCACTTGCAAATTCCACAAAAAGAGTGTTTCAAATCTGGTCTGTGTAAATGAAAGTTCAACTCTGTGAGTTGAACACACACAACACAAGGAAGTTACTGGGAATTCTTCTGTCTAGCCTTACATGAAAAAAACCCGTTTCCAACGAAGGCCTCAAAGAGGTCTGAATATCCACTTGCAGACTTTACAAACAGAGTGTTTCCTAACTGCTCTATGAAAAGAAAGGTTAAACTCTGTGAGTTGAACGCAGACATCACAAAGGAGTTTCTGAGAATCGTTCTGTCTTGTTTTTATACGAAGATATTTCCTTTTCTACCATTGACCTCAAAGCGGCTGAAATCTCCACTTGCAAATTACACAAAAAGAGTGTTTCAAGTCTACTCTGTGTAAAGCATCGTTCAACTCTGTGAGTTGAAAACACACAACAGAAGGAAGTTTCTGAGAATTCTTCTGTCTAGCAGAATATGAAGAAATCGCGTTTCCAACGAAGGCCACAAGATGTCAGAATATCCACTTACAGACTTTAGAAACAGAGAGTTTCCTAACTGCTCTATGAACAGAAAGGTTAAACTCTGTGAGTTGAACGAACACATCACAACGCAGTTTGTGGGAATGATTCTGTCTAGTTTTTATAGGAAGATATTTCCTTTTCTACCTTTGACTTCAAAGCGGCTGAAATCTCCACTTGCAAATTCCACAAAAAGAGTGTTACAAGTCTGCTCTGTGTAAAGGATCGTTCAGCTGTGTGAGTTGAATACACACAACACAAGGAAGTTACTGAGAATTCTTCTGTCTAGCCTTACATGAAAAAAACCCGTTTCCAACGAAGGCCTCTAAGTGGTCAAATTATCCACGTGCAGACTTTACAAACAGAGTGTTTCCAAACTGCTGAATGAAAAGAAAAGTTAAACTCTGAGAGTTGAACGCACACATCGCAGAGCAGTTTCTGAGAATGATTCTGTCTAGTTTTGAAACGAAGATATTACCTTTTCTGCCTTTGGCCCCAAAGCGCTTGAAATCTCCATTTGCAAATTCCACAAAAAGAGTGTTTCAAATCTGCTCTGTGTTAATGAACGTTCAACTCTGTGAGTTGAACACACACAACACAAGGAAGTTACTGGGAATTCTTCTGTCTAGCATAATATGAAGAAATCCCGTTTCCAACGAAGGCCTCAAGGAGGTCTGAATATCCACTTGCAGACTTTACAAACAGAGTGTTTCCTAACTGCTCTATGAAAAGAAAGGTTAAACTCTGTGAGTTGAACGCACACATCACAAAGGAATTTCTGAGAATCATTCTGTCTAGTTTCTATAGGAAAATATTTCCTATTCTACCATTGAACTCAAAGCGGCTGAAATCTCCACTTGCAAATTCCACAAAAAGAGTGTTTCAAGTCTGCTCTGTGTAAAGGATCGTTCAACTCTGTGAGTTGAATACACACAACACAAGGAAGTTACTGAGAATTCTTCTGTCTAGCAGAATATGAAGAAATCCCGTTTCCAATGAAGGCCTCAAGGAGGTCTGAATATCCACTTGCAGACATTTACAAACAGAGTGTTTCCTAACTGCTCTATGAAAAGAAAGGTTAAACTCTGTGAGTTGAACGAACACATCACAACGCAGTTTGTGGGAATGATTCTGTCTAGTTTTGAAACGAAGATATTTCCTTTTCTGCCATTGACCTTAAAGCGCTTGAAATCTCCACTTGCCAATTGCACAAAAAGAGTGTTTCAAATCTGCTCTGTCTAAGGGAACGTTCAACTCTGTGAGTTGAATGTACACAACACAAGGAAGTTACTGGGAATTCTTCTGTCTAGCATAATATGAAGAAATCCCGTTTCCAACGAAGGCCTCAAAGGGGTCTGAATATCCACTTGCAGACTTTACAAACAGAGTGTTTCCTAACTGCTCTATGAACAGAAAGGTTAAACTCTGTGAGTTGAACGCACACATCACTAAGGAGTTTCTGAGAATCATTCTGTCTAGTCTTTATACGAAGATATTTACTTTTCTACCATTGACCTCAAAGCGGCTGAAATCTCCACTTGCAAATTCCACAAAAAGAGTGTTTCAAGTCTGCTCTGTGTAAACGATCATTCAACTCTGTGAGTTGAATAAACACAACACAAGGAAGTTACTGAGAATTCTTCTGTCTAGCAGAATATGAAGAAATCCCGTTTCCAACGAAGGCCTCAAGGAGGTCTGAATATCCACTTGCAGACTTTACAAACAGAGTGTTTCCTAACTGCTCTATGAAAAGAAAGGTTAAACTCTGTGAGTTGAACGCACACATCACAAAGGAGTTTATGAGAATCATTCTGTCTAGTTTCTATAGGAAGATATTTCCTATTCTACCATTGACCTCAAAGCGGCTGAAATCTCCACTTGCAAATTCCAGAAAAAGAATGTTTCAAGTCTGCTCTGTGTAAAGGATCGTTCAACTCTGTGAGTTGAATACACACAACTCCACAAGGAAGTTACTGAGAATTCTTCTGTCTAGCAGAATATGAAGAAATCCCGTTTCCAACGAAGGCCACAAGATGTCAGAATATCCACTTACAGAATTTACAAACAGACTGTTTCCTAACTGCTCTATGAAAAGAAAGGTTAAACTCTGTGAGTTGAACGAACACATCACAACGCAGTTTGTGGGAATGATTCTGTCTAGTTTTGAAACGAAGATATTTCCTTTTCTGCCATTGACCTTAAAGCCCTTGAAATCTCCACTTGCCAATTGCACAAAAAGAGTGTTTCAAATCTGCTCTGTCTAAGGGAACGTTCAACTCTGTGAGTTCAATGTACACAACACAAGGAAGTTACTGGGAATTCTTCTGTCTAGCCTTACAGGAAAAAAACCCGTTTCCAACGAAGGCCTCTAAGTGGTCAAAATATCCACGTGCAGACTTTACAAACAGAGTGTTTCCAAACTGCTGAATGAAAAGAAAAGTTAAACTCTGAGAGTTGAACGCACACATTGCAGAGCAGCTTCTGAGAATGATTCTGTCTAGTTTTTATACGAAGATATTTCCTTTTCTGCCTTTGGCCTCAAAGCGCTTGAAATCTCCACTTGCAAATTCCACAAAAAGAGTGTTTCAAATCTGCTCTGTGTAAATCAAAGTTCAACTCTGTGAGTTGAACACACACAACACAAGGAAGTTACTGGGAATTCTTCTGTCTAGCACAGTATGGAGAAATCCCCTTTCCAACGAAGGCCTCAAAGAGGTCTGAATATCCACTTGCAGAGTTTACAAACAGAGTGTTTCCTAACTGCTCTATGAAAAGAAAGGTTAAACTCTGTGAGTTGAACGCACACATCACAATGAAGTTTCTGAGAATCATTCTGTCTAGTTTCTATAAGAAGATATTTCCTATTCTACCATTGACCTCAAAGCGGCTGAAATCTCCACTTGCAAATTCCAGAAAAAGAGTGTTTCAAGTCTGCTCTGTGTAAAGGATCGTTCAACTCTGTGAGTTGAATACACACAACACAAGGAAGTTACTGAGAATTCTTCTGTCTAGCAGAATATGAAGAAATCCCGTTTCCAACGAAGGCCACAAGATGTCAGAATATCCACTTACAGAATTTACAAACAGAGTGTTTCCTAACTGCTCTATGAAAAGAAAGGTTAAACTCTGTGAGATGAACGAACACATCACAACGCAGTTTGTGGGAATGATTCTGTCTAGTTTTGAAACGAAGATATTTCCTTTTCTGCCATTGACCTCAAAGCGCTTGAAATCTCCACTTGCCAAATGCACAAAAAGAGTGTTTCAAATCTGCTCTGTCTAAGGGAACGTTCAACTCTGTGAGTTGAATGTACACAACACAAGGAAGTTACTGGGAATTCTTCTGTCTAGCCTTACAGGAGAAAAACCCGTTTCCAACGAAGGCCTCTAAGTGGTCAAAATATCCACGTGCAGACTTTACAAACAGAGTGTTTCCAAACTGCTGAATGAAACGAAAAGTTAAACTCTGAGAGTTGAACGCACACATCGCAGAGCAGTTTCTGAGAATGATTCTGTCTAGTTTTTCTACGAAGATATTTCCTTTTCTACTATTGACCTGAAAGCGGCTGAAATCTCCACTTGCAAATTCCACAAAAAGAGTGTTTCAAGTCTTCTCTGTGTAAAGGATCGTTCAACTCTGTGAGTTGAATACACACAACACAAGGGAAGTTACTGAGAATTCTTCTCTCTAGCAGAATATGAAGAAATCCCCTTTCCAACGAAGGCCTCAAAGAGGTCTGAATATCAACTTGCAGACTTTACAAACAGAGTGTTTCCTAACTGCTCTATGAAAAGAAAGGTTAAACTCTGTGAGTTGAACGCACACATCACAAAGGAGTTTCTGAGAATCATTCTGTCTAGTCTTTATACGAAGATATATCCTTTTCTACCATTGACCTCAAAGCGGCTGAAATCTCCACTTGCGAATTCCACAAAAAGAGTGTTTCAAGTCTGCTCTCTGTAAAGGATCGTTCAACTCTGTGAGTTGAATACACACAACATAAGGAAGTTACTGAGAATTATTCTGTCTAGCATAATATGAAGAAATCCCGTTTCCAACGAAGGCCTCAAAGAGGTCTGAATATGCACTTGCAGACTTTACAGAGAGTTTCCTAACTGCTCTATGAAAAGAAAAGTTAAACTCTGTGAGTTGAACGCACACATCACAAAGGAGTTTCTGAGAATCATTCTGTCTAGTTTTGAAACGAAGATATTTCCTTTTCTGCCATTGACCTTAAAGCGCTTGAAATCTACACTTGCAAATTGCACAAATAGAGTGTTTCAAATCTGCTCTGTCTAAGGGAACGTTCAACTCTGTGAGTTGAATGCACACAACACAAGGAAGTTACTGGGAATTCTTCTGTCTAGCCTTACATGAAAAAAACCCGTTTCCAACGAAGGCCTCTAAGTGGTCAAAATATCCACGTGCAGACTTTACAAACAGAGTGTTTCCAAACCGCTGAATGAAAAGAAAAGTTAAACTCCGAGAGTTGAACGCACACATCACGCAGCAGTTTCTGAGAATGATTCTGTCTAGTTTTTATACGAAGATATTTCCTTTTCTGCCTTTGGCCTCAAAGCGCTTGAAATCTCCACTTGCAAATTCCACAAAAAGAGTGTTTCAAATCTGCTCTGTGTAAATGAAAGTTCAACTCTATGAGTTGAACACACACAACACAAGGAAGTTACTGGGAATTCTTCTGTCTAGCATAATAGGAAGAAATCCCGTTTCCAACGAAGGCCTCAAGGAGGTCTGAATATCCACTTGCAGACTTTACAAACAGAGTGTTTCCTAACTGCTCTATGAAAAGAAAGGTTAAACTCTGTGAGTTGAACGCACACATCACAAAGGAGTTTCTGAGAATCATTCTGTCTAGTTTCTATACGAAGACATTTCATTTTCTACCATTAACCTCAAAGCGGCTGAAATCTCCACTTGCAAATTCCACATAAAGAGTGTTTCAAGTCTGCTTTGTGTAAATGATCGTTCAACTCTGTGAGTTGAATACACACAACACAAGGAAGTTACTGAGAATTCTTCTGTCTAGCAGAATATGAAGAAATCCCGTTTCCAACGAAGGCCACAAGACGTCAGAATATCCACTTACAGACTTTACAAACAGAGTGTTTCCTAACTGCTCTATGAACAGAAAGGTTAAACTCTGTGAGTTGAACGAACACATCACAACGCAGTTTCTGGGAATGATTCTGTCTAGTTTTGAAACGAAGATATTTCCTTTTCTGCCATTGACCTTAAAGCGCTTGAAATCTACACTTGCAAATTGCACAAATAGAGTGTTTCAAATCTGCTCTGTCTAAGGGAACGTTCAACTCTGTGAGTTGAATGCACACAACACAAGGAAGTTACTGGGAATTCTTCTGTCTAGCCTTACATGAAAAAATCCCGTTTCCAACGAAGGCCTCTAAGTGGTCAAAATATCCACGTGCAGACTTTACAAACAGAGTGTTTCCAAACCGCTGAATGAAAAGAAAAGTTAAACTCTGAGAGTTGAAGGCACACGTCACGCAGCAGTTTCTGAGAATGATTCTGTCTAGTTTTTATACGAAGATATTTCCTTTTCTGCCTTTCGCCTCAAAGCGCTTGAAATCTCCACTTGCAAATTCCACAAAAAGAGTGTTTCAAATCTGCTCTGTGTAAATGAAAGTTCAACTCTGTGAGTTGAACACACACAACACAAGGAAGTTACTGGGAATTCTTCTGTCTAGCAGAATATGAAGAAATCCCATTTCCAACGAAGGCCTCAAGGAGGTCTGAATATCCACTTGCAGACTTTACAAACAGAGTGTTTCCTAACTGCTCTACGGAAAGAAAGGTTAAACTCTGTGAGTTGAACACACACATCACAAAGGAGTTTCTGAGAATCATTCTGTCTAGTTTTTATATGAAGATATTTCCTTTTCTACCATTGACCTCAAAGCGGCTGAAATCTCCACTTACAAATTCCACAAAAAGAGTGTCTCAAGTCTGCTCTGTGTAAACGATCGTTCAACTCTGTGAGTTGAATACACACAACACAAGGAAGTTTCTGAGAATTCTTCTGTCTAGCAGAATATGAAGAAAACCCGTTTCCATCGAAGGCCACAAGATGTCAGAATATCCACTTACAGAATTGACAAACAGACTGTTTCCTAACTGCTCTATGAAAAGAAAGGTTAAACTCTGTGAGTTGAACGAACACATCACAACGCAGTTTGTGGGAATGATTCTGTCTAGTTTTGAAACGAAGATATTTCCTTTTCTGCCATTGACCTTAAAGCGCTTGAAATCTCCACTTGCCAATTGCACAAAAAGAGTGTTTCAAATCTGCTCTGTCTAAGGGAACGTTCAACTCTGTGAGTTGAATGTACACAACACAAGGAAGTTACTGGGAATTCTTCTGTCTAGCCTTACAGGAAAAAAACCCGTTTCCAACGAAGGCCTCTAAGTGGTCAAAATATCCACGTGCAGACTTTACAAACAGAGTGTTTCCAAACTGCTGAATGAAAAGAAAAGTTAAACTCTGAGAGTTGAACGCACACATCGCAGAGCAGTTTCTGAGAATGATTCTGTCTAGTTTTTATACGAAGATATTTCCTTTTCTGCCTTTGGACTCAAAGCGCTTGAAATCTCCATTTGCAAATTCCACAAAAAGAGTGTTTCAAATCTGCTCTGTGTAAATGAAAGTTCAACTCTGTGAGTCGAACACACACAACACAAGGAAGTTACTGGGAATTCTTCTGTCTAGCACAGTATGGAGAAATCCCGTTTCCAACGAAGGCCTCAAAGAGGTCTGAATATCCACTTGCAGAGTTTACAAACAGAGTGTTTCCTAACTGCTCTATGAACAGAAAGGTTAAACTCTGTGAGTTGAACGCACACATCACAAAGAAGTTTCTGAGAATCATTCTGTCTAGTTTCTATAGGAAGATATTTCCTATTTTACCATTGACCTCAAAGCGGCTGAAATCTCCACTTGCAAATTCCACAAAAAGAGTGTTTCAAGTCTGCTCTGTGTAAAGGATCGTTCAACTCTGTGAGTTGAAAACACACAACACAAGGAAGTTTCTGAGAATTCTTCTGTCTAGCAGAATATGAAGAAATCCCGTTTCCAACGAAGGCCTCAAGGAGGTCTGAATATCCACTTGCAGACTTTACAAACAGAGTGTTTCCTAACTGCTCTATGAACAGAAAGGTTAAAGTCTGTGAGTTGAACGAACACATCACAACGCAGTTTGTGGGAATGATTCTGTCTAGTTTTGAAACGAAGATATTTCCTTTTCTGCCATTGACCTTAAAGCGCTTGAAATCTACACTTGCAAATTGCACAAATAGAGTGTTTCAAATCCTGCTCTGTCTAAGGGAACGTTCAACTCTGTGAGTTGAATGCACACAACACAAGGAAGTTACTGGGAATTCTTCTGTCTAGCCTTACATGAAAAAAACCCGTTTCCAACGAAGGCCTCTAAGTGGTCAAGTTATCCACGTGCAGACTTTACAAACAGAGTGTTTCCAAACTGCTGAATGAAAAGAAATGTTAAACTCTGAGAGTTGAACGCACACATCGCAGAGCAGTTTCTGAGAATGATTCTGTCTAGTTTTTATACGAAGATATTTCCTTTTCTACCATTGACCTCAAAGCGCCTGAAATCTCCACTTGCAAATTCCAGAAAAAGAGTGTTTCAAGTCTACTCTGTGTAAAGCATCGTTCAACTCTGTGAGTTGAATACACACAACACAAGGAAGTTTCTGAGAATTCTTCTGTCTAGCCTTATATGAAAAAAACCCGTTTCCAACAAAGGCCTCAAAGAGGTCTGAATATCCTCTTGCAGACTTTACAAACAGAGTGATTCCTAACTGCTCTATGAAAAGAAAGGTTAAACTCTGTGAGTTGAACACACACATCTCAAAGGAGTTTCTGAGAATCATTCTGTCTAGTCTTTATACGAAGATATTTCCTTTTCTACCATTGACCTCAAAGCGGCTGAAATCTCCACTTGCAAATTCCACAAAAAGAGTGCTTAAAGTCTGCTCTCTGTAAAGGATCGTTCAACTCTGTGAGTTGAATACACACAACACAAGGAAGTTACTGAGAATTCTTCTGTCTAGCAGAATATGAAGAAATCCCGTTTCCAACGAAGGCCACAAGATGTCAGAATATCCACTTACAGAATTTACAAACAGACTGTTTCCTAACTGCTCTACGAAAAGAAAGGTTAAACTCTGTGAGATGAACGAACACATCACAACGCAGTTTGTGGGAATGATTCTGTCTAGTTTTGAAAGGAAGATATTTCCTTTTCTGCCATTGACCTTAAAGCGCTTGAAATCTCCACTTGCCAATTGCACAAAAAGAGTGTTTCAAATCTGCTCTGTCTAAGGGAACGTTCAACTCTGTGAGTTGAATGTACACAACACAAGGAAGTTACTGTGAATTCTTCTTTTTAGCCTTACAGGAAAAAAACCCGTTTCCAACGAAGGCCTCTAAGTGGTCAAAATATCCACGTGCAGACTTTACAAACAGAGTGTTTCCAAACTGCTGAATGAAAAGAAAAGTTAAACTCTGAGAGTTGAACGCACACATCGCAGAGCAGTTTCTGAGAATGATTCTGTCTAGTCTTTATACGAAGATATTTACTTTTCTATCATTGACCTCAAAGCGGCTGAAATCGCCACTTGCAAATTCCACAAAAAGAGTGTTTCAAGTCTGCTCTGTGTAAAGGATCATTCAACTCTGTGAGTTGAATAAACACAACACAAGGAAGTTACTGAGAATTCTTCTGTCTAGCAGAATATGAAGAAATCCCGTTTCCAACGAAGGCCTCAAGGAGGTCTGAATATCCACTTGCAGACTTTTCAAACAGAGTGTTTCCTAACTGCTCTATGAAAAGAAAGGTTAAACTCTGTGAGTTGAACGCACACATCACAAAGGAGTTTATGAGAATCATTCTGTCTAGTTTCTATAGGAAGATATTTTCTATTCTACCATTGAACTCAAAGCGGCTGAAATCTCCACATGCAAATTCCACAAAAAGAGTGTTTCAAGTCTGCTCTGTGTAAAGGATCGTTCAACTCTGTGAGTTGAATACACACAACACAAGGAAGTTACTGAGAATTCTTCTGTCTAGCAGAATATGAAGAAATCCCGTTTCCAACGAAGGCCACAAGATGTCAGAATATCCACTTTCAGACTTTACAAACAGAGTGTTTCCTAACTGCTCTATGAACAGAAAGGTTAAACTCTGTGAGTTGAACGAACACATCACAACGCAGTTTGTGGGAATGATTCTGTCTAGTTTTGAAACGAAGATATTTCCTTTTCTGCCATTGACCTTAAAGCGCTTGAAATCTCCATTTGCCAATTGCACAAAAAGAGTGTTTCAAATCTGCTCTGTCTAAGGGAACGTTCAACTCTGTGAGTTGAATGTACACAACACAAGGAAGTTACTGGGAATTCTTCTGTCTAGCCTTACATGAAAAAATCCCGTTTCCAACGAAGGCCTCTAAGTGGTCAAAATTTCCACGTGCAGACTTTACAAACAGAGTGTTTCCAAACCGCTGAATGAAAAGAAAAGTTAAACTCTGAGAGTTGAACGCACACATCACGCAGCAGTTTCTGAGAATGATTCTGTCTAGTTTTTATACGAAGATATTTCCTTTTCTGCCTTTGGCCCCGAAGCGCTTGAAATCTCCACTTGCAAATTCCACAAAAAGAGTGTTTCAAGTCTGCTCTGTGTAAAGGATCGTTCAACTCTGTCAGTTGAATACACACAACACAAGGAAGTTACTGAGAATTCTTGTGTCTAGCAGAACATGAAGAAATCCCGTTTCCAACGAAGGCCTCAAAGGTGTCTGAATATCCACTTGCAGACTTTACAAACAGAGTGTTTCCTAACTGCTCTATGAAAAGAAAGGTTAAGCTCTGTGAGTTGAACGCACACATCACAAAGGATTTTCTGAGAATCATTCTGTCTAGTCTTTATACGAAAATATTTCCTTTTCTACCATTGACCTCAAAGCGGCTGAAATCTCCACTTGCAAATTCCACAAAAAGAGTGTTTCAAGTCGGCTCTCTGTAAAGGATCGTTCAACTCTGTGAGTTGAATACACACAACACAAGGAAGTTACTGAGAAGTATTCTGTCTAGCATAATATGAAGAAATCCCTTTTCCAACGAAGAGTTCAAAGAGGTCTGAATATCCACTTGCAGACTTTACAAACAGAGTGTTTCCTAACTGCTCTATGAAAAGAAAAGTTAAACTCTGTGAGTTGAACGCACACATCACAAAGGAGTTTCTGAGAATCATTCTGTCTAGTTTTGAAACGAAGATATTTCCTTTTCTGCCGTTGACCTTAAAGCGCTTGAAATCTACACTTGCAAATTGCACAAATAGAGTGTTTCAAATCTGCTCTGTCTAAGGGAACGTTCAACTCTGTGAGTTGAATGCACACAACACAAGGAAGTTACTGGGAATTCTTCTGTCTATCCTTACATGAAAAAAACCCGTTTCCAACGAAGGCCTCTAAGTGGTCAAAATTTCCACGTGCAGACTTTACAAACAGAGTGTTTCCAAACCGCTGAATGAAAAGAAAAGTTAAACTCTGAGAGTTGAACGCACACATCACGCAGCAGTTTCTGAGAATGATTCTGTCTAGTTTTGAAACGAAGATATTTCCTTTTCTGCCTTTGGCCTCAAAGCGCTTGAAATATCCACTTGCAAATTCCACAAAAAGAGTGTTTCAAATCTGCTCTGTGTAAATGAAAGTTCAACTCTGTGAGTTGAACACACACAACACAAGGAAGTTACTGGGAATTCTTCTGTCTAGCCTTATATGAAAAAAACCCAGTTTCCAACGAAGGCCTCAAAGAGGTCTGAATATCCACTTGCAGACTTTACAAACAGAGTGTTTCCTAACTGCTCTATGAAAAGAAAGGTTAAACTCTGTGAGTTGAACGCACACATCACAAAGGAGTTTCTGAGAATCATTCTGTCTACTTTCTATAGGAAGATATTTCCTATTCTACCATTGACCTCAAAGCGGCTGAAATCTCCACTTGCAAATTCCACAAAAGGAGTGTTTCAAGTCTGCTCTGTGTAAAGGATCGTTCAACTCTGTGAGTTGAATACACACAACACAAGGAAGTTACTGAGAATTCTTCTGTCTAGCATAATATGAAGAAATCCCGTTTCCAATGAAGGCCTCAAGGAGGTCTGAATATCCACTTGCAGACTTTACAAACAGAGTGTTTCCTAACTGCTCTATGAAAAGAAAGGTTAAACTGTGTGAGTTGAACGCACACATCACAAAGGAGTTTCTGAGAATCATTCTGTCTAGTTTTGAAAGGAAGATATTTCCTTTTCAGCCGTTGACCTTAAAGCGCTTGAAATCTACACTTGCAAATTGCAAAAATAGGCTGTTTCAAATCTGCTCTGTCTAAGGGAACGTTCAACTCTGTGAGTTGAATGCACACAACACAAGGAAGTTACTGAGAATTCTTCTGTCTAGCCTTACATGCAAAAAACCCGTTTCCAACGAAGGCCTCTAAGTGGTCAAAATATCCACGTGCAGACATTACAAACAGAGTGTTTCCAAACCGCTGAATGAAAAGAAAAGTTAAACTCTGAGAGTTGAACGCACACATCACGCAGCAGTTTCTAAGAATGATTCTGTCTAGTTTTTATACGAAGATATTTCGTTTTCTGCCTTTGGCCCGAAAGCGCTTGAAATCTCCACTTGCAAATTCCACAAAAACAGTGTTTCAAATCTGCTCTCTCTAAATGAAAGTTCAACTCTGTCAGTTGAATACACACAACACAAGGAAGTTACTGAGAATTCTTCTGTCTAGCATAATATGAAGAAATCCCGTTTCCAACGAAGGCCTCAAAGAGGTCTTAATATCCACTTGCAGACTTTACAAACAGAGTGTTTCCTAACTGCTCTATGAGAAGAAAAGTTAAACTCTGTGAGTTGAACGCACACATCACAAAAGATTTTCTGAGAATCATTCTGTGTAGTTTTTCTACGAAGATATTTCCTTTTCTACTATTGACCTCAAAGCGGCTGAAATCTCCACTTGCAAATTCCACAAAAAGAGTGTTTCAAGTCTGCTCTGTGTAAAGGATCGTGCAACTCTGTGAGTTGAATACACACAACACAAGGAAGTTACTGAGAATTCTTCTGTCTAGCAGAATATGAAGAAATCCCGTTTCCAACGAATGCCACAAGATGTCAGAATATCCACTTACAGAATTTACAAACAGACTGTTTCCTAACTGCTCTATGAAAAGAAAGGTTAAACTCTGTGAGTTGAACGAACACATCACAACGCAGTTTGTGGGAATGATTCTGTCTAGTTTTGAAACGAAGATATTTCCTTTTCTGCCATTGACCTTAAAGCGCTTGAAATCTCCACTTGCCAATTGCACAAAAAGAGTGTTTCAAATCTGCTCTGTCTAAAGGAACGTTCAACTCTGTGAGTTGAATGTACACAACACAAGGAAGTTACTGGGAATTCTTCTGTCTAGCCTTACATGAAAAAATTCCGTTTCCAACGAAGGCCTCTAAGTGGTCAAAATATCCACGTGCAGACTTTACAAACAGAGTGTTTCCAAACCGCTGAATGAAAAGAAAAGTTAAACTCTGAGAGTTGAACGCACACATCACGCAGCAGTTTCTGAGAATGATTCTGTCTAGTTTTGAAACGAAGACATTTCCTTTTCTGCCTTTGGCCTCAAAGCCCTTGAAATCTCCACTTGCAAATTCCACAAAAAGAGGGTTTCAAATCTGCTCTGTGTAAATGAAAGTTCAACTCTGTGAGTTGAACACACACAACACAAGGAAGTTACTGGGAATTCTTCTGTCTAGCATAATATGAAGAAATCCCGTTTCCAACGAAGGCCTCAAAGGGGTCTGAATATCCACTTGCAGACTTTATAAACAGAGTATTTACTAACTGCTCTATGAAAAGAAAGGTTAAACTTCGTGAGTTGAACACACACATCACAAAGGAGTTTCTGAGAATCATTCTGTCTAGTTTTTCTACGAAGATATTTCCTTTTCTACTATTGACCTCAAAGCGGCTGAAATCTCCACTTGCAAATTCCACAAAAAGAGTGTTTCAAGTCTGCTCTGTGTAAAGGATCGTTCAACTCTGCGAGTTCAATACACACAACACAAGGTAAGTTACTGAGAATTCTTCTGTCTAGCAGAATATGAAGAAATCCCGTTTCCAACGAAGGCCACAAGATGTCAGAATATCCACTTACAGAATTGACAAACAGACTGTTTCCTAACTGCTCTATGAAAAGAAAGGTTAAACTCTGTGAGATGAACGAACACATCACAACGCAGTTTGTGGGAATGATTCTGTCTAGTTTTGAAACGAAGATATTTCCTTTTCTGCCATTGAACTTAAAGCGCTTGAAATCTCCACTTGCCAATTGCACAAAAAGAGTGTTTCAAATCTGCTCTGTCTAAGGGAACGTTCAACTCTGTGAGTTGAACGTACACAACACAAGGAAAGTTACTGGGAATTCTTCTGTCTAGCCTTACATGAAAAAAACCCGTTTCCAACGAAAGCCTCAAAGAAGTCCAAATATCCACATGCAGACTTTACAAACAGAGTGTTTCCCAACTGCTCTATGAAAAGAAAGGTTAAACACTGTGAGTTGAACGCCCACATCACAAAGGAGTTTCTGAGAATCATTCTGTCTAGTCTTTATAGGAAGATATTTACTTTTCTACCATTGACCTCAAAGCGGCTGAAATCTCCACTTGCAAATTCCACAAAAAGAGTGTTTCAAGTCTGCTCTCTGTAAAGGATCATTCAACTCTGTGAGTTGAATAAACACAACACAAGGAAGTTACTGAGAATTCTTCTGTCTGGCAGAATATGAAGAAATCCCGTTTCCAACGAAGACCTCAAGGAGGTCTGAATATCCACTTGCAGACTTTAGAGAGTGTTTCCTAACTGCTCTATGAAAAGAAAGGTTAAACTCTGTGAGTTGAACGCACACATCACAAAGGAGTTTCTGAGAATCATTCTGTCTAGTCTTTATATGAAGATAGTTTCCTTTTCTACCATTGACCTCAAAGCGGCTGAAATCTCCACTTGCAAATTCCACAAAAAGAGTGTTTCAAGTCTGCTCTGTGTAAAGGATCATTCAACTCTGTGAGTTGAATACACACAACACAAGGAAGTTACTGAGAATTCTTCTGTCTAGCAAAATATGAAGAAATCCCGTTTCCAACGAAGGCCACAAGATGTCAGAATATCCACTTACAGAATTTACAAACAGACTGTTTCCTAACTGCTCTATGAAAAGAAAGTTTAAACTCTGTGAGTTGAACGAACACATCACAACGCAGTTTGTGGGAATGATTCTGTCTAGTTTTGAAACGAAGATATTTCCTTTTCTGCCATTGACCTTAAAGTGCTTGAAATCTCCACTTGCCAATTGCACAAAAAGAGTGTTTCAAATCTGCTCTGTCTAAGGGAACGTTCAACTCTGTGAGTTGAATGTACACAACACAAGGAAGTTACTGGGAATTCTTCTGTCTAGCCTTACATGAAAAAAACCCGTTTCCAACGAAGGCCTCTAAGTGGTCAAAATTTCCACGTGCAGACTTTACAAACAGAGTGTTTCCAAACCGCTGAATGAAAAGAAAAGTTAAACTCTGAGAGTTGAACGCACACATCACGCAGCAGTTTCTGAGAATGATTCTGTCTACTTTCTATAGGAAGATATTTCCTATTCTACCATTGACCTCAAAGAGGCTGAAATCTCCACTTGCAAATTCCACAAAAAGAGTGTTTCAAGTCTGCTCTGTGTAAAGGATCGTTCAACTCTGTGAGTTGAATACACACAACACAAGGAAGTTACTGAGAATTCTTCTTTCTAGCAGAATATGAAGAAATCCCGTTTCCAACGAAAGCCTCAAGGATGTCTGAATATCCACTTGCAGACTTTACAAACAGAGTGTTTCCTAACTGCTCTATGAAAAGAAAGGTTAAACTCTGTGAGTTGAACGCACACATCACAAAGGAGTTTCTGAGAATCATTCTGTCTAGTTTCTATAGGAAGATATTTCCTATTCTACCATTGAACTCAAAGCGGCTGAAATCTCCACTTGCAAATTCCACAAAAGGAGTGTTTCAAGTCTGCTCTGTGTAAAGGATCGTTCAACTCTGTGAGTTGAAAACACACAACACAAGGAAGTTTCTGAGAATTCTTCTGTCTAGCAGAATATGAAGAAATCCCGTTTCCAACGAAGGCCTCAAGGAGGTCTGAATATCCACTTGCAGACTTTACAAACAGAGTGTTTCCTAACTGCTGTATGAACAGAAAGGTTAAACTCTGTGAGTTGAACGCACACATCACAAAGGAGTTTCTGAGAATCATTCTGTCTAGTTTTGAAACGAAGATATTTCCTTTTCTGCCATTGACCTTAAAGCGCTTGAAATCTACAGTTGCAAATTCCACAAAAAGAGTGTTTCAAGTCTGCTCTGTGTAAAGGATCGTTCAACTCTGTGAGTTGAATACACACAACACAAGGAAGTTACTGAGAATTCTTCTGTCTAGCCTTACATGAAAAAAACCCGTTTCCAACGAAGGCCTCTAAGTGGTCAAAATATCCACGTGCAGGCTTTACAAACGAGAGTGTTTCCAAACCGCTGAATGAAAAGAAAAGTTAAACTCTGAGAGTTGAACGCACACATCACGCAGCAGTTTCTGAGAATGATTCTGTCTAGTTTCTATAGGAAGATATTTCCTATTCTACCATTGACCTCAAAGCGGCTGAAATCTCCACTTGCAAATTCCACAAAAAGAATGTTTCAAGTCTGCTCTGTGTAAAGGATCGTTCAACTCTGTGAGTTCAATACACACAACACAAGGAAGTTACTGAGAATTCTTCTGTCTAGCATAATATGAAGAAATCCCGTTTCCAACGAAGGCCTCAAAGAGGTCTGAATATCCACTTGCAGACTTTACAAACAGAGTGTTTCCTAACGGCTCTATGAAAAGAAAAGTTAAACTCTGTGAGTTGAACGCACACATCACAAAGGAGTTTCTGAGAATCATTCTGTCTAGTTTTTCTACGAAGATATTTCCTTTTCTACTATTGACCTGAAAGCGGCTGAAATCTCCACTTGCAAATTCCACAAAAAGAGTGTTTCAAGTCTGCTCTGTGTAAAGGATCGTTCAACTCTGTGAGTTGAATACACACAACACAAGGAAGTTACTGAGAATTCTTCTGTCTAGCAGAATATTGAAGAAATCCCGTTTCCAACGAAGGCCTCAAGGAGGTCTGAATATCCACTTGCAGACTATACAAACAGAGTGTTTCCTAACTGCTCTATGAACAGAAAGGTTAAACTCTGTGAGTTGAACGCACACATCACAAAGGAGTTTCTGAGAATCATTCTGTCTAGTCTTTATACGAAGATATTTACTTTTCTACCATTGACCTCAAAGCGGCTGAAATCTCCACTTGCAAATTCCACAAAAAGAGTGTTTCAAGTCTGCTCTGTGTAAAGGATCATTCAACTCTGTGAGTTGCATACACACAACACAAGGAAGTTACTGAGAATTCTTCTTTCTAGCAGAATATGAAGAAATCCCGTTTCCAACGAAAGCCTCAAGGATGTCTGAATATCCACTTGCAGACTTTACAAACAGAGTGTTTCCCAACTGCTCTATGAAAAGAAAGGTTAAACTCTGTGAGTTGAACGCACACATCACAAAGGAGTTTCTTAGAATCATTCTGTCTAGTTTTTATACGAAGATATTTCCTTTTCTACCTTTGACCTCAAAGCGGCTGAAATCTCCACCCTGCCAATTCCACAAAAAGAGTGTTTCAAGTCTACTCTGTGTAAATGATCGTTGAACTCTGTGAGTTGAAAACACACAACACATCGAAGTTTCTGAGAATTCTTCTGCCTAGCAGAATATGAAGAAATCCCGTTTCCAACGAAAGCCTCAAAGATGTCTGAATATCCACTTGCAGACTTTACAAACAGAGTGTTTCCTAACTGCTCTATGAAAAGAAAGGTTAAACTCTGTGAGTTGAACGCACACATCACAAAGGAGTTTCTGAGAATCATTCTGTCTAGTTTCTATAGGAAGATATTCCCTATTCTACCATTGACCTCAAAGCGGATGAAATCTCCACTTGCAAATTCCACAAAAAGAGTGTTTCAAGACTGTTCTGTGTAAAGGATCATTCAACTCTGTGAGTTGAATACACACAACACAAGGAAGTTACTGAGAATTCTTCTGTCTAGCAGAATATGAAGAAATCCCGTTTCCAACGAAGGCCACAAGATGTCAGAATATCCACTTACAGACTTTACAAACAGAGTGTTTCCTAACTGCTCTATGAACAGAAAGGTTAAACTCTGTGAGTTGAACGAACACATCACAACGCAGTTTTGTGGGAATGATTCTGTCTAGTTTTGAAACGAAGATATTTCCTTTTCTGCCATTGACCTCAAAGCGCTTGAAATCTCCACTTGCCAATTGCACAAAAATAGTGTTTCAAATCTGCTCTGTCTAAGGGAACGTTCAACTCTGTGAGTTGAATGTACACAACACAAGGAAGTTACTGGGAATTCTTCTGTCTAGCCTTATATGAAAAAAACCCGTTTCCAACGAAGGCCTCTAAGTGGTCAAAATATCCACTTGCAGACTTTACAAGGAGAGTGTTTCCTAACTGCTCTATGAAAAGAAAGGTTAAACTCTGTGAGTTGAACGCACACATCACAAAGGAGTTTCTGAGAATCATTCTGTCTAGTTTTTATACGAAGATATTTCCTTTTCTGCCTTTGGCCCCAAAGCGCTTGAAATCTCCACTTGCAAATTCCACAAAAACAGTGTTTCAAATCTGCTCTCTCTAAATGAAAGTTCAACTCTGTCAGTTGAATGCACACAACACAAGGAAGTTACTGAGAATTCTTCTGTCTAGCAGAATATGAAGAAATCCCGTTTCCAAAGAAGGCCTCAAAGGGGTCTGAATATCCACTTGCAGACTTTACAAACAGAGTGTTTACTAACTGCTCTATGAAAAGAAAGGTTAAACTCTGTGAGTTGAACGCACACATCACAAAGGAGTTTCTGAGAATCATTCTGTCTAGTTTTTATATGAAGATATTTCCTTTTCTACCATTGACCTCATAGCGGCTGAAATCTCCACTTACAAATTACACAAACAGAGTGTCTCAAGTCTGCTCTGTGTAAACGATCGTTCAACTCTGTGAGTTCAATACACACAACACAAGGAAGTTTCTGAGAATTCTTCTGTCTAGCAGAATATGAAGAAATCCCGTTTCCAACGAAGGCCACAAGATGTCAGAATATCCACTTACAGACTTTACAAACAGAGTGTTTCCTAACTGCTCTATGAACAGAAAGGTTAAACTCTGTGAGTTGAACGAACACATCACAACGCAGTTTGTGGGAATGATTCTGTCTAGTTTTGAAACGAAGATATTTCCTTTTCTGCCATTGACCTTAAAGCGCTTGAAATCTACACTTGCCAATTGCACAAATAGAGTGTTTCAAATCTGCTCTGTCTAAGGGAACGTTCAACTCTGTGAGTTGAATGCACACAACACAAGGAAGTTACTGGGAATTCTTCTGTCTAGCCTTACATGAAAAAAAACCCGTTTCCAACGAAGGCCTCTAAGTGGTCAAATTATCCACGTGCAGACTTTACAAACAGAGTGTTTCCAAACTGCTGAATGAAAAGAAAAGTTAAACTCTGAGAGTTGAACGCACACATCGGAGAGCAGTTTCTGAGAATGATTCTGTCTAGTTTTTATACGAAGATATTTCCTTTTCTGCCTTTGGCACCAAAGCGCTTGAAATCTCCACTTGCAAATTCCACAAAAACAGTGTTTCAAATCTGCTCTCTCTAAATGATAGTTCAACTCTGTCAGTTGAATACACACAACACAAGGAAGTTACTGAGAATTCTTCTGTCTAGCATAATATGAAGAAATCCCGTTTCCAACGAAGGCCTCAAGGAGGTCTGAATATCCACTTGCAGACTTTACAAACAGAGTGTTTCCTAACTGCTCTATGAAAAGAAAGGTTAAACTGTGTGAGTTGAACGCACACATCACAAAGGAGTTTCTCAGAATCATTCTGTCTAGTTTTTATACGAAGATATTTCATTTTCTACCATTGACCTCAAAGCGGCTGAAATCTCCACTTGCAAATTCCACAAAAAGAGTGTTTCAAATCTGCTCTGTGTAAACCATCGTTCAACTCTGTGAGTTGAATACACACAACACAAGGAAGATTCTGAGAATTCTTCTGTCTAGCAGAATATGAAGAAATCCCGTTCCCAACGAAGGCCACAAGATGTCAGAATATCCACTTTCAGACTTTACAAACAGAGTGTTTCCTAACTGCTCTATGAACAGAAAGGTTAAACTCTGTGAGTTGAACGAACACATCACAACGCAGTTTGTGGGAATGATTCTGTCTAGTTTTGAAACGAAGATATTTCCTTTTCTGCCATTGACCTTAAAGCGCTTGAAATCTACACTTGCAAATTGCACAAATAGAGTGTTTCAAATCTGCTCTGTCTAAGGGAACGTTCAACTCTGTGAGTTGAATGCACACAACACAAGGAAGTTACTGGGAATTCTTCTGTCTAGCCTTACATGAAAAAAACCCTTTTCCAACGAAGGCTTCTAAGTGGTCAAAATATCCACGTGCAGACTTTACAAACAGAGTGTTTCCAAACCGCTGAATGAAAAGAAAAGTTAAACTCTGACAGTTGAACGCACACATCATGCAGCAGTTTCTGAGAATGATTCTGTCTAGCTTTGAAACGAAGATATTTCCTTTTCTGCCTTTGGCCTCAAAGCGCTTGAAATCTCCACTTGCAAATTCCACAAAAAGAGTGTTTCAAATCTGCTCTGTGTAAATGAAAGTTCAACTCTGTGAGTTGAACACACACAACACAAGGAAGTTACTGGGAATTCTTCTGTCTAGCCTTATATGAAAAAAACCCGTTTCCAACGAAGGCCTCAAGGAGGTCTGAATATCCACTTGCAGACTTTACAAACAGAGTGTTTCCTAACTGCTCTATGAAAAGAAAGGTTAAACTCTGTGAGTTGAACGCACACATCACAAAGGAGTTTCTGAGAATCATTCTGTCTACTTTCTATAGGAAGATATTTCCTATTCTACCATTGACCTCAAAGCGGCTGAGATCACCACTTGCAAATTCCACAAAAAGAGTGTTTCAAGTCAGCTCTCTGTAAAGGATCGTTCAACTCTCTGAGTTGAATACACACAACACAAGGAAGTTACTGAGAATTATTCTGTCTAGCAGAATATGAAGAATTCCCGTTTCCAACGAAGGCCACAAGATGTCAGAATATCCACTTACAGAATTTACAAACAGAGTGTTTCCTAACTGCACTATGAAAAGAAAGGTTAAACTCTGTGAGATGAACGAACACATCACAACGCAGTTTGTGGGAATGATTCTGTCTAGTTTTGAAACGAAGATATTTCCTTTTCTGCCATTGACCTTAAAGCGCTTGAAATCTCCACTTGCCAATTGCACAAAAAGTGTGTTTCAAATCTGCTCTGTCTAAGGGAACGTTCAACTCTGTGAGTTGAATGTACACAACACAAGGAAGTTACTGGGAATTCTACTGTCTAGCCTTACAGGAAAAAAACCCGTTTCCAACGAAGGCCTCTAAGTGGTCAAAATATCCACGTGCAGACTTTACAAACAGAGTGTTTCCAAACTGCTGAATGAAAAGAAAAGTTAAACTCTGAGAGTTGAACGCACACATCGCAGAGCAGTTTCTGAGAATGATTCTCTGTCTAGTTTTTATCCGAAGATATTTCCTTTTCTGCCTTTGGCCCCAAAGCGCTTGAAATCTCCACTTGCAAATTCCACAAAAACAGTGTTGCAAATCTGCTCTCTCTAAATGAAAGTTCAACTCTGTCAGTTGAATACACACAACACAAGGAAGTTTCTGAGAATTCTTCTGTCTAGCAGAATATGAAGAAATCCCGCTTCCAACGAAGGCCTCAAAGAAGTCTGAATATCCACTTGCAGACTTTACAAACAGAGTGTTTCCCAACTGCTCTATGAAAAGAAAGGTTCAACTCTGTGAGTTGAACGCACACATCACAAAGGAGTTTCTGAGAATCATTCTGTCTAGTCTTTATATGAAGATAGTCTCCTTTTCTACCATTGACCTCAAAGCGGATGAAATCTCCACTTGCAAATTCCACAAAAAGAGTGTTTCAAGTCTGCTCTGTGTAAAGGATCGTTCAACTCTGTGAGTTGAATACACACAACACAAGGAAGTTACTGAGAATTCTTCTGTCTAACAGAATATGAAGAAGTCCCGTTTCCACCGAAGACCTCAAGTAGGTCTGAATATCCACTTGCAGAATTTACAAACAGAGTGTTTCCTAACTGCTCTATGAACAGAAAGGGTAAACTCTGTGAGTTGAACGCACACATCACAAAGGACTTTCTGAGAATCATTCTGTCTAGTTTTGAAACGAAGATATTTCCTTTTCTGCCATTGACCTTAAAGCGCTTGAAATCTCCACTTGCCAATTGCACAAAAAGAGTGTTTCAAATCTGCTCTGTCTAAGGGAACGTTCAACTCTGTGAGTTGAATGTACACAACACAAGGAAGTTACTGGGAATTCTTCTGTCTAGCCTTACATGAAAAAAACCCATTTCCAACGAAGGCCTCTAAGTGGTCAAATTATCCACGTGCAGACTTTACAAACAGAGTGTTTCCAAACTGCTGAATGAAAAGAAAAGTTAAACTCTGAGAGTTGAACGGACATATCACAGAGCAGTTTCTGAGAATGATTCTGTCTAGTTTTTATACGAAGATATTTCCTTTTCTGCCTTTGACCCCAAAGCGCTTGAAATCTCCACTTGCAAATTCCACAAAAACAGTGTTTGAAATCTGCTCTCTCTAAATGAAAGTTCAACTCTGTCAGTTGAATACACACAACACAAGGGAAGTTACTGAGAATTCTTCTGTCTAGCAGAAGATGAAGAAATCCCGTTTCCAACGAAGGCCTCAAGGAGGTCTGAATATCCACTTGCAGACTTTACAAACAGAGTGTTTCCTAACTGCTCTATGAACAGAAAGGTTAAACTCTGTGAGTTGAACGCACACATCACAAAGGAGTTTCTGAGAATCATTCTGTCTAGTTTTTATACGAAGAGATTTCCTTTTCTACCATTGACCTCAACGCGGCTGAAATCTCCACTTGCAAATTCCACAAAAAGAGTGTTTCAAGTCCGCTCTGTGTAAAGGATCGTTCAACTCTGTGAGTTGAATACACACAACACAAGGAAGTTACTGAGAATTCTTCTGTCTAGCACAGTATGAAGAAATCCCGTTTCCAACGAAGACCTCAAAGAGGTCTTAATATCCACTTGCAGAGTTTACAAACAGAGTGTTTCCTAACTGCTCTATGAAAAGAAAGGTTAAACTCTGTGAGTTGAACGCACACATCACAAAGAAGTTTCTGAGAATCATTCTGTCTAGTTTTGAAACGAACAATTTCCTTTTCTGCCATTGACCTTAAAGCGCTTGAAATCTCCATTTGCCAATTGCACAAAAAGAGTGTTTCAAATCTGCTCTGTCTAAGGGAACGTTCAACTCTGTGAGTTGAATGTACACAACACAAGGCAAGTTACTGGGAATTCTTCTGTCTAGCCTTACATGAAAAAAACCCGTTTCCAACGAAGGCCTCTAAGTGGTCAAGTTATCCACGTGCAGACTTTACAAACAGAGTGTTTCCAAACTTCTGAATGAAAAGAAAAGTTAAACTCTGAGAGTTGAACGCACACATCGCAGAGCAGTTTCTGAGAATGATTCTGTCTAGTTTTTATACGAAGATATTTCCTTTTCTGCCTTTGGCCTTAAAGCGCTTGAAATCTCCACTTGCAAATTCCACAAAAAGAGTGTTTCAAATCTGCTCTGTGTAAATGAAAGTTCAACTCTGTGAGTTGAATACACACAACACAAGGGAAGTTACTGGGAATTCTTCTGTCTAGCCTTATATGAAAAAAACCCGTTTCCAACGAAGGCCTCAAAGAGGGCTGAATATCCACTTGCAGACTTTACAAGCAGAGTGTTTCCTAACTGCTCTATGAAAAGAAAGGTTAAACTCTGTGAGTTGAACGCACACATCACAAAGGAGTTTCTGAGAATCATTCTGTCTAGTTTCTATAGGAAGATATTTCCTATTCTACCATTGACCTCAAAGCGGCTGAAAACTACACTTGCAAATTCCACAAAAAGAGTGTTTCAAGTCTGCTCTGTGTAAAGGATCGTTCAACTCTGTGAGTTGAATACACACAACACAAGGAAGTTACTGACAATTCTTCTGTCTAGGCCCAGAATATGAAGAAATCCCGTTTCCAACGAAGGCCACAATATGTCAGAATATCCACTTACAGACTTTACAAACAGAGTGTTTCCTAACTGCTCTATGAACAGAAAGGTTAAACTCTGTGAGTTGAACGAACACATCACAACGCAGTTTGTGGGAATGATTCTGTCTAGTTTTGAAACGAAGATATTTCCTTTTCTGCCGTTGACCTTAAAGAGCTTGAAAACTACACTTGCAAATTGCACAAATAGAGTGTTTCAAATCTGCTCTGTCTAAGGGAACGTTCAACTCTGTGAGTTGAATGCACACAACACAAGGAAGTTACTGGGAATTCTTCTGTCTAGCCTTACAGGAAAAAAACCCGTTTCCAACGAAGGCCTCTGAGTGGTCAAAATATCCACGTGCAGACTTTACAAACAGAGTGTTTCCAAACTGCTGAATGAAAAGAAAAGTTAAACTCTGAGAGTTGAACGCACACATCGCAGAGCAGTTTCTGAGAATGATTCTGTCTAGTCTTTATATGAAGATAGTTTCCTTTTCTACCATTGACCTCAAAGCGGCTGAAATCTCCACTTGCAAATTCCACAAAAAGAGTGTTTCAAGTCTGCTCAGTGTAAAGGATCCTTCAACTCTGTGAGTTGAATACACACAACACAAGGAAGTTACTGAGAATTCTTCTGTCTAGCAGAATAGGAAGAAATCCCGTTTCCAACGAAGGCCTCAAAGAGGTCTGAATATCCACTTGCAGACTTTACAAACAGAGTGTTTCCTAACTGCTCTATGAAAAGAAAGGTTAAACTCTGTGAGTTGAACGCACACATCACAAAGGAGTTTCTGAGAATCGTCTGTCTAGTTTCTATAGGAAGATATTTCCTATTCTACCATTGACCTCAAAGCGGCTGAAATCTCCACTTGCAAATTCGACAAAAAGAATGTTTCAAGTCTGCTCTGTGTAAAGGATCGTTCAACTCTGTGAGTTGAATACACACAACACAAGGAAGTTACTGAGAATCTTCTCTGTCTAGCAGAATATGAAGAAATCCCGTTTCCAACGAAGGCCACAAGATGTCAGAATATCCACTTACAGAATTTACAAACAGAGTGTTTCCTAACTGCTCTATGAAAAGAAAGGTTAAACTCTGTGAGATGAACGAACACATCACAACGCAGTTTGTGGGAATGATTCCGTCTAGTTTTGAAACGAAGATATTTCCTTTTCTGCCATTGACCTTAAAGCGCTTGAAATCTCCACTTGCCAATTGCACAAAAAGAGTGTTTCAAATCTGCTCTGTCTAAGGGAACGTTCAACTCTGTGAGTTGAATGTACACAACACAAGGAAGTTACTGGGAATTCTTCTGTCTAGCCTTAAATGAAAAAAACCCGTTTCCAACGAAGGCCTCTAAGTGGTCAAGTTATCCACGTGCAGACTTTACAAACAGAGTGTTTCCAAACTGCTGAATGAAAAGAAAAGTTAAACTTTGAGAGTTGAACGCACACATCGCAGAGCAGTTTCTGAGAATGATTCTGTCTAGTTTTGAAACGAAGATATTTCCTTTTCTGCCTTTGGCCTCAAAGCGCTTGAAATCTCCACTTGCAAATTCCACAAAAAGAGTGTTTCAAATCTGTTCTGTGTAAATGAAAGTTCAACTCTGTGAGTTGAACACACACAACACAAGGAAGTTACTGGGAATTCTCTGTCTAGCATAATATGAAGAAATCCCGTTTCCAACGAAGGCCTCAAAGGGGTCTGAATATCCACTTGCAGACTTTATAAACAGAGTGTTTACTAACTGCTCTAGGAAAAGAAAGGTTAAAATCTGTGAGTTGAACACACACATCACAAAGGAGTTTCTGAGAATCATTCTGTCTAGTTTTTATACGAAGATATTTCCTTTTCTACCATTGACCTCAAAGCGGCTGAAATCTCCACTTGCAAATTCCACAAAAAGAGTGTTTCAAATCTGCTCTGTGTAAACAATCGTTCAACTGTGTGAGTTGAATACACACAACACAAGGAAGATTCTGAGAATTCTTCTGTCTAGCAGAATATGAAGAAATCCCGTTTCCAACGAAGGCCACAAGATGTCAGGATATCCACTTACAGAATTTACAAACAGACTGTTTCCTAACTGCTCTACGAAAAGAAAGGTTAAACTCTGTGAGATGAACGAACACATCACAACGCAGTTTGTGGGAATGATTCTGTCTAGTTTTGAAACGAAGATATTTCCTTTTCTGCCATTGACCTTAAAGCGCTTGAAATCTCCATTTGCCAATTGCACAAAAAGAGTGTTTCAAATCTGCTCTGTCTAAGGGAACGTTCAACTCTGTGAGTTGAATGTACACAACACAAGGAAGTTACTGGGAATTCTTCTGTCTAGCCTTACATGAAAAAAACCCGTTTCCAACGAAGGCCTCTAAGTGGTCAAATTATCCACGTGCAGACTTTACTAACAGAGTGTTTCCAAACTGCTGAATGAAAAGCAAAGTTAAACTCTGAGAGTTGAACGCACACATCGCAGAGCAGTTTCTGAGAATGATTCTCTCTAGTTTTGAAACGAAGATATTTCCTTTTCTGCCTTTGGCCTCAAAGCGCTTGAAATCTCCACTTGCAAATTCCACAAAAAGAGTGTTTCAAATCTGCTCTGTGTAAATGAAAGTTCAACTCTGTGAGTTGAACACACACAACACAAGGAAGTTACTGGGAATTCTTCTGTCTAGCCTTATATGAAAAAAACCCGTTTCCAACGAAGGCCTCAAAGAGGTCTGAATATCCACTTGCAGACTTTACAAACAGAGTGTTTCCTAACTGCTCTATGAAAAGAAAGGTTAAACTCTGAGTTGAACGCACACATCACAAAGGAGTTTCTGAGAATCATTCTGTCTAGTTTTTCTACGAAGATATTTCCTTTTCTACTATTGACCTCAAAGCGGCTGAAATCTCCACTTGCAAATTACACAAAAAGAGTGTTTCAAGACTGCTCTGTGTAAAGGATCGTTCAACTCTGTGAGTTGAATACACACAACACAAGGAAGTTACTGAGAATTCTTCTGTCTAGCAGAATATGAAGAAATCCCGTTTCCAACGAAGGCCACAAGATGTCAGAATATCCACTTACAGACTTTACAAACAGAGTGTTTCCTAACTGCTCTATGAACAGAAAGGTTAAACTCTGTGAGTTGAACGAACACATCACAACCCAGTTTGTGGGAATGATTCTGTCTAGTTTTGAAAGGAAGATATTTCCTTTTCTGCCGTTGACCTTAAAGCGCTTGAAATCTACACTTGCAAATTGCACAAATAGGCTGTTTCAAATCTGCTCTGTCTAAGGGAACGTTCAACTCTGTGAGTTGAATGCACACAACACAAGGAAGCTACTGAGAATTCTTCTGTCTAGCCTTACATGAAAAAAACCCGTTTCCAACGAAGGCCTCTAAGTGGTCAAAATATCCACGTGCAGACTTTACAAACAGAGTGTTTCCAAACCGCTGAATGAAAAGAAAAGTTAAACTCTGACAGTTGAACGCACACATCACGCAGCAGTTTCTGAGAATGATTCTGTCTAGTTTTTATACCGAAGATATTTCCTTTTCTGCCTTTGGCCTCAAAGCGCTTGAAATCTCCACTTGCAAATTCCACAAAAAGAGTGTTTCAAATCTGCTCTGTGTAAATGAAAGTTCAACTCTGTGAGTTGAACACACACAACACAAGGAAGTTACTGGGAATTCTTCTCTCTAGCAGAATATGAAGAAATCCCGTTTCCAACGAAGGCCTCAAAGAGGTCTGTATATCCACTTGCAGACTTTACAAACAGAGTGTTTCCTAACTGCTCTATGAAAAGAAAGGTTAAACTCTGTGAGTTGAACGCACACATCACAAAGGAGTTTCTGAGAATCATTCTGTCTAGTTTCTATTGGAAGATATTTCCTATTCTACCATTGAACTCAAAGCGGCTGAAATCTCCACTTGCAAATTCCACAAAAAGAGTGTTTCAAGTCTGCTCTGTGTAAAGGATCGTTCAACTCTGTGAGTTGAATACACACAACACAAGGAAAGTTACTGAGAAATCTTCTGTCTAGCATAATATGAAGAAATCCCGTTTCCAACGAAGGCCTCAAAGAGGTCTGAATATCCACTTGCAGACTTTACAAACAGAGTGTTTCCTAACTGCTCCTATGAAAAGAAAGGTTAAACTCTGTGAGTTGAACGCCCACATCACAAAGGAGTTTCTGAGTATCATTCTGTCTAGTTTTGAAACGAAGATATTTCCTTTTCTGCCATTGACCTTAAAGCGCTTGAAATCTACACTTGCAAATTGCACAAATAGAGTGTTTCAAATCTGCTCTGTCTAAAGGAAAGTTCAACTCTGTGAGTTGAATGCACACAACACAAGGAAGTTACTGGGAATTCTTCTGTCTACCCTTACATGAAAAAAACCCGTTTCCAACGAAGGCCTCTAAGTGGTCAAAATATCCACGTGCAGACTTTACAAACAGAGTGTTTCCAAACTGCTGAATGAAAAGAAAAGTTAAACTCTGAGAGTTGAACGCACACATCACAGAGGATTTTCTGAGAATGATTCTGTCTACTTTTTCTACGAAGATATTTCCTTTTCTACTATTGACCTCAAAGCGGCTGAAATCTCCACTTGCAAATTCCACAAAAAGAGTGTTTCAAGTCTGCTCTGTGTAAAGGATCGTTCAACTCTGTGAGTTGAATACACACAACACAAGGAAGTTACTGAGAATTCTTCTGTCTAGCAGAATATGAAGAAATCCCGTTTCCAACGAAGGCCTCAAAGAGGTCTGAATATCCACTTGCAGACTTTACAAACAGAGTGTTTCCTAACTGCTCTATGAAAAGAAAGGTTAAACTCTGTGAGTTGAACGCACACATCACAAAGGAGTTTCTGAGAATCGTTCTGTCTAGTTTTTCTACGAAGATATTTCCTTTCTACTATTGACCTCAAAGCGGCTTAAATCTCCACTTGCAAATTCCACAAAAAGAGTGTTTCAAGTCTGCTCTGTGTAAAGGATCGTTCAACTCTGTGAGTTGAATACACACAACACAAGGAAGTTACTGAGAATTCTTCTGTCTAGCAGAATATGAAGAAATCCCGTTTCCAACGAAGGCCACAAGATGTCAGAATATCCACTTACAGACTTTACAAACAGAGTGTTTCCTAACTGCTCTATGAACAGAAAGGTTAAACTCTGTGAGTTGAACGAACACATCACAACGCAGTTTGTGGGAATGATTCTGTCTAGTTTTGAAACGAAGATATTTCCTTTTCTGCCATTGACCTTAAAGTGCTTGAAATCTCCACTTGCCAATTGCACAAAAAGAGTGTTTCAAATCTGCTCTGTCTAAGGGAACGTTCAACTCTGTGAGTTGAATGTACACAACACAAGGAAGTTACTGGGAAATCTTCTGTCTAGCCTTACATGAAAAAATCCCGTTTCCAACGAAGGCCTCTAAGTGGTCAAAATATCCACGTGCAGACTTTACAAACAGAGTGTTTCCAAACCGCTGAATGAAAAGAAAAGTTAAACTCTGAGAGTTGAACGCACACATCACACAGCAGTTTCTGAGAATGATTCTGTCTAGTTTCTATATGAAGATATTTCCTATTCTACCATTGACCTCAAAGCGGCTGAAATCTCCTCTTGCAAATTCCACAAAAAGAGTGTTTCAAGTCTGCTCTGTGTAAAGGATCGTTCAACTCTGTGAGTTGAATACACACAACACAAGGAAGTTACTGAGAATTCTTCTGTCTAGCAGAATATGAAGAAATCCCGTTTCCAACGAAGGCCTCAAAGAGGTCTGAATATCCACTTGCAGACTTTACAAACAGTGTTTCCTAACTGCTCTATGAGAAGAAAAGTTAAACTCTGTGAGTTGAACGCACACATCACAAATGATTTTCTGAGAATCATTCTGTCTAGTTTTTATACGAAGATATTTCCTTTTCTACCATTGACCTTAAAGCGGCTGAAATCTCCACTTGCAAATTCCACAAAACGAGTGTTTCAAGTCTGCTCTGTGTAAAGGATCGCTCAACTCTGTGAGTTGAATACACACAACACAAAGAAGTTACTGAGAATTCTTCTGTCTAGCAGAATATGAAGAAATCCCGTTTCCAACGAAGGCCACAAGATGTCAGAATATCCACTTACAGACTTTACAAACAGAGTGTTTCCTAACTGCTCTATGAACAGAAAGGTTAAACTCTGTGAGTTGAACGAACACATCACAAGGCAGTTTGTGGGAATGATTCTGTCTAGTTTTTATAGGAAGATATTTCCTTTTCTACCTTTGACTTCAAAGCGGCTGAAATCTCCACTTGCGAATTCCACAAAAAGAGTGTTACAAGTCTGCTGTGTGTAAAGGATCGTTCAACTCTGTGAGTTGAATACACACAACACAAGGAAGTTACTGAGAATTCTTCTGTCTAGCCTTACATGAAAAAAACCCGTTTCCAACGAAGGCCTCTAAGTGGTCAAATTATCCACGTGCAGACTTTACAAACAGAGTGTTTCCAAACTGCTGAATGAAAAGAAAAGTTAAACTCTGAGAGTTGAACGCACACATCGCAGAGCAGTTTCTGAGAATGATTCTGTCTAGTTTTTATGCGAAGATATTTCCTTTTCTGCCTTTGGCCTCAAAGCGTTTGATATCTCCACTTGCAAATTCCACAAAAAGAGTGTTTCAAATCTGCTATGTGTAAATGAAAGTTCAACTCTGTGAGTTGAACACACACAACACAAGGAAGTTACTGGGAATTCTTCTGTCTAGCATAATATGAAGAAATCCCGTTTCCAACGAAGACCTCAAAGAGGTCTGAATATCCACTTGCAGACTTTATAAACAGAGTGTTTACTAACTGCTCTATGAAAAGAAACGTTAAACTCTGTGAGTTGAACACACACATCACAAAGGAGTTTCTGAGAATCATTCTGTCTAGTCTTTATACGAAGATATTTCCTTTTCTACCATTGACCTCAAAGCGGCTGAAATCTCCACTTGCAAATTCCACAAAAAGAGTGTTTCAAGTCTGCTCTCTGTAAAGGATCGTTCAACTCTGTGAGTTGAATACACACAACACAAGGAAGTTACTGAGAATTCTTCTGTCTAGCAGAATATGAAGAAATCCCGTTTCCAACGAAGGCCACAAGATGTCAGAATATCCACTTACATTATTTACAAACAGACTGTTTCCTAACTGCTCTATGAAAAGAAAGGTTAAAGTCTGTGAGTTGAACGAACACATCACAACGCAGTTTGTGGGAATGATTCTGTCTAGTTTTGAAACGAAGATATTTCCTTTTCTGCCATTGACCTCAAAGCGCTTGAAATCTCCACTTGCCAATTGCACAAAAAGAGTGTTTCAAATCTGCTCTGTCTAAGGGAACGTTCAACTCTGTGAGTTGAATGTACACAACGGAAGGAAGTTACTGGGAATTCTTCTGTCTAGCCTTACAGGAAAAAAACCCGTTTCCAACGAAGGCCTCTAAGTGGCCAAAATATCCACGTGCAGACTTTACAAACAGAGTGTTTCCAAACTGCTGAATGAAAAGAAAAGTTAAACTCTGAGAGTTGAACGCACACATCGCAGAGCAGTTTCTGAGAATGATTCTGCCTAGTTTTTATACGAAGATATTTCCTTTTCTGCCTTTGGCCCCAAAGCGCTTGAAATCTCCACTTGCAAATTCCACAAAAACAGTGTTTCAAATCTGCTCTCTCTAAATGAAAGTTCAACTCTGTCAGTTGAATACACACAACACAAGGGAAGTTACTGAGAATTCTTCTGTCTAGCATAATATGAAGAAATCCCGTTTCCAACGAAGGCCTCAAAGGGGTCTCAATATCCACTTGCAGACTTTATAAACAGAGTGTTTACTAACTGCTCTATGAAAAGAAAGGTTAAACTCTGTGAGTTGAACACACACATCACAAAGGAGTTTCTGAGAATCATTCTGTCTAGTTTTTCTACGAAGATATTTCCTTTTCTACTATAGACCACAAAGCGGCTGAAATCTCCACTTGCAAATTCCACAAAAAGAGTGTTTCAAGTCTGCTCTGTGTAAAGGATAGTTCAACTCCGTGAGTTGAATACACACAACACAAGGAAGTTACTGAGAATTCTTCTGTCTAGCAGAATATGAAGAATTCCCGTTTCCAACGAAGGCCACAAGATGTCAGAATATCCACTTACAGAATTTTCAAACAGACTGTTTCCTAACTGCTCTATGAAAAGAAAGGTTAAACTCTGTGAGTTGAACGAACACATCACAACGCAGTTTGTGGGAATGATTCTGTCTAGTTTTGAAACGAAGCATATTTCCTTTTCTGCCATTGACCTTAAAGCGCTTGAAATCTCCACTTGCCAATTGCACAAAAAGAGTGTTTCAAATCTGCTCTGTCTAAGGGAACGTTCAACTCTGTGAGTTGAATGTACACAACACAATGAAGTTACTGGGAATTCTTCTGTCTAGCCTTACAGGAAAAAAACCCGTTTCCAACGAAGGCCTCTAAGTGGTGAAAATATCCACGTGCAGACTTTACAAACAGAGTGTTTCCAAACTGCTGAATGAAAAGAAAAGTTAAACTCTGAGAGTTGAACGCACACATCGCAGAGCAGTTTCTGAGAATGATTCTGTCTAGTTTTGAAACGAAGATATTTCCTTTTCTGCCTTTGGCCTCAAAGCGCTTGAAATCTCCACTTGCAAATTCCACAAAAAGAGTGTTTCAAATCTGCTCTGTGTAAATGAAAGTTCAACTCTGTGAGTCGAACACACACAACACAAGGAAGTTACAGGGAATTCTTCTGTCTAGCATAATATGAAAAAATCCCGTTTCCAACGAAGGCCTCAAGGAGGTCTGAATATCCACTTGCAGACTTTACAAACAGAGGTGTTTCCTAACTGCTCTATGAAAAGAAAGGTTAAACTCTGTGAGTTGAACGCACACATCACAAAGGAGTTTCTGAGAATCATTCTGTCTAGTTTTTATACGAAGATATTTTCTTTTCTACCATTGACCTCAACGCGGCTGAAATCTCCACTTGCAAATTACACAAAAAGAGTGTTTCAAGTCCGCTCTGTGTAAAGGATCGTTCAACTCTGTGAGTTGAATACACACAACACAAGGAAGTTACTGAGAATTCTTCTGTCTAGCAGAATATGGAGAAATCCCGTTTCCAACGAAGGCCTCTAGGAGGTCTGAATATCCACTTGCAGACTTTACAAACAGAGTGTTTCCTAACTGCTCTATGAACAGAAAGGTTAAACTCTGTGAGTTGAACGAACACATCACAACGCAGTTTGTGGGAATGATTCTGTCTAGTTTTTATATGAAGATATTTCCTTTTCTACCTTTGACTTCAAAGCGGCTGAAATCTCCACTTGCAAATTCCACAAAAAGAGTGTTACAAGTCTGCTCTGTCTAAGGGAACGTTCAACTCTGTGAGTTGAATGTACACAACACAAGGAAGTTACTGGGAATTCTTCTGTCTAGCCTTACATGAAAAAAACCCGTTTCCAACGAAGGCCTCTAAGTGGTCAAAATATCCACGTGCAGACTTTACAAACAGAGTGTTTCCTAACTGCTCTATGAAAAGAAAGGTTAAACTCTGAGAGTTGAACGCACACATCACAGAGCGGTTTCTGAGAATGATTCTGTCTAGTTTTTCTACGAAGATATTTCCTTTTCTACTATTGACCTCAAAGCGGCTGAAATCTCCACTTGCAAATTCCACAAAAAGAGTGTTTCAAGTCTGCTCTGTGTAAAGGATCATTCAACTCTGTGAGTTGAATAAACACAACACAAGGAAGTTAATGAGAATTCTTCTGTCTAGCCTTACATGAAAAAAACCCGTTTCCAAAGAAGGCCTCAAAGAGGTCTGAATATCCACTTGCAAACTTTACAAACAGAGTGTTTCCTAACTGCTCTATGAAAAGAAAGGTTAAACTCTGTGAGTTGAACACACACATCACAAAGGAGTTTCTGAGAATCATTCTGTCTAGTTTTTATACGAAGATATTTCCTTTTCTACCATTGACCTCAACGCGGCTGAAATCTCCAATTGCAAATTCCACAAAAAGAGTGTTTCAAGTCCGCTCTGTGTAAAGGATCGTTCAACTCTGTGAGTTGAATACACACAACACAAGGAAGTTACTGAGAATTGTTCTGTCTAGCAGAATATGAAGAAATCCCGTTTCCAACGAAGGCCACAAGATGTCAGAATATCCACTTACAGAATTGACAAACAGACTGTTTCCTAACTGCTCTATGAAAAGAAAGGTTAAACTCTGTGAGTTGAACGAACACATCACAACGCAGTCTGTGGGAATGATTCTGTCTAGTTTTGAAACGAAGATATTTCCTTTTCTGCCATTGACCTTAAAGCGCTTGAAATCTCCATTTGCCAATTGCACAAAAAGAGTGTTTCAAATCTGCTCTGTCTAAGGGAACGTTCAACTCTGTGAGTTGAATGTACACAACACAAGGAAGTTACTGGGAATTCTTCTGTCTAGCCTTACAGGAAAAAAACCCATTTCCAACGAAGGCCTCTAAGTGGTCAAAATATCCACGTGCAGACTTTACAAACAGAGTGTTTCCAAACTGCTGAATGAAAACAAAAGTTAAACTCTGAGAGTTGAAGGCACACATCGCAGAGCAGTTTCTGAGAATGATTCTGTCTAGTTTTGGAACGAAGATATTTCCTTTTCTGCCTTTGGCCTCAAAGCGCTTGAAATCTCCACTTGCAAATTCCACAAAAAGAGTGTTTCAAATCTGCTCTGTGTAAATGAAAGTTCAACTCTGTGAGTTGAACACACACAACACAAGGAAGTTACTGGGAATTCTTCTGTCTAGCAGAATATGAAGAAATCCCGTTTCCAACGAAGGCCTCAAGGAGGTCTGAATATCCACTTGCAGACTTTACAAACAGAGTGTTTCCTAACTGCTCTATGAACAGAAAGGTTAAACTCTGTGAGTTGAACGCACACATCACAAAGGAGTTTCTGAGAATCATTCTGTCTAGTCTTTATATGAAGATAGTTTCCTTTTCTACCATTGACCTCAAAGCGGCTGAAATCTCCACTTGCAAATTCCCCAAAAAGAGTGTTTCAAGTCTGCTCTGTGTAAAGGATCGTTCAACTCTGTGAGTTGAATACACACAACACAAGGAAGTTACTGAGAATTCTTCTGTCTAGCAGAATATGAAGAAATCCCGTTTCCAACGAAGGCCTCAAAGAGGTCTGAATATCCACTTGCAGACTTTACAAACAGAGTGTTTCCTAACTGCTCTATGAAAAGAAAGGTTAAACTCTGTGAGTTGAACGCACACATCACAAAGGAGTTTCTGTGAATCGTTCTGTCTAGTTTTTATACGAAGATATTTCCTTTTCTACCATTGACCTCAAAGCGGCTGAAATCACCACTTGCCAATTGCACAAAAAGAGTGTTTCAAATCTGCTCTGTCTAAGGGAACGTTCAACTCTGTGAGTTGAATGTACACAACACAAGGAAGTTACTGGGAATTCTTCTGTCTAGCCTTACATGAAAAAAACCCGTTTCCAACGAAGGCCTCTAAGTGGTCAAAATTTCCACGTGCAGACTTTACAAACAGAGTGTTTCCAAACCGCTGAATGAAAAGAAAAGTTAAACTCTGAGAGTTGAACGCACACATCACGCATCAGTTTCTGAGAATGTTTCTGTCTAGTTTTTATACGAAGATATTTCCTTTTCTGCCTTTGGCCCCAAAGCGCTTGAAATCTCCACTTGCAAATTCCACAAAAACAGTGTTTCAAATCTGCTCTCTCTAAATGAAAGTTCAACTCTGTCAGTTGAATACACACCACACAAGGAAGTTACTGAGAATTCTTCTGTCTAGCCTTATATGAAAAAAACCCGTTTCCAACGAAGGCCTCAAACAGGTCTGAATATCCACTTGCAGACTTTACAAACAGCGTGTTTCCTAACTGCTCTATGAAAAGAAAGGTTAAACTCTGTGAGTTGAACGCACACATCACAAAGGAGTTTCTGAGAATCATTCTGTCTAGTTTTTATAGGAAGATATTTCCTTTTCTACATTTGACTTCAAAGCGGCTGGAATCTCCACTTGCAAATTCCACAAAAAGAGTGTTACAAGTCTGCTATGTGTAAAGGATCGTTCAACTGTGTGAGTTGAATACACACAACACAAGGAAGTTACTGAGAATTCTTCTGTCTAGCCTTACATGAAAAAAACCCGTTTCCAACGAAGGCCTCTAAGTGGTCAAATTATCCACGTGCAGACTATACAAACAGAGTGTTTCCAAACTGCTGAATGAAAAGAAAAGTTAAACTCTGAGAGTTGAACGCACACATCGCAGAGCAGTTTCTGAGAACGATTCTGTCTAGTTTTGAAACGAAGATATTTCCTCTTCTGCCGTTGACCTTAAAGCGCTTGAAATCTACACTTGCAAATTGCACAAATAGAGTGTTTCAAATCTGCTCTGTCTAAGGGAACGTTCAACTCTGTGAGTTGAATGCACACAACACAAGGAAGTTACTGGGAATTCTTCTGTCTAGCCTTACATGAAAAAAAACCCGTTTCCAACGAAGGCCTCTAAGTGGTCAAAATATCCACGTGCAGACTTTACAAACAGAGTGTTTCCAAACCGCTGAATGAAAAGAAAAGTTAAACTCTGAGAGTGGAACGCACACATCACGCAGCAGTTTCTGAGAATGATTCTGTCAAGTTTTTATACGAAGATATTTCCTTTTCTGCCTTTGGCCTCAAAGCGCTTGAAATCTCCACTTGCAAATTCCACAAAAAGAGTGTTTCAAATCTGCTCTGTGTAAATGAAAGTTCAACTCTGTGAGTTGAACACACACAACACAAGGAAGTTACTGGGAATTCTTCTGTCTAGCCTTACATGAAAAAAACCCGTTTCCAACGAAGGCCTCAAAGAGGTCAAAATATCCACTTGCAGACTTTACAAACAGAGTGTTTCCTAACTACTCTATGAATAGAAAAGTTAAACTCTGTGAGTTGAACATACACATCACAAAGGAGTTTATGAGAATCATTCTGTCTAGTCTTTATACGAAGATATTTCCTTTTCTACCATTGACCTCAAAGCGGCTGAAATCTCCACTTGCAAATTCCACAAAAAGAGTGTTTCAAGTCTGCTCTGTGTAAAGGATCGTTCAACTCTGTGAGTTGAATACACACAACACAAGGAAAGTTACTGAGAATTCTTCTGTCTAGCAGAATATGAAGAAATCCCGTTTCCAACGAAGGCCACAAGATGTCAGAATATCCACTTACAGAATTTACAAACAGACTGTTTCCTAACTGCTCTACGAAAAGAAAGGTTAAACTCTGTGAGATGAACGAACACATCACAACGCAGTTTGTGGGAATGATTCTGTCTAGTTTTGAAACGAAGATATTTCCTTTTCTGCCGTTGACCTTAAAGCGCTTGAAATCTACACTTGCAAATTGCACAAATAGAGTGTTTCAAATCTGCTCTGTCTAAGGGAACGTTCAACTCTGTGAGTTGAATGCACACAACACAAGGAAGTTACTGGGAATTCTTCTGTCTAGCCTTACATGAAAAAACCCGTTTCCAACGAAGGCCTCTAAGTGGTGAAAATATCCACGTGCAGACTTTACAAACAGAGTGTTTCCAAACCGCTGAATGAAAAGAAAAGTTAAACTCTGAGAGTTGAACGCACACATCACGCAGCAGTTTCTGAGAATGATTCTGTCTAGTTTTTATACGAAGGTATTTCCTTTTCTGCCTTTGGCCTCAAAGCGCTTGAAATCTCCACTTGCAAATTCCACAAAAAGAGTGTTTCAAATCTGCTCTGTGTAAATCAAAGTTCAACTCTGTGAGTTGAACACACACAACACAAGGAAGTTACTTGAATTCTTCTGTGTAGCATAATATGAAGAAATCCCGTTTCCAACGAAGGCCACAAAGAGGTCTGAATATCCACTTGCAGACTTTACAAACAGAGTGTTTCCTAACTGCTCTATGAAAAGAAAAGTTAATCTCTGTGAGTTGAACGCACACATCACAAAGGAGTTTCTGAGAATCATTCTGTCTAGTTTTTATACCGAAGATATTTCCTTTTCTACCATTGACCTCAAAGCGGCTGAAATCTCCACTTGCAAATTCCACAAAAAGAGTGTTTCAAATCTGCTCTGTGTAAACCATCGTTCAACTCTGTGAGTTGAATACACACAACACAAGGAAGATTCTGAGAATTCTTCTGTCTAGCAGAATATGAAGAAATCCCGTTTCCAACGAAGGCCACATGATGTCAGAGTATCCACTTACAGAATTTACAAACAGACTGTTTCCTAACTGCTCTATGAAAAGAAAGGTTAAACTCTGTGAGTTGAACGAACACATCACAACGCAGTTTGTGGGAATGATTCTGTCTAGTTTCTATAGGAAGATATTTCCTTTTCTACTTTGACTTCAAAGCGGCTGAAATCTCCACTTGCAAATTCCACAAAAAGAGTGTTACAAGTCTGCTCTCTGTAAAGGATCGTTCAACTGTGTGAGTTGAATACACACAACACAAGGAAGTTACTGAGAACTCTTCTGTCTAGCCTTACATGAAAAAAACCCGTTTCCAACGAAGGTCTCTAAGTGGTCAAATTATCCACGTGCAGACTTTACAAACAGAGTGTTTCCAAACTGCTGAATGAAAAGAAAAGTTAAACTCTGAGAGTTGAACGCACACATCACAGAGCAGTCTCTGAGAATGATTCTGTCTAGTTTTTATACGAAGATATTTCCTTTTCTGCCTTTGGCCTCAAAGGGCTTGAAACCTCCATTTGCAAATTCCACAAAAAGAGTGTTTCAAATCTGCTCTGTGTAAATGAAAGTTCAACTCTGTGAGTTGAACACACACAACACAAGGAAGTTACTGGGAATTCTTCTCTCAGGCATAATATGAAGAAATCCCGTTTCCAACGAAGGCCTCAAAGAGGTCTGAATATCCACTTGCAGAGTTTACAAACAGAGTGTTTCCTAACTGCTCTATGAAAAGAAAGGTTAAACTCTGTGAGTTCAACGCACACATCACAAAGAAGTTTCTGAGAATCATTCTGTCTAGTTTCTATAGGAAGATATTTCCTATTCTACCATTGACCTCAAAGCGGCTGAAATCTCCACTTGCAAATTCCACAAAAAGAGTGTTTCAAGTCTGCTCTCTGTAAAGGATCGTTCAACTCTGTGAGTTGAATACACACAACACAAGGAAGTTACTGAGAATTCTTCTGTCTAGCAGAATAGGAAGAAATCCCGTTTCCAACGAAGGCCACAAGATGTCTGAATATCCACTTACAGACTTTACAAACAGAGTGTTTCCTAACTGCTCTATGAACAGAAATGTTAAACTCTGTGAGTTGAACGAGCACATCACAACGCAGTTTGTGGGAATGATTCTGTCTAGTTTTGAAACGAAGATATTTCCTTTTCTGCCATTGACCTTAAAGCGCTTGAAATCTACACTTGCAAATTGCACAAATAGAGTGTTTCAAATCTGCTCTGTCTAAGGGAACGTTCAACTCTGTGAGTTGAATGCACACAACACAAGGAAGTTACTGGGAATTCTTCTGTCTAGCCTTATATGAAAAAAACCCGTTTCCAACGAAGGCCTCAAAGAGGTCTGAATATCCACTTGCAGACTTTACAAACAGAGTGTTTCCTAACTGCTCTATGAAAAGAAAGGTTAAACTCTGTGAGTTGAACGCACACATCACAAAGGAGTTTCTGAGAATCGTTGTGTCTAGATTCTATAGGAAGATATTTCCTATTCTACCATTGACCTCAAAGCGGCTGAAATCTCCACTTGCAAATTCCACAAAAAGAGTGTTTCAAGTCTGCTCTGTGTAAAGGATCGTTCAACTCTGTGAGTTGAATACACACAACACAAGGAAGTTACTGAGAATTCTTCTGTCTAGCATAATATGTAGAAATCCCGTTTCCAACGAAGGCCTCAAGGGGGTCTGAATATCCACTTGCAGACTTTACAAACAGAGTGTTTCCTAACTGCTCTATGAAAAGAAAGGTTAAACTCTGTGAGTTGAACGCACACATCACAAAGGATTTTCTGAGAATCATTCTGTCTAGTTTCTATAGAAAGATATTTCCTATTCTACCATTGACCTCAAAGCGGCTGAAATCTCCACTTGCAAATTCCACAAAAAGAGTGTTTCAAGTCTGCTCTGTGTAAAGGATCGTTCAACTCTGTGAGTTGAATACACACAACACAAGGAAGTTACTGAGAATTCTTCTGTCTAGCATAATATGATGAAATCCCGTTTCCAACGAAGGCCTCAAGGAGGTCTGAATATCCACTTGCAGACTTTACAAACAGTGTGTTTCCTAACTGCTCTGTGAAAAGAAAGGTTAAACTCTGTGAGTTGAATGCACACATCACAAAGGAGTTTCTGAGAATCATTCTGTCTAGTATTGAAACGAAGATATTTCCTTTTCTGCCATTGACCTTAAAGCGCTTGAAATCTACACTTGCAAATTGCACAAATGGAGTGTTTCAAATCTGCTCTGTCTAAGGGAACGTTCAACTCTGTGAGTTGAATGCACACAACACAAGGAAGTTACTGGGAATTCTTCTGTCTAGCCTTACATGAAAAAAACCCGTTTCCAACGAAGGCCTCTAAGTGGTCAAAATATCCACGTGCAGACTTTACAAACAGAGTGTTTCCAAACCGCTGAATGAAAAGAAAAGTTAAACTCTGAGAGTTGAACGCACACATCACGCAGCAGTTTCTGAGAATGATTCTGTCTAGTTTTGAAACGAAGATATTTCCTTTTCTGCCATTGACCTTAAAGCGCTTGAAATCTCCACTTGCCAATTGCACAAAAAGAGTATTTCAAATCTGCTCTCTCTAAGGGAACGTTCAACTCTGTGAGTTGAATGTACACAACACAACGAAGTTACTGGGAATTCTTCTGTCTAGCATAATATGAAGAAATCCCGTTTCCAACGAAGGCCTCAAGGAGGTCTGAATATCCACTTGCACACTTTACAAACAGAGTGTTTCCTAACTGCTCTATGAAAAGAAAGGTTAAACTCTGTGAGTTAAACGCAGACATCACAAAGGAGTTTCTGAGAATCACTCTGTCTAGTTTCTATAGGAAGATATTTCTTATTCTACCATTGACCTCAAAGCGGCTGAAATCTCCACTTGCAAATTCCACAAAAAGAGTGTTTCAAGTCTGCTCTGTGTAAAGGATCGTTCAACTCTGTGAGTTGAATACACACAAAACAAGGAAGTTACTGAGAATTCTTCTGTGTAGCAGAATATGTAAAAATCCCGCTTCCAACGAAGGTCTCAAAGAAGTCTGAATATCCACTTGCAGACTTTACAAACAGAGTGTTTCCCAACTGCTCTATGAAAAGAAAGGTTGAACTCTGTGAGTTGAACGCACACATCACAAAGGAGTTTCTGAGAATCATTCTGTCTAGTTTCTATAGGAAGATATTTCCTATTCTACCATTGAACTTAAAGCGGCTGAAATCTCCACTTGCAAATTCCACAAAAAGAGTGTTTCAAGTCTGCTCTGTGTAAAGGATCATTCAACTCTGTGAGTTGAATACACACAACACAAGGAAGTTACTGAGAATTCTTCTGTCTAGCCTTACAGGAAAAAAACCCGTTTCCAACGAAGGCCTCTAAGTGGTCAAAATATCCACGTGCAGACTTTACAAACAGAGTGTTTCCAAACTGCTGAATGAAAAGAAAAGTTAAACTCTGAGAGCTGAACGCACACATCACAGAGCAGTTTCTGAGAATGATTCTGTCTAGTCTTTATATGAAGATAGTTTTCCTTTTCTACTATTGACCTCAAAGCGGCTGAAATCTCCACTTGCAAATTCCACAAAAAGAGTGTTTCAAGTCTGCTCTGTGTAAAGGATCGTTCAACTCTGTGAGTTGAATACACACAACACAAGGAAGTTACTGAGAATTCTTCTGTCTAACAGAATATGAAGAAATCCCGTTTCCAACGAAGGCCTCAAAGAGGTCTGAATATCCACTTGCAGACTTTACAAACAGAGTGTTTCCTAACTGCTCTATGAAAAGAAAGGTTAAACTCTATGAGTTGAACGCACACATCACAAAGGAGTTTCTGAGAATCATTCTGTCTAGTTTTTATACGAAGATATTTCCTTTTCTACCATTGACCTCAATGCGGCTGAAATCTCCACTTGCAAATTCCACAAAAAGAGTGTTTCAAATCTGCTCTGTGTAAACAATCGTTCAACTGTGTGAGTTGAATACACACAACACAAGGAAGATTCTGAGAATTCTTCTGTCTAGCAGAATATGAAGAAATCCCGTTTCCAACGAAGGCCACAAGATGTCAGAATATCCACTTACAGAATTGACAAACAGACTGTTTCCTAACTGGTCTATGAAAAGAAAGGTTAAACTCTGTGAGTTGAACGAACACATCACAACGCAGTTTGTGGGAATGATTCTGTCTAGTTTTGAAACGAAGATATTTCCTTTTCTGCCATTGACCTTAAAGCGCTTGAAATCTACACTTGCAAATTGCACAAATAGAGTGTTTCAAATCTGCTCTGTCTAAGGGAACGTTCAACTCTGTGAGTTGAATGCACACAACACAAGGAAGTTACTGGGAATTCTTCTGTCTAGCCTTACATGAAAAAAACCCGTTTCCAACGAAGGCCTCTAAGTGGTCAAAATATCCACGTGCAGACTTTACAAACAGAGTGTTTCCAAACCGCTGAATGAAAACAAAAGTTAAACTCTGAGAGTTGAACGCACACATCACGCAGCAGTTTCTGAGAATGATTCTGTCTAGTTTTTATACGAAGAGATTTCCTTTTCTGCCTTTGGCCTCAAAGCGCTTGAAATCTCCATTTGCAAATTCCACAAAAAGAGTGTTTCAAATCTGCTCTGTGTAAATGAAAGTTCAACTCTGTGAGTTGAACACACACAACACAAGGAAGTTACTGAGAATTCTTCTGTCTAGCAGAATATGAAGAAATCCCGTTTCCAACGAAGGCCTCAAGGAGGTCTGAATATCCACTTGCAGACTTTACAAACAGAGTGTTTCCTAACTGCTCTATGAAAAGAAAGGTTAAACTCTGTGAGTTGAACGCACACATCACAAAGGAGTTTCTGAGAATCATCTGTCTAGTTTTTATACGAAGATATTTCCTTTTCTACCATTGACTTCAAAGCGGCTGAAATCTCCACTTGCAAATTACACAAAAAGAGTGTTTCAAGTCTACTCTGTGTAAAGCATCGTTCAACTCTGTGAGTTGAAAACACACAACACAAGGAAGTTTCTGAGAATCTTCTCTGTCTAGCAGAATATGAAGAAATCCCGTTTCCAACGAAGGCCACAAGATGTCAGAATATCCACTTACAGACTTTACAAACAGAGTGTTTCCTAACTGCTCTGTGAACAGAAAGGTTAAACTCTGTGAGTTGAACGAACACATCACAACGCAGTTTGTGGGAATGATTCTGTCTAGTTTTTATACGAAGATATTTCCTTTTCTACCATTGACCTCAAAGCGGCTGAAATCACCACTTGCCAATTGCACAAAAAGGGTGTTTCAAATCTGCTCTGTCTAAGGGAACGTTCAACTCTGTGAGTTGAATGTACACAACACAAGGAAGTTCCTGGGAATTCTTCTGTCTTGCCTTACATGAAAAAAACCCGTTTCCAACGAAGGCCTCTAAGTGGTCAAAATTTCCACGTGCAGACTTTACAAACAGAGTGTTTCCAAACCGCTGAATGAAAAGAAAAGTTAAACTCTGAGAGTTGAACGCACACATCACGCAGCAGTTTCTGAGAATGATTCTGTCTAGTTTTTAAACGAAGATATTTCCTTTTCTGCCTTTGGCCCCAAAGCGCTTGAAATCTCCACTTGCAAATTCCACAAAAACAGTGTTTCAAATCTGCTCTCTCTAAATGAAAGTTCAACTCTGTCAGTTGAATACACACAACACAAGGAAGTTACTGAGAATTCTTCTGTCTAGCATAATATGAAGAAATCCCGTTTCCAACGAAGGCCTCAAGGGGTCTGAATATCCACTTGCAGACTTTATAAACAGAGTGTTTACTAACTGCTCTATGAAAAGAAAGGTTAAACTCTGTGAGTTGAACACACACATCACAAAGGAGTTTCTGAGAATCATTCTGTCTAGTTTCTATAAGAAGATATTTCCTTTTCTGCCATTGACCTCAAAGCGGCTGAAATCTCCACTTGCAAATTCCACAAAAACATTGTTTCAAATCTGCTCTGTGTAAAGGATCGTTCAACTCTGTGAGTTGAATACACACAACACAAGGAAGTTACTGAGATTTCTTCTGTCTAGCAGAATAGGAAGAAATCCCGTTTCCAACGAAGGCCACAAGATGTCAGAATATCCACTTACAGACTTTACAAACAGAGCGTTTCCTAACTGCTCTATGAACAGAAAGGTTAAACTCTGTGAGTTGAAGAAACACATCACAACGCAGTTTGTGGGAATGATTCTGTCTAGTTTTGAAACGAAGATATTTCCTTTTCTGCCATTGACCTTAAAGCGCTTGAAATCTACACTTGCAAATTGCACAAATAGAGTGTTTCAAATCTGCTCTGTCTAAGGGAACGTTCAACTCTGTGAGTTGAATGCACACAACACAAGGAAGTTACTGGGAATTCTTCTGTCTAGCATAATATGAAGAAATCCCATTTCCAACGAAGGCCTCAAAGAGGTCTGAATATCCACTTGCAGACTTTACAAACAGAGTGTTTCCTAACTGCTCTATGAAAAGAAAAGTTAAACTCTGTGAGTTGAACGCACACATCACAAAGGAGTTTATGAGAATCATTCTGTCTAGTCTTTATACGAAGATATTGCCTTTTCTACCATTGACCTCAAAGCGGCTGAAATCTCCACTTGCAAATTCCACAAAAAGAGTGTTTCAAGTCTGCTCTCTGTAAAGGATCGTTCAACTCTGTGAGTTGAATACAGAGAACACAAGGAAGTTACTGAGAATTATTCTGTCTAGCATAATATGAAGAAATCCCGTTTCCAACGAAGGCCTCAAGAGGTCTGAATATCCACTTGCAGACTTTACAAACAGAGTGTTTCCTAACTGCTCTATGAAAAGAAAAGTTAAACTCTGTGAGTTGAACGCACACATCACAAAGGAGTTTCTGAGAATCATTCTGTCTAGTTTTTATTCGAAGATATTTCCTTTTCTGCCATTGACCTCAAAGCGGCTGAAATCTCCACTTGCAAATTCCACAAAAAGAGTGTTTCAAGTCCGCTCTGTTTAAAGGATCGTTCAACTCTGTGAGTTGAATACACACAACACAAGGAAGATTCTGAGAATTCTTCTGTCTAGCAGAATATGAAGAAATCCCGTTTCCAACGAAGGCCACAAGATGTCAGAATATCCACTTACAGAATTTACAAACAGAGTGTTTCCTAACTGCTCTATGAAAAGAAAGGTTAAACTCTGTGAGTTGAACGAACACATCACAACGCAGTTTGTGGGAATAATTCTGTCTAGTTTTGAAACGAAGATATTTCCTTTTCTGCCATTGACCTTAAAGCGCTTGAAATCTCCACTTGCCAATTGCACAAAAAGAGTGTTTGAAATCTGCTCTGTCTAAGGGAACGTTCAACTCTGTGAGTTGAATGTACACAACACAAGGAAGTTACTGGGAATTCTTCTGTCTAGGCTTACAGGAAAAAAACCCGTTTCCAACGAAGGCCTCAAAGAGGTCTGAATATCCACGTGCAGTCTTTACAAACAGAGTGTTTCCTAACTGCTCTATGAAAAGAAAGTTTTAACTCTGTGAGTTGAACGCACACATCACAAAGAAGTTTCTGAGAATCGTTCTGTCTAGTTTTTATACGAAGATATTCCCTTTTCTGCCTTTGGCCTCAAAGCGCTTGAAATCTCCACTTGCAAATTCCACAAAAAGAGTGTTTCAAATCTGCTCTGTGTAAATCAAAGTTCAACTCTGTGAGTTGAACACACACAACACAAGGAAGTTACTGGGAATTCTTCTGTCTAGCAGAATATGAAGAAATCCCGTTTCCAACGAAGGCCTAAAGGAGGTCTGAATATCCACTTGCAGACTTTACAAACAGAGTGTTTCCTAACAGCTCTATGAACAGAAAGGTTAAACTCTGTGAGTTGAACGCACACATCACAAAGGAGTTTCTAAGAATCATTCTGTCTAGTTTCTATAGGAAGATATTTCCTATTCTACCATTGACCTCAAAGCGGCTGAAATCTCCACTTGCAAATTCCACAAAAAGAGTGTTTCAAGTCTGCTCTGTGTAAAGGATCGTTCAACTCTGTGAGTTGAATACACACAACACAAGGCAGTTACTGAGAATTCTTCTGTCTAGCAGAATATGAAGAAATCCCGCTTCCAACGAAGGCCTCAAAGAAGACTGAATATCCACTTGCAGACTTTACAAACAGAGTGTTTCCCAACTGCTCTATGAAAAGAAAGGTTGAACTCTGTGAGTTGAACGCACACATCACAAAGGAGTTTCTGAGAATCATTCTGTCTAGTTTTGAAACGAAGATATTTCCTTTTCTGCCGTTGACCTTAAAGCGCTTGAAATCTACACTTGCAAATTGCACAAATAGAGTGTTTCAAATCTGCTCTGTCTAAGGGAACGTTCAACTCTGTGAGTTGAATGCACACAACACAAGGAAGTTACTGGGAATTCTTCTGTCTAGCCTTACAGGAAAAAAACCCGTTTCCAACGAAGGCCTCTAAGTGGTCAAAATATCCACGTGCAGACTTTACAAACAGAGTGTTTCCAAACTGCTGAATGAAAAGAAAAGTTAAACTCCTGAGAGTTGAACGCACACATCGCAGAGCAGTTTCTGAGAATGATTTCTGTCTAGTTTTTATACGAAGATATTTCTTTTTCTGCCTTTGGCCTCAAAGCGCTTGAAATCTCCATTTGCAAATTCCACAAAAAGAGTGTTTCAAATCTGCTCTGTGTACATGAAAGTTCAACTCTGTGAGTTGAACACACACAACACAAGGAAGTTACTGGGAATTCTTCTGTCTAGCCTTATATGAAAAAACCCATTTCCAACGAAGGCCTCAAAGAGGTCTGAATATCCACCTTCAGACTTTACAAACAGAGTGTTTCCTAACTGCTCTATGAAAAGAAAGGTTAAACTCTGTGAGTTGAGCGCACACATCTCAAAGGAGTTTCTGAGAATCATTCTGTCTAGTTTTTATAGGAAGATATTTCCTTTTCTACCTTTGACTTCAAAGCGGCTGAAATCTCCACTTGCAAATTCCACAAAAAGAGTGTTACAAGTCTGCTCTGTGTAAAGGATTGTTCAACTCTGTGAGTTGAATACACACAACACAAGGAAGTTACTGAGAATTCTTCTGTCTAGCATAGTATGAAGAAATCCCGTTTCCAAAGAAGGCCTCAAACAGGTCTGAATATCCACTTGCAGAGTTTACAAACAGAGTGTTTCCTAACTGCTCTATGAAAAGAAAGGTTAAACTCTGTGAGTTGAACGCACACATCACAAAGAAGTTTCTGAGAATCATTCTGTCTAGTTTTTATACGAAGATATTTCCTTTTCTACCATTGACCTCAAAGAGGCTGAAATCACCACTTGCCAATTGCACAAAAAGAGTGTTTCAAATCTGCTCTGTCTAAGGGAACGTTCAACTCTGTGAGTTGAATGTGCACAACACAAGGAAGTTACTGGGAATTCTTCTGTCTAGCATAATATGAAGAAATCCCGTTTCCAACGAAGGCCTCAAAGAGGTCTGAATATCAACTTGCAGACTTTACAAACAGAGTGTTTCCTAACTGCTCAATGAAAAGAAAGGTTAAACTCTGTGAGTTGAATGCACACATCACAAAGGAGTTTCTGAGAATCATTCTGTCTAGTTTCTATAGGAAGATATTTCCTATTCTACCATTGACCTCAAAGCGGCTGAAATCTCCACTTGCAAATTCCACAAAAAGAGTGTTTCAAGTCTGTTCTGTGTAAAGGATCGTTCAACTCTGTGAGTTGAATACACACAATACAAGGAAGTTACTGAGAATTCTTCTGTCTAGCCTTACATGAAAAAAACCCGTTTCCAACGAAGGCCTCAAAGAGGTCTGAATATCCACTTGCAGACTTTAAAAACAGAGTGTTTCCCAACTGCTCTATGAAAAGAAAGGTTAAACTTCTGTGAGTTGAACGCACACATCACAAAGAAGTTTCTGAGAATCATTTCTGTCTAGTCTTTATACGAAGATATTTACTTTTCTACCATTGACCTCAAAGCGGCTGAAATCTCCACTTGCAAATTCCACAAAAAGAGTGTTTCAAGTCTGCTCTGTGTAAAGGATCATTCAACTCTGTGAGTTGAATACACACAACACAAGGAAGTTACTGAGAATTCTTCTGTCTAGCAGAATATGAAGAAATCCCGTTTCCAACGAAGGCCTCAAGGAGGTCTGAATATCCACTTGCAGACTTTACAAACAGAGTGTTTCCTAACTGCTCTATGAAAAGAAAGGTTAAACTCTGTGAGTTGAAAGCACACATCACAAAGGAGTTTCTGAGAATCGTTCTGTCTAGTTTTGAAACGAAGATATTTCCTTCTCTGCCGTTGACCTTAAAGCGCTTGAAATCTACACTTGCAAATTGCACAAATAGAGTGTTTCAAATCTGCTCTGTCTAAGGGAACGTTCAACTCTGTGAGTTGAATGCACACAACACAAGGAAGTTACTGGGAATTCTTCTGTCTAGCCTTACATGAAAAAAACCCTTTTCCAACGAAGGCCTCTAAGTGGTCAAAATATCCACGTGCAGACTTTACAAACAGAGTGTTTCCAAACCGCTGAATGAAAAGAAAAGTTAAACTCTGAGAGTTGAACCCACACATCACGCAGCAGTTTCTGAGAATGATTCTGTCTAGTTTTTGTACGAAGATATTTCCTTTTCTGCCTTTGGACCCAAAGCTCTTGAAATCTCCACTTGCAAATTCCACAAAAACAGTGTTTCAAATCTGCTCTCTCTAAATGAAAGTTCAACTCTGTCAGTTGAATACACACAACACAAGGAAGTTACTGAGAATTCTTCTTTCTAGCATAATATGAAGAAATCCCGTTTCCAACGAAGGCCTCAAAGGGGTCTGAATATCCACTTGCAGACTTTATAAACAGAGTGTTTACTAACTGCTCTATGAAAAGAAAGGTTAAACTCTGTGAGTTGAACACACACATCACAAAGGAGTTTCTGAGTATCATTCTGTCTAGTTTCTATAGGAAGATATTTCCTATTCTACCATTGACCTCACAGCGGCTGAAATCTCCACTTGCAAATTCCACAAAAAGAGTGTTTCAAGTCTGCTCTGTGTAAAGGATCGTTCAACTCTGTGAGTTGAATACACACAACACAAGGAAGTTACTGAGAATTCTTCTTTCTAGCAGAATATGAAGAAATCCCGTTTCCAACGAAAGCCTCAAGGATGTCTGAATATCCACTTGCAGACAGTACAAACAGAGTGTTTCCTAACTGCTCTATGAAAAGAAAGGTTAAACTCTGTGAGTTGAACGCACACATCACAAAGGAGTTTCTGAGAATCATTCTGTCTAGTTTTGAAACGAAGATATTTCCTTTTCTGCCATTGACCTTAAAGCGCTTGAAATCTCCACTTGCCAATTGCACAAAAAGAGTGTTTCAAATCTGCTCTGTCTAAGGGAACGTTCAACTCTGTGAGTTGAATGTACACAACACAAGGAAGTTACTGGGAATTCTTCTGTCTAGCCTTATATGAAAAAAACCCGTTTCCAACAAAGGCCTCAAAGAGGGCTGAATATCCACTTGCAGACTTTACAAGCAGAGTGTTTCCTAACTGCTCTATGAAAAGAAAGGTTAAACTCTGTGAGTTGAACGCACACATCACAAAGGAGTTTCTGAGAATCATTCTGTCTAGTTTTTATAGGAAGATATTTCCTTTTCTGCCTTTGGCTTCAAAGCGCTTGAAATCTCCATTTGCAAATTCCACAAAAAGAGTGTTTCAAATCTGCTCTGTGTAAATGAAAGTTCAACTCTGTAAGTTGAATACACACAACACAAGGAAGTTACTGAGAATTCTTCTGTCTAGCCTTACATGAAAAAAACCCGTTTCCAACGAAGGCCTCAAAGAGGTCTGAATATCCACTTGCAGAGTTTACAAACAGAGTGTTTCCTAACTGCTCTATGAAAAGAAAGGTTAAACTCTGTGAGTTGAACGCACACATCACAAAGAAGTTTCTGAGAATCATTCTGTCTAGTTTTTATACGAAGATATTTCTTTTTCTACCATTTACCTCAAAGCGGCTGAAATCTCCACTTGCAAATTCCACAAAAAGAGTGTTTCAAATCTGCTCTGTGTACACCATCGTTCAACTCTGTGAGTTGAATACACACAACACAAGGAAGATTCTGAGAATTCTTCTGTCTAGCCTTACATGAAAAAAACCCGTTTCCAACGAAGACCTCTAAGTGGTCAAATTATCCACGTGCAGACTTTACAAACAGAGTGTTTCCAAACTGCTGAATGAAAAGAAAAGTTAAACACTGAGAGTTGAACGCACACATCGCAGAGCAGTTTCTGAGAATGATTCTGTCTAGTTTTTATACGAAGATATTTCCTTTTCTGCCTTTGGCCCCAAAGCGCTTGAAATCTCCACTTGCAAATTCCACAAAAACAGTGTTTCAAATCAGCTCTCTCTAAATGAAAGTTCAACTCTGTCAGTTGAATACACACAACACAAGGAAAGTTACTGAGAATTCTTCTGTCTAGCCTTACAGGAAAAAAACCCGTTTCCAACGAAGGCCTCTAAGTGGTCAAAATATCCACGTGCAGACTTTACAAACAGAGTGTTTCCAAACTGCTGAATGAAAAGAAAAGTTAAACTCCTGAGAGTTGAACGCACACATCGCAGAGCAGTTTCTGAGAATGATTTCTGTCTAGTTTTTATACGAAGATATTTCCTTTTCTGCCTTTGGCCCCAAATCGCTTGAAATCTCCACTTGCAAATTCCACCAAAACAGTGTTTCAAATCTGCTCTCTCTAAATGAAAGTTCAACTCTGTCAGTTGAATACACACAACACAAGGAAGTTACTGAGAATTCTTCTGTATAGCAGAATATGAAGAAATCCCGTTTCCAACGAAGGCCTCAAGGAGGTCTGAATATCCACTTGCAGACTTTACAAACAGAGTGTTTCCTAACTGCTCTATGAAAAGAAACGTTAAACTCTGTGAGTTGAACGCAGACATCACAAAGGAGTTTCTGAGAATCACTCTGTCTAGTTTTTATACGAAGATATTTCCTTTTCTACCATGGACCTCAAAGCGGCTGAAATCTCCACTTGCAAATTCCACAAAAAGTGTGTTTCAAGTCCGCTCTGTGTAAAGGATCGTTCAACTCTGTGAGTTGAATACACACAACACAAGGAAGTTACTGAGAATTCTTCTGTGTAGCAGAATATGAAGAAATCCTGTTTCCAACGAAGGCCACAAGATGTCAGAATATCCACTTACAGAATTTACCAACAGAGTGTTTCCTAACTGCTCTATGAAAAGAAAGGTTAAACTCTGTGAGTTGAACGAACACATCACAACGCAGTTTGTGGGAATGATTCTGTCTAGTTTTGAAACGAAGATATTTCCTTTTCTGTCATTGACCTTAAAGCGCTTGAAATCTACACTTGCAAATTGCACAAATAGAGTGTTTCAAATCTGCTCTCTCTAAGGGAACGTTCAACTCTGTGAGTTGAATGCACACAACACAAAGAAGTTACTGGGAATTCTTCTGTCTAGCCTTACAGGAAAAAAACCCGTTTCCAACGAAGGCCTCTAAGTGGTCAAAATATCCACGTGCAGACTTTACAAACAGAGTGTTTCCACACTGCTGAATGAAAAGAAAAGTTAAACTCTGAGAGTTGAACGCACACATCGCAGAGCAGTTTCTGAGAATGATTCTGTCTAGTTTTGAAACGAAGATATTTCCTTTTCTACCATTGACCTCAACGCGGCTGAAATCTCCATTTGCAAATTCCACAAAAAGAGTGTTTCAAATCTGCTCTGTTTAAATGAAAGTTCAACTCTGTGAGTTGAACACACACAACACAAGGAAGTTACTGGGAATTCTTCTGTCTAGCCTTATATGAAAAAAACCCGTTTCCAACGAAGGCCTCAAAGAGGTCTGAATATCCTCTTGCAGACTTTACAAACAGAGTGTTTCCTAACAGCTCTATGAAAAGAAAGGTTAAACTCTGTGAGTTGGGCACACACGTCACAAAGGAGTTTCTGAGAATCATTCTGTCTAGTTTCTATAGGAAGATATTTCCTATTCTACCATTGACCTCAAAGCGGCTGAAATCTCCACTTGCAAATTCCACAAAAAGAGTGTTTGAAGTCTGCTCTGTGTAAAGGATCGTTGAACTCTGTGAGTTGAGTACACACAACACAAGGAAGTTACTGAGAATTCTTCTGTCTAGCATAATATGAAGAAATCCCGTTTCCAACGAAGGCCTCAAGCAGGTCTGAATATCCACTTGCAGACTTTACAACCAGAGTGTTTCCTAACTGCTCTATGAAAAGAAAGGTTAAACTCTGTGAGTTGAACGCACACATCACAAAGGAGTTTCTGAGAATCATTCTGTCTAGTTTTGAAACGAAGATATTTCCTTTTCTGCCATTGACCTTAAAGCGCTTGAAATCTACACTTGCAAATTGCACAAATAGAGTGTTTCAAATCTGCTCTGACTAAGGGAACGTTCAACTCTGTGAGTTGAATGCACACAACACAAGGAAGTTACTGGGAATTCTTCTGTCTAGCCTTACAGGAAAAAAACCCGTTTCCAACGAAGGCCTGTAAGTGGTCAAAATATCCACGTGCAGACTTTACAAACACAGTGTTTCCACACTGCTGAATGAAAAGAAAAGTTAAACTCTGAGAGTTGAACGCACACATCGCAGAGCAGTTTCTGAGAATGATTCTGTCTAGTTTTGAAACGAAGATATTTCCTTTTCTACCGTTGACCTCAACGCGGCTGAAATCTCCATTTGCAAATTCCACAAAAAGAGTGTTTCAAATCTGCTCTGTGTAAATGAAAGTTCAACTCTGTGAGTTGAACACACACAACACAAGGAAGTTACTGGGAATTCTTCTGTCTAGCCTTATATGAAAAAAACCCGTTTCCAACGAAGGCCTCAAAGAGGTCTGAATATCCTCTTGCAGACTTTACAAACAGAGTGTTTGCTAACTGCTCTATGAAAAGAAAGTTTAAACCCTGTGAGTTGGACACACACATCACTAAGGAGTTTCTGAGAATCATTCTGTCTGGTTTTGAAACGAAGATATTTCCTTTTCTGCCATTGACCTTAAAGCGCTTGAAATCTCCATTTGCCAATTGCACAAAAAGAGTGTTTCAAATCTGCTCTGTCTAAGGGAACGTTCAACTCTGTGAGTTGAATGTACACAACACAAGGAAGTTACTGGGAATTCTTCTGTCTAGCCTTACATGAAAAAAACCCGTTTCCAACGAAGGCCTCTAAGTGGTCAAATTATCCACGTGCAGACTTTACAAACAGAGTGTTTCCAAACTGCTGAATGAAAAGAAAAGTTAAACTCTAAGAGTTGAACGCACACATCGCAGAGCAGTTTCTGAGAATGATTCTGTCTAGTTTTGAAACGGAGTTATTTCCTTTTCTGCCTTTGGCCTCAAAGCGCTTGAAATCTCCACTTGCAAATTCCACAAAAAGAGTGTTTCAAATCTGCTCTGTGTACATGAAAGTTCAACTCTGTGAGTTGAACACACACAACACAAGGAAGTTACTGGGAATTCTTCTGTCTAGCCTTATATGAAAAAAACCCGTTTCCAACGAAGGCCTCAAAGAGGTCTGAATATCCAGTTGCAGACTTTACAAACAGAGTGTTTCCTAACTGCTCTATGAAAAGAAAGGTCAAACTCTGTGAGTTGAACGCACACATCACAAAGGAGTTTCTGAGAATCATTCTATCTAGTTTCTATATTAAGATATTTCCTTTTCTACCATTGACCTCAAAGCGGCTGAAATCTCCACTTGCAAATTACACAAAAAGAGTGTTTCAAGTCTACTCTGTGTAAAGCATCGTTCAACTCTGTGAGTTGAAAACACACAACACAAGGAAGTTTCTGAGAATTCTTCTGTCTAGCAGAATATGAAGAAATCCCGTTTCCAACGAAGGCCACAAGATGTCAGAATATCCACTTACAGAATTTACAAACAGACTGTTTCCTAACTGCTCTATGAAAAGAAAGGTTAAACTCTGTGAGTTGAACGAACACATCACAACGCAGTTTGTGGGAATGATTCTGTCTAGTTTTGAAACGAAGATATTTCCTTTTCTTCCATTGACCTTAAAGCGCTTGAAATCTCCACTTGCCAATTGCACAAAAAGAGTGTTTCAAATCTGCTCTGTCTAAGGGAACGTTCAAATCTGTGAGTTGAATGCACACAACACAAGGAAGTTACTGGGAATTCTTCTGTCTAGCCTTACATGAAAAAAACCCGTTTCCAACGAAGGCCTCTAAGTGGTCAAAACATCCACTTGCAGACTTTACAAACAGAGTGTTTCCAAACTGCTGAATGAAAAGAAAAGTTAAACTCTGAGAGTTGAACGCACACATCGCAGAGCAGTTTCTGAGAATGATTCTGTCTAGTTTTTATACGAAGATATTTCCTTTTCTGCCTTTGGCCTCAAAGCGCATGAAATCTACCTTTGCAAATTCCACAAAAAGAGTGTTTCAAATCTGCTCTGTCTAAATGAAAGTTCAACTCTGTCAGTTGAATACACACAACACAAGGAAGTTACTGAGAATTCTTCTGTCTAGCAGAATATGAAGAAATACCGTTTCCAACGAAGGCCTCAAGGAGGTCTGAATATCCACTTCCAGACTTTACAAACAGAGTGTTTCCTAACTGCTCTATGAACAGAAAGGTTAAACTCTGTGAGTTGAACGCACACATCACAAAGGAGTTTCTGAGAATCATTCTGTCTAGTTTTTATACGAAGATATTTCCTTTTCTACCATTGACCTCAAAGCGGCTGAAACCTCCAATTGCAATTTCCACAAAAAGAGTGTTTCAAGTCTGCTCTGTGTAAAGGATCGTTCAACTCTGTGAGTTGAATACACACAACACAAGGAAGTTACTGAGAATTCTTCTGTCTAGCAGAATATGAAGAAATCCCGTTTCCAACGAAGGCCTCAAAGAGGTCTGAATATCCACTTGCAGACTTTACAAACAGAGTGTTTCCTAACTGCTCTATGAAAAGAAAGGTTAAACTCTATGAGTTGAACGCACACATCACAAAGGAGTTTCTGAGAATCGTTCTGTCTAGTTTTGAAAGGAAGATATTTCCTTTTCAGCCGTTGACCTTAAAGCGCTTGAAATCTACACTTGCAAATTGCAAAAATAGGCTGTTTCAAATCTGCTCTGTCTAAGGGAACGTTCAACTCTGTGAGTTGAATGCACACAACACAAGGGAAGTTACTGAGAATTCTTCTGTCTAGCCTTACATGCAAAAAACCCGTTTCCAACGAAGGCCTCTAAGTGGTCAAAATATCCACGTGCAGACTTTACAAACAGAGTGTTTCCAAACCGCTGAATGAAAAGAAAAGTTAAATTCTGAGAGTTGAACGCGCACATCACGCAGCAGTTTCTGAGAATGATTCTGTCTAGTTTTGAAACGAAGACATTTCCTTTTCTGCCTTTGGCCTCAAAGCGCTTGAAATCTCCATTTGCAAATTCCACAAAAAGAGTGTTTCAAATCTGCTCTGTGTAAATGAAAGTTCAACTCTGTGAGTTGAACACACACAACACAAGGAAGTTACTGGGAATTCTTCTGTCTAGCATAACATGAAGAAATCCCGTTTCCAACGAAGGCTTCAAAGAGGTCTGAATATCCCCTTGCAGACTTTACAAACAGAGTGTTTCCTAACTGCTCTATGAAAAGAAAGGTTAAACTCTGTGAGTTGAACGCACACATCGCAAAGGAGTTTCTGAGAATCATTCTGTCTAGTTTCTATAGGAAGATATTTCCTATTCTACCATTGACCTCAAAGCGGCTGAAATCTCCACTTGCAAATTCCACAAAAAGAGTGTTTCAAGTCTGCTCTGTGTAAAGGATCGTGCAACTCTGTGAGTTGAATACACACAACACAAGGAAGTTACTGAGAATTCTTCTGTCTAGCATAGTATGAAGAAATCCCGTTTCCAACGAAGGCCACAAGATGTCAGAATATCCACTTACAGAATTGACAAACAGACTGTTTCCTAACTGCTCTATGAAAAGAAAGGTTAAACTCTGTGAGTTGAACGCACACATCACAAAGAAGTTTCTGAGAATCATTCTGTCTAGTTTTGAAACGAAGATATTTCCTTTCCTGCCATTGACCTTAAAGCGCTTGAAATCTACATTTGCAAATTGCACAAATAGAGTGTTTCAAATCTGCTCTGTCTAAGGGAACGTTCAACTCTGTGAGTGGAATGCACACAACACAAGGAAGTTACTGGGAATTCTTCTGTCTAGCCTTACATGAAAAAATCCCGTTTCCAACGAAGGCCTCTAAGTGGTCAAAATATCCACGTGCAGACTTTACAAACAGAGTGTTTCCAAACCGCTGAATGAAAAGAAAAGTTAAACTCTGTGAGTTGAACGCACACATCAAGCAGCAGTTTCTGAGAATGATTCTGTCTAGTTTTTATACGAAGATATTTCCTTTTCTGCATTTGGCCCCAAATCGCTTGAAATCTCCACCTGCAAATTCCACAAAAACAGTGTTTCAAATCTGCTCTCTCTAAATCAAAGTTCAACTCTGTCAGTTGAATACACACAACACAAGGAAGTTACTGAGAATTCTTCTGTCTAGCCTTATATGAAAAAAACCCGTTTCCAACGAAGGCCTCAAAGAGGTCTGAATATCCACTTGCAGACTTTACAAACAGAGTGTTTCCTAACTGCTCTATGTAAAGAAAGGTTAAACTCTGTGAGTTGAACGGCACACATCACAAAGGAGTTTCTGAGAATCATTCTGTCTAGTTTTTATACGAAGATATTTCCTTTTCTACCATTGACCTCAACGCGGCTGAAATCTCCACTTGCAAATTCCACAAAAAGAGTGTTTCAAGTCCGCTCTGTGTAAAGGATCGTTCAACTCTGTGAGTTGAATACACACAACACAAGGAAGTTACTGAGAATTCTTCTGTCTAGCACAGTATGAAGAAATCCCGTTTCCAACGAAGGCCTCAAAGAGGTCTGAATATCCACTTGCAGAGTTTACAAACAGAGTGTTTCCTAACTGCTCTATGAAAAGAAAGGTTAAACTCTGTGAGTTGAACACACTCATCACAAAGGAGTTTCTGAGAATCATTCTGTCTAGTTTTGAAACGAAGAAATTTCCTTTTCTGCCATTGACCTTAAAGCGCTTGAAATCTACACTTGCAAATTGCACAAATAGAGTGTTTCAAATCTGCTCTGTCTAAGGGAACGTTCAACTCTGTGAGTTGAATGCACACAACACAAGGAAGTTACTGGGAATTCTTCTGTCTAGCGTTACAGGAAAAAAACCCGTTTCCAACGAAGGCCTCTAAGTGGTCAAAATATCCACGTGCAGACTTTACAAACAGAGTGTTTCCAAACTGCTGACTGAAAAGAAAAGTTAAACTCTAAGAGTTGAACGCACACATCGCAGAGCAGTTTCTGAGAATGATTCTGTCTAGTTTTGAAACGAAGATATTTCCTTTTCTACCATTGACCTCAACGCGGCAGAAATCTCCATTTGCAAATTCCACAAAAAGAGGGTTTCAAATCTGCTCTGTGTAAATGAAAGTTCAACTCTGTGAGTTGAACACACACAACACAAGGAAGTTACTGGGAATTCTTCTGTCTAGCCTTATATGAAAAAAACCCGTTTCCAACGAAGGCCTCAAAGAGGTCTGAATATCCTCTTGCAGACTTTACAAACAGAGTGTTTCCTAACTGCTCTATGAAAAGAAAGGTTAAACTCTGTGAGTTGGACACACACATCACAAAGGAGTTTCTGAGAATCATTCTGTCTAGTTTTTATACGAAGATATTTCCTTTTCTACCATTGACCTCAACGCGGCTGAAATCTCCACTTGCAAATTCCACAAAAAGTGTGTTTCATGTCCGCTCTGTGTAAAGGATCGTTCAACTCTGTGAGTTGAATACACACAACACAAGGAAGTTACTGAGAATTCTTCTGTCTAGCACAGTATGAAGAAATCCCGTTTCCAACGAAGGCCTCAAAGAGGTCTGAATATCCACTTGCAGACTTTACAAACAGAGTGTTTCCTAACTGCTCTATGAAAAGAAAGGTTAAACTCTGTGAGTTGAACGAACACGTCACAATGAAGTTTCTGAGAATCATTCTGTCTAGTTTTGAAACGAAGATATTTCCTTTTCTGCCGTTGACCTTAAAGCGCTTGAAATCTACACTTGCAAATTGCACAAATAGAGTGTTTCAAATCTGCTCTGTCTAAGGGAACGTTCAACTCTGTGAGTTGAATGCACACAACACAAGGAAGTTACTGGGAATTCTTCTGTCTAGCATAATATGAAGAAAACCCGTTTCGAACGAAGGCCTCAAAGAGGTCTGAATATCCACTTGCAGACTTTACAAACAGAGTGTTTCCTAACTGCTCTATGAAAAGAAAGGTTAAACTCTGTGAGTTGAACGCACACATCACAAAGGAGATTCTGAGAATCATTCTGTCTACTTTTTATATGAAGATATTTCCTTTTCTACCATTGACCTCAAAGCGGCTGAAATCTCCACTTACAAATTCCACAAAAAGAGTGTCTCAAGTCTGCTCTGTGTAAACGATCGTTCAACTCTGTGAGTTGAATACACACAACACAAGGAAGTTTCTGAGAATTCTTTTGTATAGCAGAATATGAAGAAATCCCGTTTCCAATGAAGGCCTCAAGGAGGTCTGAATATCCACTTGCAGACTTTACAAACAGAGTGTTTCCTAACTGCTCTATGAAAAGAAAGGTTAAACTCTGTGAGTTGAACGCAGACATCACAAAGGAGTTTCTGAGAATCACTCTGTCTAGTTTTTATACGAAGATATTTCCTTTTCTACCATTGACCTCAAATCGGCTGAAATCTCCACTTGCAAATTCCACAAAACGAGTGTTTCAAGTCCGCTCTGTGTAAAGGATCGTTCGACTCTGTGAGTTGAATACACACAACACAAGGAAGTTACTGAGAATTCTTCTGTCTAGCAGAATATGAAGAAATCCCGTTTCCAACGAAGGCCACAAGATGTCAGAATATCCACTTACAGACTTTACAAACAGAGTGTTTCCTAACTGCTCTATGTACAGAAAGGTTAAACTCTCTGAGTTGAACGAACACATCACAACGCAGTTTGTGGGAATGATTCTGTCTAGTTTTGAAACGAAGATATTTCCTTTTCTGCCGTTGACCTTAAAGAGCTTGAAAACTACACTTGTAAATTGCACAAATAGAGTGTTTCAAATCTGCTCTGTCTAAGGGAACGTTCAACTCTGTGAGTTGAATGCACACAACACAAGGAAGTTACTGGGAATTCTTCTGTCTAGCCTTACATGAAAAAAACCCGTTTCCAACGAAGGCCTCTAAGTGGTCAAGTTATCCACGTGCAGACTTTACAAACAGAGTGTTTCCAAACTGCTGAATGAAAAGAAAAGTTAAACTCTGAGAGTTGAACGCACACATCGCAGAGCAGTTTCTTAGAATGATTCTGTCTAGTTTTTATACGAAGATATTTCCTTTTCTGCCTTTGGTCTCAAAGCGCTTGAAATCTCCACTTGCAAATTCCACAAAAAGAGTGTTTCAAATCTGCTCTGTGTAAATGAAAGTTCAACTCTGTGAGTTGAACACACACAACACAAGGAAGTTACTGGGAATTCTTCTCTCTAGCAGAATAAGAAGAAATCCCGTTTCCAACGAAGGCCTCAAAGAGTTCTGAATATCCACTTGCAGACTTTACAAACAGAGTGTTTCCTAACAGCTCTATGAAAAGAAAGGTTAAACTCTGTGAGTTGAACGCACACATCACAAAGGAGTTTCTGAGAATCATTCTGTCTAGTTTTTCTACGAAGATATTTCCTTTTCTACTATTGACCTCAAAGCGGCTGAAATCTCCTCTTGCAAATTCCACAAAAAGAGTGTTTCAAGTCTGCTCTGTGTAAAGGATCGTTCAACTCTGTGAGTTGAATACACACAACACAAGGAAGTTACTGAGAATTCTTCTGTCTAGCATAGTATGGAGAAATCCCGTTTCCATCGAAGGCCTCAAAGAGGTCTGAATATCCACTTGCAGAGTTTACAAACAGAGTGTTTCCTAACTGCTGTATGAAAAGAAAGGTTAAACTCTGTGAGTTGAACGAACACATCACAACGCAGTTTGTGGGAATGATTCTGTCTAGTTTTGAAACGAAGATATTTCCTTTTCTGCCGTTGACCTTAAAGCGCTTGAAATCTACACTTGCAAATTGCACAAATAGAGTGTTTCAAATCTGCTCTGTCTAAAGGAACGTTCAACTCTGTGAGTTGAATGCACACAACACAAGGAAGTTACTGGGAATTCTTCTGTCTAGCCTTACATGAAAAAAACCCGTTTCCAACGAAGGCCTCTAAGTGGTCAAATTATCCACGTGCAGACTTTACAAACAGAGTGTTTCCAAACTGCTGAATGAAAAGAAAAGTTAAACTCTGAGAGTTGAACGCACACATCGCAGAGCAGTTTCTGAGAATGATTCTGTCTAGTTTTGAAACGAAGATATTTCCTTTTCTGCCTTTGGCCTCAAAGCGCTTGAAATCTCCACTTGCAAATTCCACAAAATGAGTGTTTCAAATCTGCTCTGTGTAAATGAAAGTTCAACTCTGTGAGTTGAACACACACAACACAAGGAAGTTACTGGGAATTCTTCTGTTTAGCCTTATATGTAAAAAACCCGTTTCCAACGAAGGCCTCAAAGAGGTCTGAATATCCACTTGCAGACTTTACAAACAGAGTGTTTCCTAACTGCTCTATGAAAAGAAAGGTTAAACTCTGTGAGTTGAACGCACACATCACAAAGGAGTTTCTGAGAATCATTCTGTCTAGTTTTTATACGAAGATATTTCCTATTCTACCATTGACCTCAAAGCGGCTGAAATCTCCACTTGCAAATTCCACAAGAAGAGTGTTACAAGTATGCTCTGTGTAAAGGATCGTTCAACTCTGTGAGTTGAATACACACAGCACAAGGAAGTTACTGAGAATTCTTATGTCTAGCAGAATATGAAGAAATCCCGTTTCCAACGAAGGCCCCAAGGAGGTCTGAATATCCACTTGCAGACTTTACAAACAGAGTGTTTCCTAACTGCTCTATGAAAAGAAAGGTTAAACTCGGTGAGTTGAACGCACACATCACAAAGGAGTTTATGAGAATCATTCTGTCTAGTTTTGAAACGAAGATATTTCCTTTTCTGCCATTGACCTTAAAGCGCTTGAAATCTACACTTGCAAATTGCACAAATAGAGTGTTTCAAATCTGCTCTGTCTAAGGGAACGTTCAACTCTGTGAGTTGAATGCACACAACACAAGGAAGTTACTGGGAATTCTTCTGTGTAGCCTTACATGAAAAAAAACCCGTTTCCAACGAAGGCCTCTAAGTGGTCAAAATATCCACGTGCAGACTTTACAAACAGAGTGTTTCCAAACCGCTGAATGAAAAGAAAAGTTAAACTCTGAGAGTTGAACGCACACATCACGCAGCAGTTTCTGAGAATGATTCTGTCTAGTTTTTATACGAAGATATTTCCTTTTCTGCCTTTGGCCTCACAGCGCTTGAAATCTCCACTTGCAAATTCCACAAAAAGAGTGTTTCAAATCTGCTCTGTGTAAATGAAAGTTCAACTCTGTGAGTTGAACACACACAACACAAGGAAGTTACTGGGAATTCTTCTGTCTAGCATAATATGAAGAAATCCCGTTTCCAACGAAGGCCTCAAAGGGGTCTGAATATCCACTTGCAGACTGTATAAACAGAGTATTTACTAACTGCTCTATGAAAAGAAAGGTTAAACTCTGTGAGTTGAACACACACATCACAAAGGAGTTTCTGAGAATCATTCTGTCTAGTCTTCATACGAAGATATTTCCTTTTCTACCATTGACCTCAAAGCGGCTGAAATCTCCACTTGCAAATTCCACAAAAAGAGTGTTTCAAGTCTGCTCTGTGTAAAGGATCGTTCAACTCTGTGAGTTGAATACACACAACACAAGGAAGTTACTGAGAATTCTTCTGTCTAGCAGAATATGAAGAAATCCCGTTTCCAACGAAGGCCACAAGATGTCAGAATATCCACTTACAGAATTTACAAACAGACTGTTTCCTAACTGCTCTATGAAAAGAAAGGTTAAACTCTGTGAGTTGAACGAACTCATGACAACGCAGTTTGTGGGAATGATTCTGTCTAGTTTTGAAACGAAGATATTTCCTTTTCTGCCATTGACCTTAAAGCGCTTGAAATCTACATTTGCAAATTGCACAAATAGAGTGTTTCAAATCTGCTCTGTCTAAGGGAACGTTCAACTCTGTGAGTTGAATGCACACAACACAAGGAAGTTACTGGGAATTCTTCTGTCTAGCCTTACAGGAAAAAAAACCGTTTCCAACGAAGGCCTCTGAGTGGTCAAAATATCCACGTGCAGACTTTACAAACAGAGTGTTTCCAAACTGCTGAATGAAAAGAAAAGTTAAACTCTGAGAGTTGAACGCACACATCGCAGAGCAGTTTCTGAGAGTGATTCTGTCTAGTTTTTATACGAAGATATTTCCTTTTCTGCCTTTGGCCTCAAAGCGCTTGAAATCTCCAATTGCAAATTCCACAAAAAGAGAGTTTCAAATCTGCTCTGTGTAAATAAAAGTTCAACTCTGTGAGTTGAACACACACAACACAAGGAAGTTACTGGGAATTCTTCTGCCTAGCATAATATGAAGAAATCCCGTTTCCAACGAAGGCCTCAAGGAGGTCTGAATATCCACTTGCAGACTTTACAAACAGAGTGTTTCCCAACTGCTCTATGAAAAGAAAGGTTAAACTGTGTGAGTTGAACGCACACATCACAAAGGAGTTTCTGAGAATCATTCTGTCTAGTTTCTATAGGAAGATATTTCCTATTCTACCATTGACCTCAAAGCGGCTGAAATCTCCACTTGCAAATTCCACAAAAAGAGTGTTTCAAGTCTGCTCTGTGTAAAGGATCGTTCAACTCTGTGACTTGAATACACACAACACAAGGCAGTTACTGAGAATTCTTCTGTCTAGCAGAATATGAAGAAATCCCGTTTCCAACGAAGGCCACAAGATGTCAGAATATCCACTTACAGAATTTACAAACAGACTGTTTCCTAACTGCTCTATGAAAAGGAAGGTTAAACTCTGTGAGTTGAACGAACACATCACAACGCAGTTTGTGGGAATGATTCTGTCTAGTTTTGAAACGAAGATATTTCCTTTTCTGCCATTGACCTTAAAGCGCTTGAAATCTCCACTTGCCAATTGCACAAAAAGAGTGTTTCAAATCTGCTCTGTCTAAGGGAACGTTCAACTCTGTGAGTTGAATGTACACAACACAAGGAAGTTACTGGGAATTCTTCTGTCTAGCCTTACAAGAATAAAACCCGTTTCCAACGAAGGCCTCTAAGTGGTCAAAATATCCACGTGCAGACTTTACAAAGAGAGTGTTTCCAAACTGCTGAATGAAAAGAAAAATTAAACTCTGAGAGTTGAATGCACACATCGCAGAGCAGTTTCTGAGAATGATTCTGTCTAGTTTTGAAACGAAGATATTTCCTTTTCTGCCTTTGGCCTCAAAGCGCTTGAAATCTCCACTTGCAAATTCCACAAAAAGAGTGTTTCAAATCTGCGCTGTGTAAATGAAAGTTCAACTCTGTGAGTTGAACACACACAACACAAGGAAGTTACTGGGAATTCTTCTGTCTAGCCTTATATGAAAAAAACCCGTTTCCAACGAAGGCCTCAAAGAGGTCTGAATATCCACTTGCAGACATTACAAACAGAGTGTTTCCTAACTGCTCTATGAAAAGAAAGGTTAAACTCTGTGAGTTGAACGCACACATCACAAAGGAGTTTCTGAGAATCATTCTGTCTAGTTTCTATAGGAAGATATTTCCTATTCTACCATAGACCTCAAAGAGGCTGAAATCTCCACTTGCAAATTCCACAAAAAGAGTGTTTCAAGACTGTTCTGTGTAAAGGATCATTCAACTCTGTGAGTTGAATACACACAACACAAGGAAGTTACTGAGAATTCTTCTTTCTTGCAGAATATGAAGAAATCCCGTTTCCAACGAAAGCCTCAAGGATGTCTGAATATCCACTTGCAGACATTACAAACAGAGTGTTTCCTAACTGCTCTATGAAAAGAAAGGTTAAACTCTGTGAGTTGAACGCACACATCACAAAGGAGTTTCTGAGAATCATTCTGTCTAGTTTTGAAACGAAGATATTTCCTTTTCTGCCTTTGGCCTCAAAGCGCTTGACATCTCCACTTGCAAATTCCACAAAAAGAGTGTTTCAAATCTGCTCTGTCTAAGGGAACGTTCAACTCTGTGAGTTGAATGTACACAACACAAGGAAGTTACTGTGAATTCTTCTGTCTAGCCTTACAGGAAAAAACCCGTTTCCAACGAAGGCCTCTAAGTGGTCAAAATATCCACGTGCAGACTTTACAAACAGAGTGTTTCCAAACTGCTGAATGAAAAGAAAAGTTAAACTCTGAGAGTTGAACGCACACATCGCAGAGCAGTTTCTGAGAATGATTCTGTCTAGTTTTTATACGAAGATATTTCCTTTTCTGCCTTTGGCCCCAAAGCGCTTGAAATCTCCACTTGCAAATTCCACAAAAACAGTGTTACAAATCTGCTCTCTCTAAATGAAAGTTCGACTCTGTCAGTTGAATACACACAACACAGGGAAGTTACTGAGAATTCTTCTGTCTAGCAGAACATGAAGAAATCCCGCTTCCAACGAAGGCCTCAAGGAGGTCTGAATATCCACTTGCAGACTTTACAAACAGAGTGTTTCCTAACTGCTCTATGAAAAGAAAGGTTAAACTCTGTGAGTTGAACGCACACATCACAAAGGAGTTTCTGAGAATCATTCTGTCTACTTTCTATAGGAAGATATTTCCTATTCTACCATTGACCTCAAAGCGGCTGAAATCTCCACTTGCAAATTCCACAAAAAGAGTGTTTCAAGTCTACTCTGTGTAAAGGATCGTTCAACTCTGTGAGTTGAATACACACAACACAAGGAAGTTACTGAGAATTCTTCTGTCTAGCATAATATGAAGAAATCCCGTTTCCAACGAAGGCCTCAAGGAGGTCTGAATATCCACTTGCAGACTTTACAAACAGAGTGTTTCCTAACTGTTCTATGAAAAGAAAGGTTAAACTCTGTGAGTTGAACGCACACATCACAAAGGAGTTTCTCAGAATCATTCTGTCTAGTTTCTATAGGAAAATATTTCCTATTCTACCATTGACCTCAAAGCGGCTGAAATCTCCACTTGCAAATTCCACAAAAAGAGTGTTTCAAGTCTGCTCTGTGTAAAGGATCGTTCAACTCTCTGAGTTGAATACACACAACACAAGGAAGTTACTGAGAATTCTTCTGTCTAGCCTTACATGAAAAAAACCCGTTTCCAACGAAGACCTCTAAGTGGTCAAAATATCCACGTGCAGACTTTACAAACAGAGTGTTTCCAAACCGCTGAATGAAAAGAAAAGTTAAACTCTGAGAGTTGAACGCACACATCACGCAGCAGTTTCTGAGAATGATTCTGTCTAGTTTTTATACGAAGATATGTCCTTTTCTGCCTTTGGCCCCAAAGCGCTTGAAATCTCCACTTGCAAATTCCACAAAAAGAGTGTTTCAAGTCTGCTCTGTGTAAAGGATCGTTCAACTCTGTGAGTTGAATACACACAACACAAGGAAGTTACTGAGAATTCTTCTGTCTAGCAGAATATGAAGAAATCCCGTTTTCAACGAAGGCCTCAAAGAGGTCTGAATATCCACTTGCAGACTTTACAAACAGAGTGTTTCCTAACTGCTCTATGAAAAGAAAGGTTAAACTCTGTGAGTTGAACGCAGACATCACAAAGGAGTTTCTGAGAATCACTCTGTCTAGTTTTTATACGAAGATATTTCCTTTTCTACCATTGACCTCAAAGCGGCTGAAATCTCCACTTGCAAATTCCACAAAAAGAGTGTTTCAAATCTGCTCTGTGTAAACCATCGTTCAACTCTGTGAGTTGAATACACACAACACAAGGACGATTCTGAGAATTCTTCTGTCTAGCACAATATGAAGAAATCCCGTTTCCAACGAAGGCCTCAAGGAGGTCTGAATATCCACTTGCAGACTTTACAAACAGAGTGTTTCCTAACTGCTCTATGAACAGAAAGGTTAAACTCTGTGAGTTGAACGCACACATCACAAAGGAGTTTCTGAGAATCATTCTGTCTAGTTTTGAAACGAAGATATTTCCTTTTCTGCCGTTGACCTTAAAGCGCTTGAAATCTACACTTGCAAATTGCACAAATAGAGTGTTTCAAATCTGCTCTGTCTAAGGGAACGTTCAACTCTGTGAGTTGAATGCACACAACACAAGGAAGTTACTGGGAATTCTTCTGTCTAGCCTTACATGAAAAAAACCCGTTTCCAAGGAAGGCCTCTAAGTGGTCAAAATATCCACGTGCAGACTTTATAAACAGAGTGTTTCCAAACCGCTGAATGAAAAGAAAAGTTAAACTCTGAGAGTTGAACGCACACATCACGCAGCAGTTTCTGAGAATGATTCTGTCTAGTTTTTATACGAAGATATTTCCTTTTCTGCCTTTGGCCCCAAAGCGCTTGAAATCTCCACTTGCAAATTGCACAAAAACAGTGTTTCAAATCTGCTCTCTCTAAATGAAAGTTCAACTCTGTCAGTTGAATACACACAACACAAGGAAGTTACTGAGAATTCTTCTGTCTAGCATAATATGAAGAAATCCCGTTTCCAACGAAGACCTCAAAGAGGTCTGAATATCCACTTGCAGAATTTATAAACAGAGTGTTTACTAACTGCTCTATGAAAAGAAACGTTAAACTCTGTGAGTTGAACACACACATCACAAAGGAGTTTCTGAGAATCATTCTGTGTAGTTTTTTTATGAAGATATTTCCTTTTCTACCATTGACCTCAAAGTGGCTGAAATCTCCACTTGCAAAATCCACAAAAATATTGTTTCTAACCTGCTCTGTGTAAAGGATCTTTCAACTCTGTGAGTTGAATGCACACAACACAAGGAAGTTACTGAGAATTCTTCTGTCTAGCAGAATATGAAGAAATCCCGTTTCCAACGAAGGCTACAAGATGTCAGAATATCCACTTACAGACTTTACAAACAGAGTGTTTCCTAACTGCTCTATGAACAGAAAGGTTAAACTCTGTGAGTTGAACGAACACATCACAACGCAGTTTGTGGGAATGATTCTGTCTAGTTTTGAAACGAAGATATTTCCTTTTCTGCCATTGACCTTAAAGCGCTTGAAATCTCCATTTGCCAATTGCACAAAAAGAGTGTTTCAAATCTGCTCTGTCTAAGGGAACGTTCAACTCTGTGAGTTGAATGTACACAACACAAGGAAGTTACTGGGAATTCTTCTGTCTAGCCTTACATGAAAAAAAACCCGTTTCCAAAGAAGGCCTCTAAGTGGTCAAAATATCCACGTGCAGACTTTACAAACAGAGTGTTTCCAAACTGCTGAATGAAAAGAAAAGTTAAACTCTTAGAGTTGAACGCACACATCACAGAGCAGTTTCTGAGAATGATTCTGTCTAGTTTTTATACGAAGATATTTCCTTTTCTGCGTTTGGCCCCAAAGCGCTTGAAGTCACCATTTGCAAATTCCACAAAAACAGTGTTTCAAATCTGCTCTCTCTAAATGAAAGTTCAACTCTGTCAGTTGAATACACACAACACAAGGAAGTTACTGAGAATTCTTCTGTCTAGCAGAATATGAAGAAATCCCGTTTCCAACGAAGGCCTCAAAGAGGTCTGAATATCCACTTGCAGACTTTACAAACAGAGTGTTTCCTAACTGCTCTATGAAAAGAAAGGTTAAACTCTGTGAGTTCAACGCACACATCACAAAGGAGTTTCTGAGAATCGTTCTGTCTAGTTTTTGTACGAAGATATTTCCTTTTCTACCATGGACCTCAAAGCGGCTGAAATGTCCACTTGCAAATTCCACAAAAAGAGTGTTTCAAGTCTGCTCTGTGTAAAGGATCGTTCAACTCTGTGAGTTGAATACACACAACACAAGGGAAGATTCTGAGAATTCTTCTGTCTAGCAGAATATGAAGAAATCCCGTTTCCAACGGAGGCCACAAGATGTCAGAATATCCACTTACAGAATTTACCAACAGAGTGTTTCCTAACTGCTCTATGAAAAGAAAGGTTAAACTCTGTGAGTTGAACGAACACATCACAACGCAGTTTGTGGGAATGATTCTGTCTAGTTTTGAAACGAAGATATTTCCTTTTCTGCCATTGACCTTAAAGCGCTTGAAATCTCCACTTGCCAATTGCACAAAAAGAGTGTTTCAAATCTGCTCTGTCTAAGGGAACGTTCAACTCTGTGAGTTGAATGTACACAACACAAGGAAGTTACTGGGAATTCTTCTGTCCAGCCTTACAGGAAAAAAACCCGTTTCCAACGAAGGCCTCTAAGTGGTCAAAATATCCACGTGCAGACTTTACAAACAGAGTGTTTCCAAACTGCTGAATGAAAAGAAAAGTTAAACTCTGAGAGTTGAACGCACACATCGCAGAGCAGTTTCTGAGAATGATTCTGTCTACTTTCTATACGAAGATATTTCCTATTCTACCATTGACCTCAAAGCGGCTGAAATCTCCACTTGCAAATTCCACAAAAGGAGTGTTTCAAGTCTGCTCTGTGTAAAGGATCGTTCAACTCTGTGAGTTGAAAACACACAACACAAGGAAGATTCTGAGAATTCTTCTGTCTAGCATAGTTTGAAGAAATCCCGTTTCCAACGAAGGCCTCAAAGAGGTCTGAATATCCACTTGCAGAGTTTACAAACAGAGTGTTTCCTAACTGCTCTATGAAAAGAAAGGTTAAACTCTGTGAGTTGAACGCACACATCACAAAGAAGTTTCTGAGAATCATTCTGTCTAGTTTTTATACGAAGATATTTCCTTTTCTACCATTGACCTCAAAGCGGCTGAAATCTCCACTTGCAAATTCCACAAAAAGAGTGTTTCAAATCTGCTCTGTATAAACAATCGTTCAACTGTGTGAGTTGAATACACACAACACAAGGAAGATTCTGAGAATTCTTCTGTCTAGCAGAATATGAAGAAATCCCGTTTCCAACGAAGGCCTCAAAGAGGTCTGAATATCCACTTGCAGACTTTACAAACAGAGTGTTTCCTAACTGCTCTATGAAAAGAAAGGTTAAACTCTGTGAGTTGAACGCACACATCACAAAGGAGTTTATGAGAATAATTCTGTCTAGTTTTTATACGAAGATATTTCCTTTTCTACCATTGACCTCAAAGCGGCTGAAATCACCACTTGCCAATTGCACAAAAAGAGTGTTTCAAATCTGCTCTGTCTAAGGGAACGTTCAACTCTGTGAGTTGAATGTACACAACACAAGGAAGTTCCTGGGAATTCTTCTGTCTAGCCTTACAAGAAAAAAACCCGTTTCCAACGAAAGCCTCTAAATGGTCAAAATATCCACGTGGAGACTTTACAAACAGAGTGTTTCCAAACTGCTGAATGAAAAGAAAAGTTAAACTCTGAGAGTTGAACTCACACATCGCAGAGCAGTTTCTGAGAATGATTCTGTCTAGTTTTGAAACGAAGACATTTCCTTTTCTGCCTTTGGCCTCAAAGCGCTTGAAATCTCCACTTGCAAATTCCACAAAAAGAGTGTTTCAAATCTGCTCTGTGTTAATGAAAGTTCAACTCTGTGAGTTGAACACACACAACACAAGGAAGTTACTGGGAATTCTTCTGTCTAGCAGAATATGAAGAAATCCCGTTTCCAACGAAAGCCTCAAAGATGTCTGAATATCCACTTGCAGACTTTACAAACAGAGTGTTTCCTAACTGCTCTATGAAAAGAAAGGTTAAACTCTGTGAGTTGAACGCACACATCACAAAGCAGTTTCTGAGAATCATTCTGTCTAGTTTTTATACGAAGATATTTCCTTTTCTACCATGGACCTCAAAGCGACTGAAATCTCCACTTGCAAATTCCACAAAAAGAGTGTTTCAAGTCTGCTCTGTGTAAAGGATCGTTCAACTCTGTGAGTTGAATACACAGAACACAAGGAAGTTTCTGAGAATTCTTCTGTCTAGCAGAATATGAAGAAATCCCGTTTCCAACGAAGGCCACAAGATGTCAGAATATCCACTTACAGAATTGACAAACAGACTGTTTCCTAACTGCTCTATGAAAAGAAAGGTTAAACTCTGTGAGTTGAACTAACACATCACAACGCAGTTTGTGGGAATGATTCTGTCTAGTTTTGAAACGAAGATATTTCCTTTTCTGCCGTTGACCTTAAAGCGCTTGAAATCTACACTTGGAAATTGCACAAATAGAGTGTTTCAAATCTTCTCTGTCTAAGGGAACGTTCAACTCTGTGAGTTGAATGCACACAACACAAGGAAGTTACTGGGAATTCTTCTGTCTAGCCTTACATGAAAAAAACCCGTTTCCAACGAAGGCCTCTAAGTGGTCAAAATTTCCACGTGCAGACTTTACAAACAGAGTGTTTCCAAACCGCTGAATGAAAAGAAAAGTTAAACTCTGAGAGTTGAACGCACACATCACGCAGCAGTTTCTGAGAATGATTCTGTCTAGTTTTTATACGAAGATATTTCCTTTTCTACCATTGACTTCAAAGCGGCTGAAATCTCCACTTGCAAATTACACAAAAAGAGTGTTTCAAGTCTACTCTGTGTAAAGCATCGTTCAACTCTGTGAGTTGAAAACACACAACACAAGGAAAGTTTCTGAGAATTCTTCTGTCTAGCAGAACATGAAGAAATCCCGTTTCCAACGAAGGCCTCAAAGATGTCTGAATATCCACTTGCAGACTTTACAAACAGAGTGTTTCCTAACTGCTCTATGAAAAGAAAGGTTAAACTCTGTGAGTTGAACGCACACATCACAAAGGAGTTTCTGAGAATCATTCTGTCTAGTTTCTATAGGAAGATATTTCCTATTCTACCATTGACCTCAAAGCGGCTGAAATCTCCACTTGCAAATTCCACAAAAAGAGTGTTTCAGGTCTGCTCTGTGTAAAGGATCGTTCAACTCTGTGAGTTGAATACACACAACACAAGGAAGTTACTGAGAATTCTTCTATATAGCATAGTATGAAGAAATCCCGTTTCCAACGAAGGCCTCAAAGAGGTCTGAATATCCACTTGCAGAGTTTACAAACAGAGTGTTTCCTAACTGTTCTATGAAAAGAAAGGTTAAACTCTGTGAGTTGAACGCACACATCACAAAGAAGTTTCTGAGAATCATTCTGTCTAGTTTTTATACGAAGATATTTCCTTTTCTACCATTGACCTCAAGGCGGCTGAAATCTCCACATGCAAATTCCACCAAAAGAGTGTTTCAAATCTGCTCTGTGTAAACCATCGTTCAACTCTGTGAGTTGAATACACACAACACAAGGAAGATTCTGAGAATTCTTCTGTCTAGCCTTACATGAAAAAAACCCGTTTCCAACGAAGACCTCTAAGTGGTCAAGTTATCCACGTGCAGACTTTACAAACAGAGTGTTTCCAAACTTCTGAATGAAAAGAAAAGTTAAACTCTGAGAGTTGAACGCACACATCGCAGAGCAGTTTCTGAGAATGATTCTGTCTAGTTTTTATACGAAGATATTTCCTTTTCTGCCTTTGGCCTCAAAGCGCTTGAAATCTCCACTTGCAAATTCCACAAAAAGAGTGTTTCAAATCTGCTCTGTGTAAATGAAAGTTCAACTCTGTGAGTTGAACACACAAAACACAAGGAAGTTACTGGGAATTCTTCTGTCTAGCCTTATATGAAAAAAACCCGTTTCCAAAGAAGGCCTCAAAGAGGTCAAAATATCCACTTGCAGACTTTACAAACAGAGTGTTTCCTAACTACTCTATGAATAGAAAGGTTAAACTCTGTGAGTTGAACACACACATCACAAAGGACTTTCTGAGAATCATTCTGTCTAGTTTCTATAAGAAGATATTTCCTATTCTACCATTGACCTCAAAGCGGCTGAAATCTCCACTTGCAAATTCGACAAAAAGAGTGTTGCAAGCCTGCTCTCTGTAAAGGATCCTTCAACTCTGTGAGTTGAATACACACAACACAAGGAAGTTACTGAGAATTATTCTGTCTAGCATAATATGAAGAAATCCCGTTTCCAACGAAGGCCACAAAGAGGTCTGAATATCCACTTGCAGACTTTACAAACAGAGTGTTTCCTAACTGCTCTATGAGAAGAAAAGTTAAACTCTGTGAGTTGAACGCACACATCACAAAAGATTTTCTGAGAATCATTCTGTCTAGTTTTGAAACGAAGATATTTCCTTTTCTGCCATTGACCTTAAAGCGCTTGAAATCTCCACTTGCCAATTGCACAAAAAGAGTGTTTCAAATCTGCTCTGTCTAAGGGAACGTTCAACTCTGTGAGTTGAATGTACACAACACAAGGAAGTTACTGGGAATTCTACCGTCTAGCCTTACATGAAAAAAAACCCGTTTCCAACGAAGGCCTCTAAGTGGTCAAAATATCCACGTGCAGACTTTACAAACAGAGTGTTTCCAAACTGCTGAATGAAAAGAAAAGTTAAACTCTGAGAGTTGAACGCACACATCACAGAGCAGTTTCTGAGAATGATTCTGTCTAGTTTCTATAGGAAGGTATTTCCTATTCTACCATTGACCTCAAAGCGGCTGAAATCTCCACTTTCAAATTCCACAAAAAGAGTGTTTCAAGACTGTACTGTGTAAAGGATCATTCAACTCTGTGAGTTGAATACACACAACACAAGGAAGTTACTGAGAATTCTTCTGTCTAGCATAATATGAAGAAATCCCGTTTCCAACGAAGGCCTCAAAGAGGTCTGAATATCCACTTGCAGACTTTACAAACAGAGTGTTTCCTAACTGCTCTATGAAAAGAAAAGTTAAACTCTGTGATTTGAACGCACACATCACAAAGGAGTTTCTGAGAATCATTCTGTCTAGTTTCTATAAGAAGATATTTCCTATTCTACCATTGACCTCAAAGCGGCTGAAATCTCCACTTGCAAATTCGACAAAAAGAGTGTTTGAAGCCTGCTCTCTGTAAAGGATCCTTCAACTCTGTGAGTTGAATACACACAACACAAGGAAGTTACTGAGAATTATTCTGTCTAGCATAATATGAAGAAATCCCGTTTCCAACGAAGGCCTCAAAGAGGTCTGAATATCCACTTGCAGACTTTACAGAGTGTTTCCTAACTGCTCTATGAGAAGAAAAGTTAAACTCTGTGAGTTGAACGCACACATCACAAAAGATTTTCTGAGAATCATTCTGTCTAGTTTTGAAACGAAGATATTTCCTTTTCTGCCATTGACCTTAAAGCGCTTGAAATCTCCACTTGCCAATTGCACAAAAAGAGCGTTTCAAATCTGCTCTGTCTAAGGGAACGTTCAACTCTGTGAGTTGAATGTACACAACACAAGGAAGTTACTGGGAATTCTTCTGTCTAGACTTACAGGAAAAAAACCCGTTTCCAACGAAGGCCTCAAAGAGGTCTGAATATCCACTTGTAGTCTTTACAACCAGAGTGTTTCCTAACTGCTCTATGAAAAGAAAGGTTAAACTACTGTGAGTTGAACGCACACATCACAAAGGAGTTTCTGAGAATCATTCTGTCTAGTTTTTAAACGAAGATATTTCCTTTTCTGCCTCTGGCCTCAAAGCGCTTGAAATCTCCATTTGCAAATTCCACAAAAAGAGTGTTTCAAATCTGCTCTGTGTAAATGAAAGTTCAACTCTGTGAGTTGAACACACATAACACATGGAAGTTACTGGGAATTCTTCTGTCTAGCATAATATGAAGAAAACCCGTTTCCAACGAAGGCCTCCAAGGGGTCTGAATATCCACTTGCAGACTTTATAAACAGAGTGTTTACTAACTGCTCTATGAAAAGAAAGGTTAAACTCTGTGAGTTGAACACACACATCAGAAAGGAGTTTCTGAGAATCATTCTGTCTAGTTTTTCTACGAAGATATTTCCTTTTCTACTATTGACCTCAAAGCGGCTGAAATCTCCACTTGCAAATTCCACAAAAAGAGTGTTTCAAGTCTGCTCTGTGTAAAGGATCGTTCAACTATGTGAGTTGAATACACACAACACAAGGAAGTTACTGAGAATTCTTCTGTCTAGCAGAATAGGAAGAAATACCGTTTCCAACGAAGGCCACAAGATGTCAGAATATCCACTTACAGACTTTACAAACAGAGTGTTTCCTAACTGCTCTATGAACAGAAAGGTTAAACTCTGTGAGTTGAACGAACACATCACAACGCAGTTTGTGGGAATGATTCTGTCTAGTTTTGAAACGAAGATATTTCCTTTTCTCCCATTGACCTTAAAGCGCTTGAGATCTACACTTGCAAATTGCACAAATAGAGTGTTTCAAATCTGCTCTGTCTAAGGGAACGTTCAACTCTGTGAGTTGAATGCACACAACACAAGGAAGTTACTGGGAATTCTTCTGTCTAGCCTTATAGGAAAAAAACCCGTTTCCAACGAAGGCCTCAAAGAGGTCTGAATATCCACTTGCAGACTTTACAAACAGAGTGTTTCCTAACTGCTCTATGAAAAGAAAGGTTAAACTCTGTGAGTTGAACGCACACATCACAAAGGAGTTTCTGAGAATCATTCTGTCTAGTTTTTCTACAAAGATATTTCCTTTTCTACTATTGACCTCAAAGCGGCTGAAATCTCCACTTGCAAATTCCACAAAAAGAGTGTTTCAAGTCTGCTCTGTGTAAAGGATCGTTCAACTCTGTGAGTTGAATACACACAACACAAGGAAGTTACTGAGAATTCTTCTGTCTAGCAGAATATGAAGAAATCCCGTTTCCAACGAAGGCCTAAAGGAGGTCTGAATATCCACTTGCAGACTTTACAAACAGAGTGTTTCCTAACAGCTCTATGAACAGAAAGGTTAAACTCTGTGAGTTGAACGCACACATCACAAAGGAGTTTCTGAGAATCATTCTGTCTAGTCTTTATACGAAGATATTTACTTTTCTACCATTGACCTCAAAGCGGCTGAAACCTCCACTTGCAAATTCCACAAAAAGAGTGTTTCAAGTCTGCTCTGTGTAAAGGATCATTCAACTCTGTGAGTTGAATAAACACAACACAAGGAAGTTACTGAGAATTCTTCTGTCTAGCATAATATGAAGAAATCCCGTTTCCAACGAAGGCCTCAAAGGGGTCTGAATATCCACTTGCAGACTTTATAAACAGAGTGTTTACTAACTGCTCTATGAAAAAAAAGGTTAAACTCTGTGAGTTGAACACACACATCACAAAGGAGTTTCTGAGAATCATTCTGTCTAGTTTTTATAGGAAGATATTTCCTTTTCTACCTTTGACTTCAAAGAGGCTGAAATCTCCACTTGCAAATTCCACAAAAAGAGTGTTACAAGTCTGCTCTGTGTAAAGGATCGTTCAACTCTGTGAGTTGAATACACACAACACAAGGAAGTTACTGAGAATTCTTCTGTCTAGCCTTACATGAAAAAAACCCGTTTCCAACGAAGGCCTCTAAGTGGTCAAATTATCCACGTGCAGACTTTACAAACAGAGTGTTTCCAAACTGCTGAATGAAAAGAAAAATTAAACTCTGAGAGTTGAACGCACACATCGCAGAGCAGTTTCTGAGAATGATTCTGTCTAGTTTTTATACGAAGATATTTCCTTTTCTGCCTTTGGCCCCAAAGCGCTTGAAATCTCCAATTGCAAATTCCACAAAAACAGTGTTTCAAATCTGCTCTCTCTAAATGAAAGTTCAACTCTGTCAGTTGAATACACACAACACAAGGAAGTTACTGAGAATTCTTCTGTCTAGCATAATATGAAGAAATCCCGTTTCCAACGAAGGCCTCCAAGGGGTCTGAATATCCACTTGCAGACTTTATAAACAGAGTGTTTACTAACTGCTCTATGAAAAGAAAGGTTAAACTCTGTGAGTTGAACACACACATCACAAAGGAGTTTCTGAGAATCATTCTGTCTAGTCTTTATATGAAGATAGTTTCCTTTTCTACCATTGACCTCAAAGCGGCTGAAATCTCCACTTGCAAATTCCACAAAAAGAGTGTTTCAAGTCTGCTCTGTGTAAAGGATCGTTCAACTCTGTGAGTTGAATCCTCACAACACAAGGAAGTTACTGAGAATTCTTCTGTCTAGCAGAATATGAAGAAATCCCGTTTCCAATAAGGCCACAAGATGTCAGAATATCCACTTACAGACTTTACAAACAGAGTGTTTCCTAACTGCTCTATGAAAAGAAAAGTTTAAATCTGTGAGTTGAACGAACACATCACAACGCAGTTTGTGGGAATGATTCTGTCTAGTTTTGAAACGAAGATATTTCCTTTTCTGCCATTGACCTTAAAGCACTTGAAATCTCCACTTGCAAATTGCACAAAAACAGTGTTTCAAATCTGCTCTGTCTAAGGGAACGTTCAACTCTGTGAGTTGAATGCACACAACGCAAGGAAGTTACTGGGAATTCTTCTGTCTAGCCTTACATGAAAAAAACCCGTTTCCAACGAAGGCCTGTAAGTGGTCAAAATATCCACGTGCAGACTTTACAAACAGAGTGTTTCCAAACTGCTGAATGAAAAGAAAAGTTAAACTCTGAGAGTTGAACGCACACATCGCAGAGCAGTTTCTGAGAATGATTCTGTCTAGTTTTTATACGAAGATATTTCCTTTTCTGCCTTTGGTCTCAAAGCGCTTGAAATCTCCAATTGCAAATTCCACAAAAAGAGTGTTTCAAATCTGCTCTTTGTAAATGAAAGTTCAACTCTGTGAGTTGAACACACACAACACAAGGAAGTTACTGGGAATCCTTCTTTCTAGCAGAATATGAAGAAATCCCGTTTCCAACGAAAGCCTCAAGGATGTCTGAATACCCACTTGCAGACTTTACAAACAGAGTGTTTCCTAACTGCTCTATGAAAAGAAAGGTTTAACTCTGTGAGTTGAACGCACACATCACAAAGGAGTTTCTGAGAATCACTCTGTCTAGTTTTTATACGAAGATATTTCCTTTTCTACCATTGACCTCAAAGCGGCTGAAATCTCCACCCTGCCAATTCCACAAAAAGAGTGTTTCAAGTCTACTCTGTGTAAAGGATCGTTGAACTCTGTGAGTTGAAAACACACAACACAACGAAGTTTCTGGGAATTCTTCTGTCTAGCAGAATATGAAGAAATCCCTTTTCAAACGAAGGCCACAAGATGTCAGAATATCCACTTACAGACTTTACAAACAGAGTGATTCCTAACTGCTCTATGAACAGAAAGGTTAAACTCTGTGAGTTGAACGAACACATCACAACGCAGTTTGTGGGAATGATTCTGTCTAGTTTTGAAACGAAGATATTTCCTTTTCTGCCTTTGACCTTAAAGCGCTTGAAATCTACACTTGCAAATTGCACAAATAGAGTGTTTCAAATCTACTCTGTCTAAGGGAACGTTCAACTCTGTGATTTGATTGCACACAACACAAGGAAAGTTACTGGGAATTCTTCTGTCTAGCCTTACATGATAAAAACCCGTTTCCAACGAAGGCCTCTAAGTGGTCAAAATATCCACGTGCAGACTTTACAAACAGAGTGTTTCCAAACCGCTGAATGAAAAGAAAACTTAAACTCTGTGAGTTGAACGCACACATCACGCAGCAGTTTCTGAGAATGATTCTGTCTAGCTTTTATACGAAGATATTTCCTTTTCTGCCTTTGGCCCCAAAGCGCTTGAAATCTCCACTTGCAAATTCCACAAAAACAGTGTTTCAAATCTGCTCTCTCTAAATGAAAGTTCAACTCTGTCAGTTGAATACACACAACACAAGGAAGTTACTGAGAATTCTTCTGTCTAGCAGAATATGAAGAAATCCCGTTTCCAACGAAGGCCTCAAAGAGGTCTGAATATCCACTTGCAGACTTTACAAACAGAGTGTTTACTAACTGCTCTATGAAAAGAAAAGTTAAAGTCTGTGAGTTGAACGCACACATCACAAAGAAGTTTCTGAGAATCATTCTGTCTAGTTTCTATAGGAAGATATTTCCTATTCTACCATTGACCTCAAAGCGGCTGAAATCTCCACTTGCAAATTCCACAAAAGGAGTGTTTCAAGTCTGCTCTGTGTAAAGGATCGTTCAACTCTGTGAGTTGAAAACACACAACACAAGGGAAGTTTCTGAGAATTCTTCTGTCTAGCAGAATAGGAAGAAATCCCGTTTCCAACGAAGGCCACAAGATGTCAGAATATCCACTTACAGACTTTACAAACAGAGTGTTTCCTAACTGCTCTATGAACAGAAAGGTTAAACTCTGTGAGTTGAACGAACACATCACAACGCAGTTTGTGGGAATGATTCTGTCTAGTTTTGAAACGAAGATATTTCCTTTTCTGCCGTTGACCTTAAAGCGCTTGAAATCCACACTTGCAAATTGCACAAATAGAGTGTTTCAAATCTGCTCTGTCTAAGGGAACGTTCAACTCTGTGAGTTGAATGCACACAACACAAGGAAGTTACTGGGAATTCTTCTGTCTAGCCTTACAAGAAAAAAACCCGTTTCCAACGAAGGCCTCTAAATGGTCAAAATATCCACGTGCAGACTTTACAAACAGAGTGTTTCCAAACTGCTGAATGAAAAGAAAAGTTAAACTCTGAGAGTTGAATGCACACATCGCAGAGCAGTTTCTGAGAATGATTCTGTCTAGTTTTTATACGAAGATATTTCCTTTTCTGCCTTTGGCCTCAAAGCGCTTGAAATCTCCACTTGCAAATTCCACAAAAAGAGTGTTTCAAATCTGCTCTGTGTAAACAATCGTTCAACTGTGTGAGTTGAATACACACAACACAAGGAAGATTCTGAGAATTCTTCTGTCTAGCATAATATGAAGAAATCCCGTTTCCAACGAAGGCCCCAAAGGGGTCTGAATATCCACTTGCAGACTTTATAAACAGAGTGTTTACTAACTTCTCTATGAAAAGAAAGGTTAAACTCTGTGAGTTGAACACACACATCACAAAGGAGTTTCTGAGAATCATTCTGTCTAGTTTTTATACGAAGATATTTCCTTTTCTACCAAGGACCTCAAAGCGGCTGAAATCTCCACTTGCAAATTCCACAAAAAGAGTGTTTCAAATCTGCTCTGTGTAAATGAAATTTCAACTCTGTGAGTTGAACACTCACAACACAAGGAAGTTACTGGGAATTCTTCTGTCCAGCAGAATATGAAGAAATCCCGTTTCCAACGAAGGCCACAAGATGTCAGAATATCCACTTACAGACTTTACAAACAGAGTGTTTCCTAACTGCTCTATGAACAGAAAGGTTAAACTCTGTGAGTTGAACGAACACATCACAACGCAGTTTGTGGGAATGATTCTGTCTAGTTTTGAAACGAAGATATTTCCTTTTCTGCCATTGACCTTAAAGCGCTTGAAATCTCCATTTGCCAATTGCACAAAAAGAGTGTTTCAAATCTGCTCTGTCTAAGGGAACGTTCAACTCTGTGAGTTGAATGTACACAACACAAGGAAGTTACTGGGAATTCTTCTGTCTAGCCTTACATGAAAAAAAACCCGTTTCCAACGAAGGCCTCTAAGTGGTCAAAATATCCACGTGCAGACTTTACAAACAGAGTGTTTCCAAACCGCTGAATGAAAAGAAAAGTTAAACTCTGAGAGTTGAACGCACACATCACGCAGCAGTTTCTGAGAATAATTCTGTGTAGTTTTTATACGAAGATATTTCCTTTTCTGCCTTTGGCCTCAAAGCGCTTGAAATCTCCACTTGCAAATTCCACAAAAAGAGTGTTTCAAATCTGCTCTGTGTAAATGAAAGTTCAACTCTGTGAGTTGAACACACACAACACAAGGGAGTTACTGGGAATTCTTCTGTCTAGCAGAATATGAAGAAATCCCGTTTCCAACGAAGGCCTCAAGGAGGTCTGAATATCCACTTGCAGACTTTATAAACAGAGTGTTTCCTAACTGCTCTATGAAAAGAAAGGTTAAACTCTGTGAGTTGAACACACACATCACAAAGGAGTTTCTGAGAATCATTCTGTCTAGTTTTTATACGAAGATATTTCCTTTTCTACCATTGACCTCAACGCGGCTGAAATCTCCACTTGCAAATTCCACAAAAAGAGTGTTCCAAGTCTGCTCTGTGTAAAGGATCGTTCAACTCTGTGAGTTGAATACACACAACACAAGGAAGTTACTGAGAACTCTTCTGTCTAGCCTTACATGAAAAAAACCCGTTTCCAACGAAAGCCTCTAAGTGGTCAAATTATCCACGTGCAGACTTTACAAACAGAGTGTTTCCAAACTGCTGAATGAAAAGAAAAGTTAAACTCTGAGAGTTGAACGCACACATCGCAGAGCAGTTTCTGAGAATGATTCTGTCTAGTTTTGAAACGAAGATATTTCCTTTTCTGCCATTGAACTTAAAGCGCTTGAAATCTCCATTTGCCAATTGCACAAAAAGAGTGTTTCAAATCTGCTCTGTCTAAGGGAACGTTCAACTCTGTGAGTTGAATGTACACAACACAAGGAAGTTACTGGGAATTCTTCTGTCTAGCCTTACAGGAAAAAAACCCGTTTCCAACGAAGGCCTCTAAGTGGTCAAAATATCCACGTGCAGACTTTACAAACAGAGTGTTTCCAAATTGCTGAATGAAAAGAAAAGTTAAACTCTGAGAGTTCAACGCACACATCGCAGAGCAGTTTCTGAGAATGATTCTGTCTAGTTTCTATAGGAAGATATTTCCTATTCTACCATTGACCTCAAAGCGGCTGAAATCTCCACTTGCAAATTCCACAAAAAGAGTGTTTCAAGTCTGCTGTGTGTAAAGGATCGTTCAACTCTGTGAGTTGTATACACACAACACAAGGCAGTTACTGAGAATTCTTCTGTCTAGCAGAATAGGAAGAAATCCCGTTTCTAACGAAGGCCTCAAAGAGGTCTGAATATCCACTTGCAGACTTTACAAACAGAGTGTTTCCTAACGGCTCTATGAAAAGAAAAGTTAAACTCTGTGAGTTGAACGCACACATCACAAAGGAGTTTCTGAGAATCGTTCTGTCTAGTTTCTACAGGAAGATATTTCCTATTCTACCATTGACCTCAAAGCGGCTGAAATCTCCACTTGCAAATTCCGCAAAAAGAGTGTTTCAAGTCTGCTCTGTGTAAAGGATCGTTCAACTCTGTGAGTTGAATACACACAACACAAGGAAGTTACTGAGAATTCTTCTGTCTAGCAGAATATGAAGAAATCCCGTTTCCAACGAAGGCCACAAGATGTCAGAATATCCTCTTACAGACTTTACAAACAGAGTGTTTCCTAACTGCTCTATGAACGGAAAGGTTAAACTCTGTGAGTTGAACGAACACATCACAACGCAGTTTGTGGGAATGATTCTGTGTAGTTTTGAAACGAAGATATTTCCTTTTCTGCCATTGACCTTAAAGCGCTTGAAATTTGCACTTGCCAATTGCACAAAAAGAGTGTTTCAAATCTGCTCTGTCTAAGGGAACGTTCAACTCTGTGAGTTGAATGTACACAACACAAGGAAGTTACTGGGAATTCTTCTGTCTAGCCTTACAGGAAAAAACCCGTTTCCAAAGAAGGCCTCTAAGTGGTCAAAATATCCACGTGCAGACTTTACAAACAGAGTGTTTCCAAACTGCTGAATGAAAAGAAAAGTTAAACTCTGAGAGTTGAACGCACACATCGCAGAGCAGTTTCTGAGAATGATTCTGTCTAGTTTTGAAACGAAGATATTTCCTTTTCTGCCTTTGGCCTCAAAGCGCTTGAAATCTCCGTTTGCAAATTCCACAAAAAGAGTGTTTCAAATCTGCTCTGTGTAAATGAAAGTTCAACTCTGTGAGTTGAACACACACAACACAAGGAAGTTACTGGGAATTCTTCTGTCTAGCATAATATGAAGAAATCCCGTTTCCAACGAAGGCCTCAAAGAGATCTGAATATCCACTTGCAGACTTTAGAAACAGAGTGTTTCCTAACTGATCTATGAAAAGAAAAGTTAAACTCTGTGATTTGAACTCACACATCACAAAGGAGTTTATGAGAATCATTCTGTCTAGTTTTTCTACGAAGATATTTCCTTTTCTACTATTGACCTCAAAGCGGCTGAAATCTCCACTTGCAAATTCCACAAAAAGAGTGTTTCAAGTCTGCTCTGTGTAAAGGATCGTACAACTCTGTGAGTTGAATACACACAACACAAGGAAGTTACTGAGAATTCTTCTGTCTAGCAGAATATGAAGAAATCCCGTTTCCAACGAAGGACTCAAAGAGGTCTGAATATCCACTTGCAGACTTTACAAACAGAGTGTTTCCTAACTGCTCTATGAAAAGAAAGGTTAAACTCTGTGAGTTGTACGCACACATCACAAAGGAGTTTCTTAGAATCGTTCTGTCTAGTTTTGAAACGAAGATATTTCCTTTTCTGCCATTGAACTTAAAGCGCTTGAAATCTCCACTTGCCAATTGCACAAAAAGAGTGTTTCAAATCTGCTCTGTCTAAGGGAACGTTCAACTCTGTGAGTTGAACGTACACAACACAAGGAAGTTACTGGGAATTCTTCTGTCTAGCCTTACATGAAAAAATCCCGTTTCCAACGAAGGCCTCTAAGTGGTCAAAATTTCCACGTGCAGACTTTACAAACAGAGTGTTTCCAAACCGCTGAATGAAAAGAAAAGTTAAACTCTGAGAGTTGAACGCACACATCACGCAGCAGTTTCTGAGAATGATTCTGTCTAGTTTTTATACGAAGATATTTCCTTTTCTGCCTTTGGCCCCAAAGCGCTTGAAATCTCCACTTGCAAATACCACAAAAACAGTGTTTCAAATCTGCTCTCTCTAAATGAAAGTTCAATTCTGTCAGTTGAATACACACAACACAAGGAAGTTACTGAGAATTCTTCTGTCTAGCATAATATGAAGAAATCCCGTTTCCAACGAAGGCCACAAAGGGGTCTGAATATCCACTTGCAGACTTTATAAACAGAGTGTTTCCTAACTGCTCTATGAAAAGAAAGGTTAAACTCTGTGAGTTGAACACACACATCACAAAGGAGTTTCTGAGAATCATTCTGTCTAGTTTCTATACGAAGATATTTCCTATTTTACCATTGACCTCAAAGCGGCTGAAATCTCCACTTGCAAATTCCACAAAAAGAGTGTTTCAAGTCTGCTCTCTGTAAAGGACCGTTCAACTCTGTGAGTTGAATACACACAACACAAGGAAGTTACTGAGAATTCTTCTGTCTAGCATAATATGAAGAAATCCCGTTTCCAACGAAGGCCACAATATGTCAGAATATCTACTTACAGACTTTACAAACAGAGTGTTTCCTAACTGCTCTATGAACAGAAAGGTTAAACTCTGTGAGTTGAACGAACACATCACAACGCAGTTTGTGGGAATGATTCTGTCTAGTTTTTATACGAAGATATTCCCTTTTCTACCATTGACCTCAAAGCGGCTGAAATCACCACTTGCCAATTGCACAAAAAGAGTGTTTCAAATCTGCTCTGTCTAAGGGAACGTTCAACTCTGTGAGTTGAATGTACACAACACAAGGAAGTTTCTGGGAATTCTTCTGTCTAGCCTTACAGGAAAAAAACCCGTTTCCAACGAAGTCCTCTAAGTGGTCAAGTTATCCACATGCAGACTTTACAAACAGAGTGTTTCCAAACTGCTGAATGAAAAGAAAAGTTAAACTCTGAGAGTTGAACGCACACATCGCAGAGCAGTTTCTGAGAATGATTCTGTCTAGTTTTTATACGAAGATATTTCCTTTACTGCCTTTGGCCTCAAAGCGCTTGAAATCTCCACCTGCAAATTCCACAAAAAGAGTGTTTCAAATCTGCTCTGTGTAAATGAAAGTTCAACTCTGTGAGTTGATCACACACAACACAAGGAAGTTACTGGGAATTCTTCTGTCTAGCATAATATGAAGAAATCCCGTTTCCAACGAAGGCCTCAAGGAGGTCTGAATATCCACTTGCAGACTTTACAAACAGAGTGTTTCCTAACTGCTCTATGAAAAGAAAGGTTAAACTCTGTGAGTTGAACGCACACATCACAAAGGAGTTTCTCAGAATAATTCTGTCTAGTTTCTATAGGAAGATATTTCCTATTCTACCATTGAACTCAAAGCGGCTGAAATCTCCACTTGCAAATTCCACAAAAAGAGTGTTTCAAGTCTGCTCTGTGTAAAGGATCGTTCAACTCTGTGAGTTGAATACACAAAACACAAGGAAGTTACTGAGAATTCTTCTGTCTAGCATAATATGAAGAAATCCCGTTTCCAACGAAGGCTTCAAGGAGGTCTGAATATCCACTTGCAGACTTTACAAACAGAGTGTTTCCTAACTGCTCTATGAAAAGAAAGGTTAAACTCTGTGAGTTGAACGCACACATCACAAAGGAGTTTCTCAGAATCATTCTGTCTAGTTTCTATAGGAAGATATTTCCTATTCTACCATTGACCACAAAGCGGCTGGAATCTCCACTTGCAAATTTCACAAAAAGAGTGTTTCAAGTCTGCTCTGTGTAAAGGATCGTTCAACTCTGTGAGTTGAATACACACAACACAAGGAAGTTACTGAGAATTCTTCTGTCTAGCATAATATGAAGAAATCCCGTTTCCAACGAAGGCCTCAAGGAGGTCTGAATATCCACTTGCAGACTTTACAAACAGAGTGTTTCCTAACTGCTCTGTGAAAAGAAAGGTTAAACTCGGTGAGTTGAACGCACACATCACAAAGGAGTTTCTCAGAATCATTCTGTCTAGTTTTTATACGAAGATATTTCCTTTTCTGCCTTTGGCCCCAAAGCGCTTGAAATCTCCACTTGCAAATTCCACAAAAACAGTGTTTCAAATCTGCTCTCTCTAAATGAAAGTACAACTCTGTCAGTTGAATACACACAACACAAGGAAGTTACTGAGAATTCTTCTGTCTAGCATAATATGAAGAAATCCCGTTTCCAACGAAGGCCTCAAAGGGGTCTGAATATCCACTTGCAGACTTTATAAACAGAGTGTTTACTAACTGCTCTAGGAAAAGAAAGGTTAAACTCTGTGAGTTGAACACACACATCACAAAGGAGTTTCTGAGAATCATTCTGTCTAGTTTTTCTACGAAGATATTTCCTTTTCTACTATTGACCTCAAAGCGGCTGAAATCTCCACTTGCAAATTCTACAAATAGAGTGTTTCAAGTCTGCTCTGTGTAAAGGATCGTTCAACTCTGTGAGTTGAATACACACAACACAAGGAAGTTACTGAGAATTCTTCTGTCTAGCAGAATATGAAGAAATCCCGTTTCCAACGAAGGCCTCAAGGAGGTCTGAATATCCACTTGCAGACTTTACAAACAGAGTGTTTCCTAACTGCTCTATGAACAGAAAGGTTAAACTCTGTGAGTTGAACGAACACATCACAATGCAGTTTGTGGGAATGATTCTGTCTAGTTTTGAAACGAAGATATTTCCTTTTCTGCCATTGACCTTAAAGCGCTTCAAATCTACACTTGCAAATTGCACAAATAGAGTGTTTCAAATCTGCTCTGTCTAAGGGAACGTTCAACTCTGTGAGTTGAATGCACACAACACAAGGAAGTTACTGGGAATTCTTCTGTCTAGCCTTACATGAAAAAAAACCGTTTCCAACGAAGGCCTCTAAGTGGTCAAAATATCCACGTGCAGACTTTACAAACAGAGTGTTTCCAAACCGCTGAATGAAAAGAAAAGTTAAACTCTGAGAGTTGAACGCACACATCACGCAGCAGTTTCTGAGAATGATTCTGTCTAGTTTTTATACGAAGATATTTCCTTTTCTGCCTTTGGCCCCAAAGCGCTTGAAATCTCCACTTGCAAATTGCACAAAAACAGTGTTTCAAATCTGCTCTCTCTAAATGAAAGTTCAACTCTGTCAGTTGAATACACACAACAAAAGGAAGTTACTGAGAATTCTTCTGTCTAGCACAGTATGAAGAAATCCCGTTTCCAACGAAGGCCTCAAAGAGGTCCGAATATCCACTTGCAGACTTTACAAACAGAGTGTTTCCTAACTGCTCTATGAAAAGAAAGGTTAAACTCTGTGAGTTGAACGCACACGTCACAATGAAGTTTCTGAGAATCATTCTGTCTAGTTTTTATACGAAGATATTTCCTTTTCTACCATGGACCTCAAAGCGGCTGAAATCTCCACTTGCAAATTCCACAAAAAGAGTGTTTCAAGTCTGCTCTGTGTAAAGGATCGTTCACCTCTGTGAGTTGAATACACACAACACAAGGAAGATTCTGAGAATTCTTCTGTCTAGCAGAATATGAAGAAATCCCGTTTCCAACGAAGGCCACAAGATATCAGAATATCCACTTACAGACTTTACAAACAGAGTGTTTCCTAACTGCTCTATGAACAGAAAGGTTAAACTCTGTGAGTTGAACGAACACATCACAACGCAGTTTGTGGGAATGATTCTGTCTAGTTTTGAAAGGAAGATATTTCCTTTTCTGCCATTGACCTCAAAGCGCTTGAAATCTCCACTTGCCAATTGCACAAAAAGAGTGTTTCAAATCTGCTCTGTCTAAGGGAACGTTCAACTCTGTGAGTTGAATGTACACAACACAAGGAAGTTACTGGGAATTCTTCTGTCTAGCCTTACAAGAATAAAACCCGTTTCCAACGAAGGCCTCTAAGTGGTCAAAATATCCACGTGCAGACTTTACAAAGAGAATGTTTCCAAACTGCTGAATGAAAAGAAAAATTAAACTCTGAGAGTTGAATGCACACATCGCAGAGCAGTTTCTGAGAATGATTCTGTCTAGTTTTTCTACGAAGATATTTCCTTTTCTACTATTGACCTCAAAGCGGCTGAAATCTCCACTTGCAAATTCCACAAAAAGAATGTTTCAAGTCTGCTCTGTGTAAAGGATCGTTCAACTCTGTGAGTTGACTACACACAACACAAGGAAGTTACTGAGAATTCTTCTGTCTAGCATAATATGAAGAAATCCCGTTTCCAACGAAGGCCTCAAAGAGGTCTGAATATCCACTTGCAGACTTTACAAACAGAGTGTTTCCTAACTGCTCTATGAAAAGAAAAGTTAAACTCTTTGAGTTGAACGCACACATCACAAAGGAGTTTCTGAGAATCATTCTGTCTAGTTTTTATACGAAGATATTTCCTTTTCTACCATTGACCTCAAAGCGGCTGAAATTTCCAATTGCAAATTCCACAAAAAGAGTGTGTCAAATCTGCTCTGTGTAAACCATCGTTCAACTGTGTGAGTTGAATACACACAACACAAGGAAGATTCTGAGAATTCTTCTGTCTAGGAGAATATGAAGAAATCCCGTTTCCAAAGAAGGCCACAAGATGTCAGAATATCCACTTACAGAATTGACAAACAGACTGTTTCCTAACTGCTCTATGAAAAGAAAGGTTAAACTCTGTGAGTTGAACGAACACATCACAACGCAGTTTGTGGGAATGATTCTGTCTAGTTTTGAAACGAAGATATTTCCTTTTATGCCATTGACCTTAAAGTGCTTGAAATCTACACTTGCAAATTGCACAAATAGAGTGTTTCACATCTGCTCTGTCTAAGGGAACGTTCATCTCTGTGAGTTGAATGCACACAACACAAGGAAGTTACTGGGAATTCTTCTGTCTAGCCTTACATGAAAAAAACCCGTTTCCAACGAAGGACTCTAAGTGGTCAAAATATCCACGTGCAGACTTTACAAACAGAGTGTTTCCAAACTGCTGAATGAAAAGAAAAGTTAAACTCTGAGAGGTGAACGCACACATCGCAGAGCAGTTTCTGAGAAAGATTCTGTCTAGTTTCTATAGGAAGATATTTCCCATTCTACCATTGACCTCAAAGCGGCTGAAATCTCCACTTGCAAATTCCACAAAAAGAGTGTTTCAAGTCTGCTCTCTGTAAAGGATCGTTCAACTCTGTGAGTTGAATACACACAACACAAGGAAGTTACGGAGAATTATTCTGTCTAGCATAATATGAAGAAATCCCGTTTCCAACGAAGGCCTCAAAGAGGTCTGAATATCCACTTGCAGACTTTACAAACAGAGTGTTTCCTAACTGCTCTATGAAAAGAAAAGTTAAACTCTGTGTGTTGAACGCACACATCACAAAGGAGTTTCTGAGAATCATTCTGTCTAGTCTTTATACGAAGATATTTCCTTTTCTGCCATTGACCTCAAAGCGGCTGAAATCTCCACTTGCAAATTCCACAAAAAGAGTGTTTCAAGTCTGCTCTCTGTAAAGGATCGTTCAACTCTGTGAGTTGAATACACACAACACAAGGAAGTTACTGAGAATTCTTCTGTCTAGCAGAATATGAAGAAATCCCGTTTCCAACGAAGGCCACAAGATGTCAGAATATCCACTTACAGAATTTTCAAACAGACTGTTTCCTAACTGCTCTATGAAAAGAAAGGTTAAACTCTGTGAGTTGAACGAACACATCACAACGCAGTTTGTGGGAATGATTCTGTCTAGTTTTGAAACGAAGATATTTCCTTTTCTGCCGTTGACCTTAAAGCGCTTGAAATCTACACTTGCAAATTGCACAAATAGAGTGTTTCAAATCTGCTCTGTCTAAGGGAACGTTCAACTCTGTGAGTTGAATGCACACAACACAAGGAAGTTACTGGGAATTCTTCTGTCTAGCCTTACATGAAAAAATCCCGTTTCCATCGAAGGCCTCTAAGTGGTCAAAATATCCACGTGCAGACTTTACAAACAGAGTGTTTCCAAACCGCTGAATGTAAAGAAAAGTTAAACTCTGAGAGTTGAACGCACACATCACGCAGCAGTTTCTGAGAATGATTCTGTCTAGTTTTTATACGTAGATATTTCCTTTTCTGCCTTTGGCCTCAAAGCGCTTGAAATCTCCATTTGTAAATTCCACAAAAAGAGTGTTTCAAATCTGCTCTGTGTAAATGAAAGTTCAACTCTGTGAGTTGAACACACACAACACAAGGAAGTTACTGGGAATTCTTCTGTCTAGCCTTATATGAAAAAAACCCGTTTCCAACGAAGGCCTCAAAGAGGTCTGAATATCCACTTGCAGACTTTACAAACAGAGTGTTTCCTAACTGCTCTATGAAAAGAAATGTTAAACTCTGTGAGTTGAACACACACATCACAAAGGAGTTTCTGAGAATCATTTCTGTCTAGTTTCTATAGGACGATATTTCCTATTCTACCATTGACCTCAAAGCGGCTGAAATCTCCACTTGCAAATTCCGCAAAAAGAGTGTTTCAAGTCTGCTCTGTGTAAAGGATCGTTCAACTCTGTGAGTTGAATACACACAACACAAGGAAGTTACTGAGAATTCTTCTGTCTAGCAGAATATGAAGAAATCCCGTTTCCAACGAAGGCCACAAGATGTCAGAATATCCACTTACAGACTTTACAAACAGAGTGTTTCCTCACTGCTCTATGAACAGAAAGGTTAATCTCTGTGAGTTGAACGAACACATCACAACGCAGTTTGTGAGAATGATTCTGTCTAGTTTTGAAACGAAGATATTTCCTTTTCTGCCATTGACCTTAAAGCGCTTGAAATCTACACTTGCGAATTGCACAAATAGAGTGTTTCAAATCTGCTCTGTCTAAGGGAACGTTCAACTATGTGAGTTGAATGCACACAACACAAGGAAGTTACTGTGAATTCTTCTGTCTAGCCTTACATGAAAAAAACCAGTTTCTAACGAAGGCCTCTAAGTGGTCAAAACATCCACGTGCAGACTTTACAAACAGAGTGTTTCCAAACCGCTGAATGAAAAGAAAAGTTAAACTCTGAGAGTTGAACGCACACATCACGCAGCAGTTTCTGAGAATGATTCTGTCTAGTTTTTATACGAAGATATTTCCTTTTCTGCCTTTGGCCTCAAAGCGCTTGAAATCTCCACTTGCAAATTCCACAAAAAGAGTGTTTCAAATCTGCTCTTTGTAAATGAAAGTTCAACTCTGTGAGTTGAACACACACAACACAAGGAAGTTACTAGGAATCCTTCTGTCTAGCAGAATATGAAGAAATCCCGCTTCCAACGAAGGCCTCAAAGAAGTTTGAATATCCACTTGCAGACTTTACAAACAGAGTGTTTTCCAACTGCTCTATGAAAAGAAAGGTTGAACTCTGTGAGTTGAACGCACACATCACAAAGGAGTTTCTGAGAATCATTCTGTCTAGTTTCTATAGGAAGATATTTCCTATTCTACCATTGACCTCAAAGCGGCTGAAATCTCCACTTGCAAATTCCACAAAAAGAGTGTTTCAAGACTGTTCTGTGTAAAGGATCATTCAACTCTGTGAGTTGAATACACACAACACAAGGAAGTTACTGAGAATTCTTCTTTCTAGCAGAATATGAAGAAATCCCGTTTCCAACGAAAGCCTCAAAGATGTCTGAATATCCACTTGCAGACTTTACAAACAGAGTGTTTCCTAACTGCTCTATGAAAAGAAACGTTAAACTCTGTGAGTTGAACGCACACATCACAAAGGAGTTTCTGAGAATCATTCTGTCTAGTTTTGAAACGAAGATATTTCCTTTTCTGCCATTGACCTTAAAGCGCTTGAAATCTACACTTGCAAATTGCACAAATAGAGTGTTTCAAATCTGCTCTGTCTAAGGGAACGTTCAACTCTGTGAGTTGAATGCACACAACACAAGGAAGTTACTGGGAATTCTTCTGTCTAGCCTTACATGAAAAAAACCCGTTTCCAACGAAGGCCTCTAAGTGGTCAAAATATCCACGTGCAGACTTTACAAACAGAGTGTTTCCAAACCGCTGAATGAAAAGAAAAGTTAAACTCTGAGAGTTGAAGGCACACATCACGCAGCAGTTTCTGAGAATGATTATGTCTAGTTTCTATAGGAAGATATTTCCTATTCTACCATTGACCTCAAAGCGGCTGAAATCTCCACTTGCAAATTCCACAAAAAGAGTGTTTCAAGTCTGCTCTGTGTAAAGGATCGTTCAACTCTGTGAGTTGAATACACACAACACAAGGAAGTTACTGAGAATTCTTCTTTCTAGCAGAATATGAAGAAATCCCGTTTCCAACGAAAGCCTCAAGGATGTCGGAATATCCACTTGCAGACTTTACAAACAGAGTGTTTCCCAACTGCTCTATGAAAAGAAAGGTTAAACTCTGTGAGTTGAACGTACACATCACAAAGGAGTTTCTGAGAATCATTCTGTCTACTTTCTATAGGAAGATATTTCCTATTCTACCATTGACCTCAAAGCGGCTGAAATCTCCACTTGCAAATTCCACAAAAGGAGTGTTTCCAGTCTGCTCTGTGTAAAGGATCGTTCAACTCTGTGAGTTGAAAACACACAACACAAGGAAGTTTCTGAGAATTCTTCTGTCTAGCAGAATATGAAGAAATCCCGTTTCCAACGAAGGCCACATGATGTCAGAATATCCACTTACAGACTTTACAAACAGAGTGTTTCCTAACTGCTCTATGAACAGAAAGGTTAAACTCTGTGAGTTGAACGAACACATCACAACGCAGTTTGTGGGAATGATTCTGTCTAGTTTTGAAACGAAGATATTACCTTTTCTGCCATTGACCTTAAAGCGCTTGAAATCTACACTTGCAAATTGCTCAAATAGAGTGTTTCAAATCTGCTCTGTCTAAGGGAACGTTCAACTCTGTGAGTTGAATGCACACAACACAAGGAAGTTACTGGGAATTCTTCTGTCTAGCCTTACATGAAAAAATCCCGTTTCCAACGAAGGTCTCTAAGTGGTCAAAATATCCACGTGCAGACTTTACACACAGAGTGTTTCCAAACCGCTGAATGAAAAGAAAAGTTAAACTCTGAGAGTTGAACGCACACATCACGCAGCAGTTTCTGAGAATGATTCTGTCTAGTTTTGAAACGAAGATATTTCCTTTTCTGCCTTTGGCCTCAAAGCGCTTGAAATCTCCACTTGCAAATTCCACAAAAAGAGTGTTTCAAATCTGCTCTGTGTAAATCAAAGTTCAACTCTGTGAGTTGAACACACACAACACAAGGAAGTTACTGGGAATTCTTCTGTCTAGCATAATATGAAGAAATCCCGTTTCCAACGAAGGCCTCAAAGGGGTCTGAATATCCACCTGCAGACTTTATAAACAGACTTTTTACTAACTGCTCTATGAAAAGAAAGGTTAAACTCTGTGAGTTGAACACACACATCACAAAGGAGTTTCTGAGAATCATTCTGTCTAGTTTCCATAGGAAGATATTTCCTATTCTACCATTGACCTCAAAGCGGCTGAAATCTCCACTTGCAAATTCCACAAAAAGAGTGTTTCAAGTCTGCTCTCTGTAAAGGATCGTTCAACTCTGTGAGTGGAATACACACAACACAAGGAAGTTAATGAGAATTATTCTGTCTGGCAGAATATGTAGAAATCCCGTTTCCAACGAAGGCCACAAGATGTCAGAATATCCACTTACAGAATTTACCAACAGAGTGTTTCCTAACTGCTCTATGAAAAGAAAGGTTAAACTCTGTGAGTTGAACGAACACATCACAACGCAGTTTGTGGGAATGATTCTGTCTAGTTTTGAAACGAAGATATTTCCTTTTCTGCCATGGACCTTAAAGCGCTTGAAATCTCCACTTGCCAGTTGCACAAAAAGAGTGTTTCAAATCTGCTCTGTCTAAGGGAACGTTCAACACTGTGAGTTGAATGTACACAACACAAGGAAGTTACTGGGAATTCTTCTGTCTAGCCTTACATGAAAAAAACCCGTTTCCAACGAAGGCCTCTAAGTGGTCAAAATATCCACGTGCAGACTTTACAAACAGAGTGTTTCCAAACCGCTGAATGAAAAGAAAAGTTAAACTCTGAGAGTTGAACGCACACATCACACAGCAGTTTCTGAGAATGATTCTGTCTAGTTTGTATAAGAAGATATTTCCTATTCTACCATTGACCTCAAAGCGGCTGAAATCTCCACTTGCAAATTCCACAAAAAGAGTGTTTCAAGCCTGCTCTCTGTAAAGGATCCTTCAACTCTGTGAGTTGAATACACACAACACAAGGAAGTTACTGAGAATTATTCTGTCTAGCATAATATGAAGAAATCCCGTTTCCAACGAAGGCCTCAAGGAGGTCTGAATATCCACTTGCAGACTTTACAAACAGAGTGTTTCCTAACTGCTCTATGAAAAGAAAGGTTAAACTCTGTGAGTTGAACGCACACATCACAAAGGAGTTTCTGAGAATGATTCTGTCTAGTTTTTATACGAAGATAATTCCTTTTCTACCATTGACCTCAAAGCGGCTGAAATCTCCACTTACAAATTCCGCAAAAAGAGTGTTTCAAGTCTGCTCTGTGTAAAGGATCGTTCAACTCTGTGAGTTGAATACACACAACACAAGGAAGTTACTGAGAATTCTTCTGTCTAGCAGAATATGAAGAAATCCCGTTTCCAACGAAGGCCACAAGATGTCAGAATATCCACTTACAGAATTTTCAAACAGACTGTTTCCTAACTGCTCTATGAAAAGAAAGGTTAAACTCTGTGAGTTGAACGAACACATCACAACGCAGTTTGTGGGAATGATTCTGTCCAGTTTTGAAACGAAGATATTTCCTTTTCTGCCATTGAACTTAAAGCGCTTGAAATCTCCATTTGCCAATTGCACAAAAAGAGTGTTTCAAATCTGCTCTGTCTAAGGGAACGTTCAACTCTGTGAGTTGAATGTACACAACACAAGGAAGTTACTGGGAATTCTTCTGTCTAGCCTTACAGGAAAAAAACCCGTTTCCAACGAAGGCCTCTAAGTCGTCAAAATATCCACGTGCAGACTTTACAAACAGAGTGTTTCCAAACTGCTGAATGAAAAGAAAAGTTAAACTCTGAGAGTTGAACGCACACATCGCCAGAAGCAGTTTCTGAGAATGATTCTGTCTAGTTTTGAAACGAAGACATTTCCTTTTCTGCCTTTGGCCTCAAAGCCCTTGAAATCTCCATTTGCAAATTCCACAAAAAGAGTGTTTCAAATCTGCTCTGTGTAAATGAAAGTTCAACTCTGTGAGTTGAACACACACAACACAAGGAAGTTACTGGGAATTCTTCTGTCTAGCAGAATATGAAGAAATCCCGTTTCCAACGAAAGCCTCAATGATGTCTGAAAATCCACCTGCAGACTTTACAAACAGAGTGTTTCCTAACTGCTCTATGAAAAGAAAGTTTAAACTCTGTGAGTTGAACGCACACAGCACCAAGGAGTTTCTGACAATCATTCTGTCTAGTTTCTATAGGAAGATATTTCCTATTATACCATTGACCTCAAAGCGGCTGAAATCTCCACTTGCAAATTCCACAAAAAGAGTGTTTCAAGTCTGCTCTGTGTAAAGGATCGTTCAACTCTGTGAGTTGAATACACACAACACAAGGAAGTTACTGAGAATTCTTCTGTCTAGCAGAATATGAAGAAATCCCGTTTCCAACGAAGGCCACAAGATGTCAGAATATCCACTTACAGACTTTACAAACAGAGTGTTTCCTAACTGCTCTATGAACAGAAAGGTTAAACTCTGTGAGTTGAACGAACACATTACAACGCAGTTTGTGGGAATGATTCTGTCTAGTTTTGAAACGAAGATATTTCCTTTTCTGCCATTGACCTTAAAGCGCTTGAAATCTCCACTTGCCAATTGCACAAAAAGAGTGTTTCAAATCTGCTCTGTCTAAGGGAACGTTCAACTCTGTGAGTTGAATGTACACAACACAAGGTAAGTTACTGGGAATTCTTCTGTCTAGCCTTACATGAAGAAAACCCGTTTCCAACGAAGGCCTCTAAGTGGTCAAAATATCCACGTGCAGACTTTACAAACAGAGTGTTTCCAAACCGCTGAATGAAAAGAAAAGTTAAACTCTGAGAGTTGAACGCACACATCACGCAGCAGTTTCTGAGAATGATTCTGTCTAGTTTTTATACGAAGATATTTCCTTTTCTGCCTTTGGCCCCAAAGCGTTTGAAATCTCCACTTGCAAATTCCACAAAAACAGTATTTCAAATCTGCTCTCTCTAAATGAAAGTTCAACTCTGTCAGTTGAATACACACAACACAAGGAAGTTACTGAGAATTCTTCTGTCTAGCATAATATGAAGAAATGCAGTTTCCAACGAAGGCCTCAAGGAGGTCTGAATATCCACTTGCAGACTTTACAAACAGAGTGTTTCCTAACTGCTCTATGAAAAGAAAGGTTAAACTCTGTGAGTTGAACGTACACATCACAAAGGGGTTTCTGAGAATCATTCTGTCTAGTTTCTATAGGAAGATATTTCCTATTTTACCATTGACCTTAAAGCGGCTGAAATCTCCACTTGCAAATTTCACAAAAAGAGTGTTTCCAGTCTGCTCTGTGTAAAGGATCGTTCAACTCTGTGAGTTGAATACACACAACACAAGGAAGTTTCCGAGAATTCTTCTGTCTAGCAGAATATGAAGAAATCCCGTTTCCAACGAAGGCCACAAGATGTCAGAATATCCACTTACAGAATTTACAAACAGACTGTTTCCTAAGTGCTCTATGAAAAGAAATGTTAAACTCTGTGAGTTGAACGAACACATCGCAACGCAGTTTGTGGGAATGATTCTGTCTAGTTTTTATAGGAAGATATTTCCTTTTCTACCTTTGACTTCAAAGCGGCTGAAATCTCCACTTGCAAATTCCACAAAAAGAGTGTTACAAGTCTGCTCTGTCTAAGGGAACTTTCAACTCTGTGAGTTGAATGTACACAACACAAGGAAGTTACTGGGAATTCTTCTGTCTAGCCTTACGTGAAAAAAAAACCCGTTTCCAACGAAGGCCTCTAAGTGGTCAAAATATCCACGTGCAGACTTTACAAACAGAGTGTTTCCAAACTGCTGAATGAAAAGAAAAGTTAAACTCTGAGAGTTGAACGCACACATCACAGAGCAGTTTCTGAGAATGATTCTGTCTAGTTTTTATACGAAGATATTTCCTTTTCTGCCTTTGGCCCCAAAGCGCTTGAAATCTCCACTTGCAAATTCCACAAAAACAGTGTTTCAAATCTGCTCTCTCTAAATGAAAGTTCAACTCTGTCAGTTGAATACACACAACAAAAGGAAGTTACTGAGAATTCTTCTGTCTAGCATAATATGAAGAAATCCCGTTTCCAACGAAGGCCTCAAAGGGGTCTGAATATCCACTTGCAGACTTTATAAACAGAGTGTTTACTAACTGCTCTATGAAAACAAAGGTTAAACTCTGTGAGTTGAACACACACATCACAAAGGAGTTTCTGAGAATCATTCTGTCTAGTTTTTCTTCGAAGATATTTCCTATTCTACCATTGACCTCAAAGCGGCTGAAATCTCCACTTGCAAATTCCACAAAAAGAGTGTTTCAAGTCTGCTCTCTGTAAAGGATCATTCAACTCTGTGAGTTGAATACACAGAACACAAGGAAGTTACTGAGAATTCTTCTGTCTAGCAGAATATGTAGAAATCCCGTTTCCAAAGAAGGCCTCAAAGAGGTCTGAATATCCACTTGCAGACTTTACAAACAGAGTGTTTCCTAACTGCTCTATGAAAAGAAAAGTTAAACTCTGTGAGTTGAACGCACACATCACAAAGCATTTTCTGAGAATCATTCTGTCTAGTCTTTATACGACGATAGTTTCCTTTTCTACCATTGACCTCAAAGCGGCTGAAATCTCCACTTGCAAATTCCACAAAAAGAGTGTTTCAAGTCTGCTCTGTGTAAAGGATCGTTCAACTCTGTGAGTTGAATACACACAACACAAGGAAGTTACTGAGAATTCTTCTGTCTAGCCTTACAGGAAAAAAACCCGTTTCCAACGAAGGCCTCTAAGTGGTCAAGTTATCCACGTGCAGACTTTACAACCAGAGTGTTTCCAAACTGCTGAATGAAAAGAAAAGTTAAACTCTGAGAGTTGAACGCACACATCGCAGAGCAGTTTCTGAGAATGATTCTGTCTAGTTTTTATACGAAGATATTTCCTTTTCTGCCTTTGGCCTCAAAGCGCTTGAAATCTCCATTTGCAAATTCCACAAAAAGAGTGTTTCAAATCTGCTCTGTGTAAATGAAAGTTCAACTCTGTGAGATGAACACACACAACACAAGGAAGTTACTGGGAATTCTTCTGTCTAGCAGAATATGAATAAATCCCTTTTCCAACGAAACCCTCAAAGATGTCTGAATATCCACTTTTAGACTTTACCAACCCAGTGTCTCCTAACTTCTCTATGAAAAGAAAGGTTAAATTCTGTGAGTTGAACGCACACATCACAAAGGAGTTTCTGACAATCATTCTGTCTAGTTTCTATAGGAAGATATTTCCTATTCTACCATTGACCTCAAAGCGGCTGAAATCTCCACTTGCAAATTCCACAAAAGGAGTGTTTCAAGTCTGCTCTGTGTAAAGGATCGTTCAACTCTGTGAGTTGAAAACACACAACACAAGGAAGTTACTGAGAATTCTTCTTTCTAGCAGTATATGAAGAAATCCCGTTTCCAACGAAAGCCTCAAGGATGTCTGAATATCCACTTGCAGACTTTACAAACAGAGTGTTTCCCAACTGCTCTATGAAAAGAAAAGTTAAACTCTGTGAGTTGAACGCACACATCACAAAGGAGTTTCTGAGAATCATTCTGTCTAGTTTTTATAGGAAGATATTTCCTTTTCTACCTTTGACTTCAAAGCGGCTGAAATCTCCACTTGCAAATTCCACAAAAAGAGTGTTACAAGTCTGCTCTGTCTAAGGGAACCTTCAACTCTGTGAGTTGAATGTACACAACACAAGGAAGTTACTGGGAATTCTTCTGTCTAGCCTTACAGGAAAAAAACCCGTTTCCAACGAAGGCCTCTAAGTGGTCAAAATATCCACGTGCAGACTTTACAAACAGAGTGTTTCCACACTGCTGAATGAAAAGAAAAGTTAAACTCTGAGAGTTGAACGCACACATCGCAGAGCAGTTTCTGAGAATGATTCTGTCTAGTTTTGAAACGAAGATATTTCCTTTTCTACCATTGACCTCAACGCGGCTGAAATCTCCATTTGCAAATTCCACAAAAAGAGTGTTTCAAATCTGCTCTGTGTAAATGAAAGTTCAACTCTGTGAGTTGAACACACACAACACAAGGAAGTTACAGGGAATTCTTCTGTCTCGCATAATATGAAGAAATCCCGTTTCCAACGAAGGCCTCAAAGAGGTCTGAATATCCACTTGCAGACTTTACAAACAGAGTGTTTCCTAACTGCTCTATGAAAAGAAAAGTTAAACTCTGTGAGTTGAACGCACACATCACAAAGGATTTTCTGAGAATCATTCTGTCTAGTTTCTATAGGAAGATATTTCCTATTCTACCGTTGACCTCAAAGCGGCTGAAATCTCCACTTGCAAATTCCACAAAAAGAGTGTTTCAAGTCTGCTCTCTGTAAAGGATCGTTCAACTCTGTGAGTTGAATACACACAACACAAGGAAGTTACTGAGAATTATTCTGTCTAGCAGAATATGAAGAAATCCCGTTTCCAACGAAGGCCACAAGATGTCAGAATATCCACTTACAGAATTTACAAACAGACTGTTTCCTAACTGCTCTATGAAAAGAAAGGTTAAACTCTGTGAGATGAACGGACACATCACAACGCAGTTTGTGGGAATGATTCTGTCTAGTTTTGAAACGAAGATATTTCCTTTTCTGCCATTGACCTTAAAGTGCTTGAAATCTCCACTTGCCAATTGCACAAAAAGAGTGTTTCAAATCTGCTCTGTGTAAATGAAAGTTCAACTCTGTGAGTTGAACACACACAACACAAGGAAGTTACTGGGAATTCTTCTGTCTAGGCTTATATGAAAAAAACCCGTTTCCAACGAAGGCCTCAAAGAGGTCTGAATATCCACTTGCAGACTTTACAAACAGAGTGTTTCCTAACTGCTCTATGAAAAGAAAGGTTAAACTCTGTGAGTTCAACACACACATCACAAAGGAGTTTCTGAGAATCATTCTGTCTAGTTTTTATACGGAGATATTTCCTTTTCTGCCTTTGTCCCCAAAGCGCTTGAAATCTCCACTTGCAAATTCCACAAAAACAGTGTTTCAAATCTGCTCTCTCTAAATGAAAGTTCAACTCTGTCAGTTGAATACACACAACACAAGGAAGTTACTGAGAATTCCTCTGTCTAGCATAATATGAAGAAATCCCGTTTCCAACGAAGGCCTCAAAGAGGTCTGAATATCCACCTGCAGACTTTACAAACAGAGTGTTTCCTAACTGCTCTATGAAAAGAAAAGTTAAACTCTGTGAGTTGAACGCACACATCACAAAGGAGTTTCTGAGAATCATTCTGTCTAGTCTTTATACGAAGATATTTCCTTTTGTACCATTGACCTCAAAGCGGCTGAAATCTCCACTTGCAAATTCCACAAAAAGAGTGTTTAAAGTCTGCTCTCTGTAAAGGATCGTTCAACTCTGTGAGTTGAATACACACAACACAAGGAAGTTACTGAGAATTCTTCTGTCTAGCAGAATATGAAGAAATCCCGTTTCCAAAGAAGGCCTCAAGGAGGTCTGAATATCCACTTGCAGACTTTACAAACAGAGTGTTTCCTAACTGCTCTATGAACACAAAGGTTAAACTCTGTGAGTTGAACGCACACATCACAAAGGAGTTTCTGAGAATCATTCTGTCTAGTTTTGAAACCAAGATATTTCCTTTTCTGCCATTGACCTTAAAACTCTTGAAATCTCCACTTGCCAATTGCACAAAAAGAGTGTTTCAAATCTGCTCTGTCTAAGGGAATGTTCAACTCTGTGAGTTGAATGTACACAACACAAGGAAGTTACTGGGAATTCTTCTGTCTAGCCTTACAGGAAAAAAACCCATTTCCAACGAAGGCCTCTAAGTGGTCAAAATATCCACGTGCAGACTTTACAAACAGAGTGTTTCCAAACTGCTGAATGAAAAGAAAAGTTAAACTCTGAGAGTTGAACGCACACATCGCAGAGCAGTTTCTGAGAATGATTATGTCTAGTTTTTATACGAATTTATTTCCTTTTCTGCCTTTGGCCCCAAAGCGCTTGAAATCTCCACTTGCAAATTCCACAAAAACAGTGGTTCAAATCTGCTCTCTCTAAATGAAAGTTCAACTCTGTCAGTTGAATACACACAACGCAAAGAAGTTACTGAGAACTCTTCTGTCTAGCAGAATATGAAGAAATCCCGTTTCCAACGAAGGCCTAAAAGAGGTCTGAATATCCACTTGCAGACTTTACAAACAGAGTGTTTCCTAACTGCTCTATGAAAAGAAAGGTTAAACTCTGTGAGTTGAACGCACACATTACAAAGGAGATTCCGAGAATCATTCTGTCTAGTTTCTATAGGAAGATATTTCCTATTCTACCATTGAACTCAAAGCGGCTGAAATCTCCACTTGCAAATTCCACAAAAAGAGTGTTTCAAGTCTGCTCTGTGTAAAGGATCGTTCAACTTTGTGAGTTGAATACACACAACACAAGGAAGTTACTGAGAATTCTTCTGTCTAGCAGAATATGAAGAAATGCCGTTTCCAACGAAGGCCACAAGATGTCAGAATATCCACTTACAGAATTGACAAACAGACTGTTTCCTAACTGCTCTATGAAAAGAAAGGTTAAACTCTGTGAGTTGAACGAACACATCACAACGCAGTTTGTGGGAATGATTCTGTCTAGTTTTGAAACGAAGATATTTCCTTTTCTGCCATTGACCTTAAAGCGCTTGAAATCTCCATTTGCCAATTGCACAAAAAGAGTGTTTCAAATCTGCTCTGTCTAAGGGAACGTTCAACTCTGTGAGTTGAATGTACACAACACAAGGAAGTTACTGGGAATTCTTCTGTCTAGCCTTACAGGAAAAAAACCCGTTTCCAACGAAGGCCTCTGAGTGGTCAAAATATCCACCTGCAGACTTTACAAACAGAGTGTTTCCAAACTGCTGAATGAAAAGAAAAGTTAAACTCTGAGAGTTGAACGCACACATCGCAGAGCAGTTTCTGAGAATGATTCTCTCTAGTTTCTATAGGAAGAAATTTCCTATTCTACCATTGACCTCAAAGCGGCTGAAATCTCCACTTGCAAATTCCACAAAAACAGTGTTTCAACTCTGCTCTGTGTAAAGGATCGTTCAACTCTCTGAGTTGAATACACACAACACAAGGAAGTTACTGAGAATTCTTCTGTCTAGCATAATATGAAGAAATCCCGTTTCCAACGAAGACCTCAAGGAGGTCTGAATATCCACTTGCAGACTTTACAAACAGTGTGTTTCCTAACTGCTCTATGAAAAGAAAGGTTAAACTCTGTGAGTTGAACGCCCACATCACAAAGGAGTTTCTCAGAATCATTCTGTCTAGTTTGTATAGGAAGATATTTCCTATTCTACCATTGACCTCAAAGCGGCTGAAATCTCCACTTGCAAATTCCACAAAAAGAGTGTTTCAAGTCTGCTCTCTGTAAAGGATCGTTCAACTCTGACAGTTGAATACACACAACACAAGGAAGTTACTGAGAATTATTCTGTCTAGCAGAATATGAAGAAATCCCGTTTCCAACGAAGGCCACAAGATGTCAGAATATCCACTTACAGAATTTACAAACAGACTGTTTCCTAACTGCTCTACGAAAAGAAAGGTTAAACTCTGTGAGATGAAGGAACACATCACAACGCAGTTTGTGGGAATGATTCTGTCTAGTTTTGAAACGAAGATATTTCCTTTTCTGCCATTGACCTTAAAGCGCTTGAAATCTACACTTGCAAATTGCACAAATAGAGTGTTTCAAATCTGCTCTGTCTAAGGGAACGTTCAACTCTGTGAGTTGAAAGCACACAACACAAGGAAGTTACTGGGAATTCTTCTGTCTAGCCTTACATGAAAAAAACCCGTTTCCAACGAAGGCCTCTAAGTGGTCAAATTATCCACGTGCAGACTTTACAAACAGAGTGTTTCCAAACTGCTGAATGAAAAGCAAAGTTAAACTCTGAGAGTTGAACGCACACATCGCAGAGCACTTTCTGAGAATGATTCTGTCTAGTTTTTATACGAAGATATTTCCTTTTCTGCCTTTGGCCTCAAAGCGCTTGAAATCTCCACTTGTAAATTCCACAAAAAGAGTGTTTCAAATCTGCTCTGTGTAAATGAAAGTTCAACTCTGTGAGTTGAACACACACAACACAAGGAAGTTACTGGGAATTCTTCTGTCTAGCATAGTATGGAGAAATCCCGTTTCCAACGAAGGCCTCAAAGAGGTCTGAATATCCACTTGCAGAGTTTACAAACAGAGTGTTTCCTAACTGCTCTATGAAAAGAAAGGTTAAACTCTGTGAGTTGAAGGCACACATCACAAAGAAGTTTCTGAGAATCATTCTGTCTAGTTTCTATAAGAAGATATTTCCTATTCTACCATTCACCTCAAAGCGGCTGAAATCTCCACTTGCAAATTCGACAAAAAGAGTGTTTCAAGCCTGCTCTCTGTAAAGGATCCTTCAACTCTGTGAGTTGAATACACACAACACAAGGAAGTTACTGAGAATTCTTCTGTCTAGCAGAATATGAAGAAATCCCGTTTCCAACGAAGGCCACAAGATGTCAAAATATCCACTTACAGAATTGACAAACAGACTGTTTCCTAACTGCTCTATGAAAAGAAAGGTTAAACTCTGTGAGTTGAACGAACACATCACAACGCAGTTTGTGGGAATGATTCTGTCTAGTTTTGAAACGAAGATATTTCCTTTCCTGCCATTGACCTTAAAGCGCTTGAAATCTCCATTTGCCAATTGCACAAAAAGAGTGTTTCAAATCTGCTCTGTCTAAGGGAACGTTCAACTCTGTGAGTTGAATGTACACAACACAAGGAAGTTACTGGGAATTCTTCTGTCTAGCCTTACAGGAAAAAAAACCGTTTCCAACTAAGGCCTCTAAGTGGTCAAAATATCCACGTGCAGACTTTACAAACAGAGTGTTTCCAAACTGCTGAATGAAAAGAAAAGTTAAACTCTGAGAGTTGAACGCACACATCGCAGAGCAGTTTCTGAGAATGATTCTGTCTAGTTTTTATACGAAGATATTTCCTTTTCTGCCTTTGGCCTCAAAGCGCTTGAAATCTCCACTTGCAAATTCCACAAAAAGAGTGTTTCAAATCTGCTCTGTCTAAATGAAAGTTCAACTCTGTGAGTTGAACACACACAACACAAGGAAGTTACTGGGAATTCTTCTGTCTAGCATAATATGAAGAAATCCCGTTTCCAACGAAGGCCTCAAGGAGGTCTGAATATCCACTTGCAGACTTTACAAACAGAGTGTTTCCTAACGGCTCTATGAAAAGAAAGGTTAAACTCTGTGAGTTGAACGCACACATCACAAAGGAGTTTCTGAGAATCATTCTGTCTAGTTTCTATAGGAAGATATTTCCTATTCTACCATTGACCACAAAGCGGCTGAAATCTCCACTTGCAAATTTCACAAAAAGAGTGTTTCAAGTCTGCTCTGTGTAAAGGATCGTTCAACTCTGTGAGTTGAATACACACAATACATGGAAGTTACTGAGAATTCTTCTGTCTAGCAGAATATGATGAAATCCCTTTTCCAACGAAGGCCACAAGATGTCAGAATATCCACTTACAGACTTTACAAACAGAGTGTTTCCTAACTGCTCTATGAACAGAAAGGTTAAACTCTGTGAGTTGAACGAACACATCACAACGCAGTTTGTGGGAATGATTCTGTCTAGTTTTGAAACGAAGATATTTCCTTTTCTGCCATTGACCTTAAAGCGCTTGAAATCTACACTTGCAAATTGCACAAATAGAGTTTTTCAAATCTGCTCTGTCTAAGGGAACGTTCAACTCTTTGAGTTGAATGCACACAACACAAGGAAGTTACTGGGAATTCTTCTGTCTAGCCTTACAGGAAAAAAACCCGTTTCCAACGAAGGCCTCTAAGTGGTCAAAATATCCACGTGCAGACTTTACAAACAGAGTGTTTCCAAACTGCTGAATTAAAAGAAAAGTTAAACTCTGAGAGTTGAACGCACACATCGCAGAGCAGTTTCTGAGAATGATTCTGTCTAGTTTTTATACGAAGATATTTCCTTTTCTGCCTTTGGCCCCAAAGCGCATGAAATCTCCACTTGCAAATTCCACAAAAACAGTGTTACAAATCTGCTCTCTCTAAATGAAAGTTCAACTCCGTCAGTTGAATACACACAACACAAGGAAGTTACTGAGAATTCTTCTGTCTAGCCTTATATGAAAAAAACCCGTTTCCAACGAAGGCCTCAAAGAGGTCTGAATATCCTCTTGCAGACTTTACAAACAGAGTGTTTCCTAACAGCTCTATGAAAAGAAAGGTTAAACTCTGTGAGTTGGGCACACACATCACAAAGGAGTTTCTGAGAATGATTCTGTCTAGTTTTTATACGAAGATATTTCCTTTTCTACCATTGACCTCAAAGCGGCTGAAATCTCCACTGGCCAATTCAACAAAAAGAGTTTTTCAAGTCTACTCTGTGTAAAGGATCGTTGAACTCTGTGAGTTGAAAACACGCAACACCAGGAAGTTTCTGAGAATTCTTCTGTCTAGCAGAATATGAAGAAATTCCGTTTCCAAAGAAGGCCTCAAAGAGGTCTGAATATCCACTTGCAGACTTTACCAACAGAGTGTTTCCTAACTGCTCTATGAAAAGAAAGGTTAAACTCTGTGAGTTGAACGCACACATCACAAAGGAGTTTCTGAGAATCATTCTGTCTAGTTTTGAAACGAAGATATTTCCTTTTCTGCCATTGACCTTAAAGTGCTTGAAATCTACACTTGCAAATTGCACAAATAGAGTGTTTCAAATCTGCTCTGTCTAAGGGAACGTTCAACTCTGTGAGTTGAATGCACACAACACAAGGAAGTTACTGGGAATTCTTCTGTCTAGCCTTACATGAAAAAACCCGTTTCCAACGAAGGCCTCTAAGTGGTCAAAATATACACGTGCAGACTTTACAAACAGAGTGTTTCCAAACCGCTGAATGAAAAGAAAAGTTAAACTCTGAGAGTTGAACGCACACATCACGCAGCAGTTTCTGAGAATGATTCTGTCTAGTTTTTATACGAAGATATTTCCTTTTCTGCCTTTGGCCTCCAAGCGCTTGAAATCTCCAATTGCAAATTCCACAAAAAGAGTGTTTCAAATCTGCTCTGTGTAAATGAAAGTTCAACTCTGTGAGTTGAACACACACAACACAAGGAAGTTACTGGGAATTCTTCTGTCTAGCATAATATGAAGAAATCCCGTTTCCAACGAAGGCTTCAAAGAGGTCTGAATATCCGCTTGCAGACTTTACAAACAGAGTGTTTCCTAACTGCTCTATGAAAAGAAAGTTTAAACTCTGTGAGTTGAACGCACACATCACAAAGGAGTTTCTGAGAATCGTTCTGTCTAGTTTTTCTACGAAGATATTTCCTTTTCTACTATTGACCTCAAAGCGGCTGAAATCTCCACTTGCAAATTCTACAAATAGAGTGTTTCAAGTCTGCTCTGTGTAAAGGATCGTTCAACTCTATGAGTTGAATACACACAACACAAGGAAGTTACTGAGAATTCTTCTGTCTAGCAGAATATGAAGAAATCCCGTTTCCAACGAAGGCCTCAAAGAGGTCTGAATATCCACTTGCAGACTTTACACACAGAGTGTTTCCTAACTGCTCTATGAACAGAAAGGTTAAACTCTGTGAGTTGAACGAACACATCACAACGCAGTTTGTGGGAATGATTCTGTCTAGTTTTGAAACGAAGATATTTCCTTTTCTGCCGTTGACCTTAAAGAGCTTGAAAACTACACTTGCAAATTGCACAAATAGAGTGTTTCAAACCTGCTCGGTCTAAGGGAACGTTCAACTCTGTGAGTTGAATGCACACAACACAAGGAAGTTACTGGGAATTCTTCTGTCTAGCCTTACATGAAAAAAACCCGTTTCCAACGAAGGCCTCTAAGTGGTCAAAATATCCACGTGCAGAATTTACAAACAGAGTGTTTCCAAACTGCTGAATGAAAAGAAAAGTTAAACTCTGAGAGTTGAACGCATACATCGCAGAGCAGTTTCTGAGAATGATTCCGTCTAGTTTTTATACGAAGATATATCCTTTTCTGCCTTTGGCCTCAAAGCGCTTGAAATCTCCACTTGCAAATTCCAGAAAAAGAGTGTTTCAAATCTGCTCTGTCTAAATGAAAGTTCAACTCTGTCAGTTGAATACACACAACAAAAGGAAGTTACTGAGAATTCTTCTGTCTAGCAGAATATGAAGAAATCCCGTTTCCAACGAAGGCCTCAAGGAGGTCTGAATATCCACTTGCAGACTTTACAAACAGAGTGTTTCCTAACTGCTCTATGAAAAGAAAGGTTTAACTCTGTGAGTTGAACGCACACATCACAAAGGAGTTTCTGAGAATCATTCCGTCTAGTTTTTATACGAAGATATTTCCTTTTCTACCATGGACCTCAAAGCGGCTGAAATCTCCACTTGCAAATTCCACAAAAAGAGTGTTTCAAGTCTGCTCTGTGTAAAGGATCGTTCAACTCTGTGAGTTGAATACACACAACACAAGGAAGATTCTGAGAATTCTTCTGTCTAGCAGAATATGAAGAAATCCCGTTTCCAACGAATGCCACAAGATGTCAGAATATCCACTTACAGAATTGACAAACAGACTGTTTCCTAACTGCTCTATGAAAAGAAAGGTTAAACTCTGTGAGTTGAACGAACACATCACAACGCAGTTTGTGGGAATGATTCTGTCTAGTTTTGAAACGAAGATATTTCCTTTTCTGCCTTTGAACTTAAAGCGCTTGAAATCTCCATTTGCCAATTGCACAAAAAGAGTGTTTCAAATCTGCTCTGTCTAAGGGAACGTTCAACTCCTGTGAGTTGAATGTACACAACACAAGGAAGTTACTGGGAATTCTTCTGTCTAGCCTTACATGAAAAAAACCCGTTTCCAACGAAGGCCTCTAAGTGGTCAAAATTTCCACGTGCAGACTTTACAAACAGAGTGTTTCCTAACAGCTCTATGAACAGAAAGGTTAAACTCTGTGAGTTGAACGCACACATCACAAAGGACTTTCTGAGAATCATTCTGTCTAGTTTTTATACGAAGATATTTCCTTTTCTGCCTTTGGCCCCAAAGCGCTTGAAATCTCCAATTGCAAATTCCACAAAAACAGTGTTTCAAATCTGCTCTCTCTAAATGAAAGTTCAACTCTGTCAGTTGAATACACACAACACAAGGAAGTTACTGAGAATTCTTCTGTGTAGCATAATATGAAGAAATCCCGTTTCCAACGAAGGCCTCAAGGAGGTCTGAATATCCACTTGCAGACTTTACAAACAGAGTGTTTCCTAACTGCTCTATGAAAAGAAATGTTAAACTCTGTGAGTTGAACGCACACATCACAAAGGAGTTTCTGAGAATCATTCTGTCTAGTTTTTCTACGAAGATATTTCCTATTCTACTATTGACCTCAAAGCGGCTGAAATCTCCACTTGCAAATTCTACAAATAGAGTGTTTCAAGTCTGCTCTGTGTAAAGGATCGTTCAACTCTGTGAGTTGAATACACACAACACAAGGAAGTTACTGAGAATTATTCTGTCTAGCATAATATGAAGAAATCCCGTTTCCAACGAAGGCCTCAAGGAGTTCTGAATATCCACTTGCAGACTTTACAATCAGAGTGTTTCCTAACTGCTCTATGAAAAGAAAGGTTAAACTCTGTGAGTTGAACGCACACATCACAAAGGAGTTTCTGAGAATCATTCTGTCTAGTTTTGAAACGAAGATATTTCCTTTTCTGCCATTGACCTTAAAGCGCTTGAAATCTCCACTTGCCAATTGCACAAAAAGAGTGTTTCAAATCTGCTCTGTCTAAGGGAACGTTCAACTCTGTGAGTTGAATGTACACAACGCAAGGAAGTTACTGGGAATTCTTCTGTCTAGCCTTACAGGAAAAAAACCCGTTTCCAACGAAGGCCTCTAAGTGGTCAAATTATCCAGGTGCAGACTTTACAAACAGAGTGTTTCCAAACTGCTGAATGAAAAGAAAAGTTAAACTCTGAGACTTGAACGCACACATCGCAGAGCAGTTTCTGAGAATGATCTGTCTAGTTTTTATACGAAGATATTTCCTTTTCTGCCTTTGGCCTCAAAGCGCTTGAAATCTCCACTTGCAAATTCCACAAAAAGAGTGTTTCAAATCTGCTCTGTGTAAATCAAAGTTCAACTCTGTGAGTTGAACACACACAACACAAGGAAGTTACTGGGAATTCTTTCTGTCTAGCATAATATGAAGAAATCCCGTTTCCAACGAAGGCCTCAAAGGGGTCTGAATATCCACTTGCAGACATTACAAACAGAGTGTTTCCTAACTGCTCTATGAAAAGAAACGTTAAACTCTGTGAGTTGAACGCACACATCACAAAGGAGTTTCTGAGAATCATTCTGTCTAGTCTTTATACGAAGATATTTCCTTTTCTACCATTGACCTCAAAGCGGCTGAAATCTCCACTTGCAAATTCCACAAAAAGAGTGTTTCAAGTCTGCTCTGTGTAAAGCATCGTTCAACTCTGTGTGTTGAATACACACAACACAAGGAAGTTACTGAGAATTCTTCTGTCTAGCAGAATATGAAGAAATCCCGTTTCCAACGAAGGCCACAAGATGTCAGAATATCCACTTACAGACTTTACAAACAGAGTGTTTCCTAACTGCTCTATGAACAGAAAGGTTAAACTCTGTGAGTTGAACGAACACATCAGAACGCAGTTTGTGGGAATGATTCTGTCTAGTTTTTATACGAAGATATTTCCTTTTCTACCATTGACCTCAAAGCGGCTGAAATCACCACTTGCCAATTGCACAAAAAGAGTGTTTCAAATCTGCTCTGTCTAAGGGAACGTTCAACTCTGTGAGTTGAATGTACACAACACAAGGAAGTTACTGGGAATTCTTCTGTCTAGCCTTACATGAAAAAAACCCGTTTCCAACGAAGACCTCTAAGTGGTCAAGTTATCCACGTGCAGACTTTACAAACAGAGTGTTTCCAAACTGCTGAATGAAAAGAAAAGTTAAACTCTGAGAGTTGAACGCACACATCGCAGAGCAGTTTCTGAGAATGATTCTGTCTAGTTTTTCTACGAAGATATTTCCTTTTCTGCCTTTGGCCTCAAAGTGCTTGAAATCTCCATTTGCAAATTCCACAAAAAGAGTGTTTCAAATCTGCTCTGTGTAAATGAAAGTTCAACTCTGTGAGTTGAACACACACAACACATGGAAGTTACTGGGAATTCTTCTGTCTAGCAGAATATGAAGAAATCCCGTTTCCAACGAAGGCCTCAAAGAGGTCTGAATATCCACTTGCAGACTTTACAAACAGAGTGTTTCCTAACTGCTCTATGAAAAGAAAGGTTAAACTCTGTGAGTTGAACGCACACATCACAAAGGAGTTTCTGACAATCATTCTGTCTAGTTTTTATACGAAGATATTTCCTTTTCTACCATTGACCTGAAAGCGGCTGAAATCTCCACCCTGCCAATTCCACAAAAAGAGTGTTTCAAGTCTACTCTGTGTAAAGGATCGTTGAACTCTGTGATTTGAAAACACACAACACAACGAAGTTTCTGAGAATTCTTCTGTCCAGCAGAATATGAAGAAATCCCGTTTCCAACGAAAGCCTCAAAGATGTCTGAATATCCACTTGTAGACTTTACAAACAGAGTGTTTCCTAACTGCTCTATGAAAAGAAAGGTTAAACTCTGTGAGTTGAACGCACACATCACAAAGGAGTTTCTGAGAATCATTCTGTCTAGTTTTGAAACGAAGATATTTCCTTTTCTGCCATTGACCTTAAAGAGCTTGAAATCTACACTTGCAAATTGCACAAATAGAGTGTTTCAAATCTGCTCTGTCTAAGGGAACGTTCAACTCTGTGAGTTGAATGCACACAACACAAGGAAGTTACTGGGAATTCTTCTGTCTAGCCTTACATGAAAAAAACCCGTTTCCAACGAAGGCCTCTAAGTGGTCAAAATATCCACGTGCAGACTTTACAAACAGAGTGTTTCCAAACTGCTGAATGAAAAGAAAAGTTAAACTCTGAGAGTTGAACGCACACATCACGCAGCAGTTTCTGAGAATGATTCTGTCTAGTTTTTATACGAAGATATTTCCTTTTCTGCCTTTGGCCTCAAAGCGCTTGAAATCTCCCCTTGCAAATTCCACAAAAAGAGTGTTTCCAATCTGCTCTGTGTAAATGAAAGTTCAACTCTGTGAGTTGAACACACACAACACAAGGAAGTTACTGGGAATTCTTCTTTCTAGCAGAACATGAAGAAATCCCTTTTCCAACGAAGGCCTCAAAGATGTCTGAATATCCACTTGCAGCCTTTACAAACAGAGTGTTTCCTAACTGCTCTATGAAAAGAAAGGTTAAACTCTGTGAGTTGAACGCACACATCACAAAGGAGTTTCTGAGAATCATTCTGTCTAGTTTCTATAGGAAGATATTTCCTATTCTACCATTGACCTCAAAGCGGCTGAAATCTCCACTTGCAAATTCCACAAAAAGAGTGTTTCAAGTCTGCTCTGTGTAAACGATCGTTCAACTCTGTGAGTTGAATACACACAACACAAGGCAGTTACTGAGAATTCTTCTGTCTAGCAGAATATGAAGAAATCCCGTTTCCAACGAAGGCCACAAGATGTCAGAATATCCACTTACAGAATTGACAAACAGACTGTTTCCTAACTGCTCTATGAAAAGAAAGGTTAAACTCTGTGAGTTGAAGGAACACATCACAACGCAGTTTGTGGGAATGATTCTGTCTAGTTTTGAAACGAAGATATTTCCTTTTCTGCCATTGACCTCAAAGCGCTTGAAATCTCCACTTGCCAATTGCAGAAAAAGAGTGTTTCAAATCTGCTCTGTCTAAGGGAACGTTCAACTCTGTGAGTTGAATGTACACAACACAAGGAAGTTACTGGGAATTCTTCTGTCTAGCCTTACATGAAAAAAAACCCGTTTCCAACGAAGGCCTCTAAGTGGTGAAAATATCCACGTGCAGACTTTACAAACTGAGTGTTTCCAAACCGCTGAATGAAAAGAAAAGTTAAACTCTGAGAGTTGAACGCACACATCACGCAGCAGTTTCTGAGAATGATTCTGTCTAGTTTTTATACGAAGATATTTCCTTTTCTGCCTTTGGCCTCAAAGCGCTTGAAATCTCCATTTGCAAATTCCACAAAAAGAGAGTTTCAAATCTGCTCTGTGTAAATGAGAGTTCATCTCTGTGAGTTGAACACACACAACACAAGGAAGTTACTGGGATTTCTTCTCTCTAGCCTTATATGAAAAAAACCCGTTTCCAACGAAGGCCTCAAAGAGGTCTGAATATCCACTTGCAGACTTTAGAAACAGAGTGTTTCCTAACTGCTCTATGAAAAGAAAGGTTAAACTCTGTGAGTTGAACTCACACATCACAAAGGAGTTTCTGAGAATCATTCTGTCTAGTTTTTATAGGAAGTTATTTCCTTTTCTAACTTTGACTTCAAAGCGGCTGAAATCTCCACTTGCAAATTCCACAAAAAGAGTGTTACAAGTCCGCTCTGTGTAAAGGATCGTTCAACTCTGAGAGTTGAATACACACAACACAAGGAAGTTACTGAGAATACTTCTGTCTAGCAGAATATGAAGAAATCCCGTTTCCAACGAAGGCCTCAAGGAGGTCTGAATATCCACTTGCAGACTTTACAAACAGAGTGTTTCCTAACTGCTCTATGAACAGAAAGGTTAAACTCTGTGAGTTGAACGAACACATCACAACGCAGTTTGTGGGAATGATTCTGTCTAGTTTTGAAACGAAGATATTTCCTTTTCTGCCATTGACCTCAAAGCGCTTGAAATCTCCACTTGCCAATTGCACAAAAAGAGTGTTTCAAATCTGCTCTGTCTAAGGGAACGTTCAACTCTGTGAGTTGAATGTACACAACACAAGGAAGTTACTGGGAATTCTTCTGTCTAGCCTTACATGAAAAAAACCCGTTTCCAACGAAGGCCTCTAAGTGGTCAAAATTTCCACGTGCAGACTTTACAAACAGAGTGTTTCCAAACCGCTGAATGAAAAGAAAAGTTAAACTCTGAGAGTTGAACGCACACATCACGCAGCAGTTTCTGAGAATGATTCTGTCTAGTCTTTATACGAAGATATTTCCTTTTCTACCATTGACCACAAAGCGGCTGAAATCTCCACTTGCAAATTCCACAAAAAGAGTGTTTCAAGTCTGCTCTGTGTAAAGGATCATTCAATTCTGTGAGTTGAATAAACACAACACAAGGAAGTTACTGAGAATTCTTCTGTCTAGCAGAATATGAAGAAATCCCGTTTCCAACGAAGGTCTCAACGAGGTCTGAATATCCACTTGCAGACTTTACAAACAGAGTGTTTCCTAACTGCTCTATGAAAAGAAAGGTTAAACTCTGTGAGTTGAACACACACATCACAAAGGAGTTTCTGAGAATCATTCTGTCTAGTTTTTATACGAAGATATTTCCTTTTCTACCATGGACCTCAAAGCGGCTGAAATCTCCACTTGCAAATTCCACAAAAAGAGTGTTTCAAGTCTGCTCTGTGTAAAGGATCGTTCAACTCTGTGAGTTGAATACACACAACACAAGGAAGATTCTGAGAATTCTTCTCTCTAGCAGAATATGAAGAAATCCCGTTTCCATCGAAGGCCACAAGATGTCAGAATATCCACTTACAGAATTGACAAACAGACTGTTTCCTAACTGCTCTATGAAAAGAAAGGTTAAACTCTGTGAGTTGAACGAACACATCTCAACGCAGTTTGTGGGAATGATTCTGTCTAGTTTTGAAAGGAAGATATTTCCTTTTCTGCCATTGACCTTAAAGCGCTTGAAATCTCCACTTGCCAATTGCACAAAAAGAGTGTTTCAAATCTGCTCTGTCTAAGGGAACGTTCAACTCTGTGAGTTGAATGTACACAACACAAGGAAGTTACTGTGAATTCTTCTGTCTAGCCTTACATGAAAAAAACCCGTTTCCAACGAAGGCCTCAAAGAGGTCAAAATATCCACTTGCAGACTTTACAAACAGAGTGTTTCCAAACTGCTGAATGAAAAGAAAAGTTAAACTCTGAGAGTTGAACGCACACATCGCAGAGCAGTTTCTGAGAATGATTCTGTCTAGTTTTTATACGAATATATTTCCTTTTCTGCCTTTGGCCTCAAAGCGCTTGAAATCTCCACTTGCAAATTCCACAAAAAGAGTGTTTCAAATCTGCTCTGTGTAAATGAAAGTTCAACTCTGTGAGTTGAACACACACAACACAAGGAAGTTACTGGGAATTCTTCTGTCTAGCAGAATATGAAGAAATCCCGTTTTCAACGAAGGCCTCAAAGGGGTCTGAATATCCACTTGCAGACTTTACAAACAGAGTGTTTCCTAACTGCTCTATGAAAAGAAAAGTTAAACTCTGTGAGTTGAACGCACACATCACAAAGGAGTTTCTGAGAATCGTTCTGTCTAGTTTTTATACGAAGATATTTCCTTTTCTACAATTGACCTCAAAGCGGTTGAAATCTCCACTTGCAAATTCCACGAAAACAGTGTCTCAAGTCTGCTCTGTGTAAAGAATCGTTGAACTCTGTGAGTTGAATACACACAACAGAAGGAAGTTACTGAGAATTCTTCTGTCTAGCAGAATATGAAGAAATCCCGTTTCCAACGAAGGCCACAAGATGTCAGAATATCCACTTACAGAATTTTCAAACAGACTGTTTCCTAACTGCGCTATGAAAAGAAAGGTTAAACTCTGTGAGTTGAACGAACACATCACAACGCAGTTTGTGGGAATGATTCTGTCTAGTTTTTATACGAAGATATTTCCTTTTCTACCATTGACCTCAAAGCGGCTGAAATCACCACTTGCCAATTGCACAAAAAGTGTGTTTCAAATCTGCTCTGTCTAAGGGAACGTTCAACTCTGTGAGTTGAATGTACACAACACAAGGAAGTTACTGGGAATTCTTCTGTCTAGCCTTACATGAAAAAAACCCGTTTCTAACGAAGGCCTCTAAGTGGTCAAAATATCCACGTGCAGACTTTACAAACAGAGTGTTTCCAAACCGTTGAATGAAAAGAAAAGTTAAACTCTGAGAGTTGAACGCACACATCACGCAGCAGTTTCTGAGTATGATTCTGTCTACTTTTTATACGAAGATATTTCCTTTTCTGCCTTTGGCCTCAAAGCGCTTGAAATCTCCACTTGCAAATTCCACAAAAAGAGTGTTTCAAATCTGCTCTGTGTAAATGAAAGTTCACCTCTGTGAGCTGAACACACACAACACAAGGAAGTTACTGGGAATTCTTCTGTCTAGCATAATATGAAGAAATCCCGTTTCCAACGAAGGCCTCAAATGGGTCTGAATATCCACTTGCAGACTTTATAAACAGAGTGTTTACTAACTGTTCTATGAAAAGAAAGGTTAAACTCTGTGAGTTGAACACACACATCACAAAGGAGTTTCTGAGAATCATTCTGTCTAGTTTTTATACGAAGATATTTCCTTTTCTACCATTGACCTCAAAGCGGCTGAAATGTCCACTTGCAAATTCCACAAAAAGAGTGTTTCAAATCTGCTCTGTGTAAACCATCATTCAACTCTGTGAGTTGAATACACACAACACAAGGAAGATTCTGAGAATTCTTCTGTCTAGCAGAATATGAAGAAATCCCGTTTCCAACGAAGGCCACAAGATGTCAGAATATCCACTTACAGAATTTACAAACAGACTGTTTCCTAACTGCTCTATGAAAAGAAAGGTTAAACTCTGTGAGATGAACGAACACATCACAACGCAGTTTGTGGGAATGATGTCTGTCTAGTTTTGAAACGAAGATATTTCCTTTTCTGCCATTGACCTTAAAGCGATTGAAATCTCCATTTGCCAATTGCACAAAAAGAGTGTTTCAAATCTGCTCTGTCTAAGGGAACGTTCAACTCTGTGAGTTGAATGTACACAACACAAGGAAGTTACTGGGAATTCTTCTGTCTAGACTTACAGGAAGAAAACCCGTTTCCAACGAAGGCCACTAAGTGGTCAAAATATCCACGTGCAGACTTTACAAACAGAGTGTTTCCAAACTGCTGAATGAAAAGAAAAGTTAAACTCTGAGAGTTGAACGCACACATCGCAGAGCAGTTTCTGAGAATGATTCTGTCTAGTTTTGAAACAAAGATATTTCCTTTTCTGCCTTTGGCCTCAAAGCGCTTGAAATCTCCACTTGCAAATTCCACAAAAAGAGTGTTTCAAATCTGCTCTGTGTAAATGAAAGTTCAACTCTGTGAGTCGAACACACACAACACAAGGAAGTTACTGGGAATTCTTCTGTCTAGCAGAATATGAAGAAATCCCGTTTCCAAAGAAGGCCTCAAAGAGGTCTGAATATCCACTTGCAGACTTTACAAACAGAGTGTTTCCTAACTGCTCTATGAGAAGAAAAGTTAAACTCTGTGAGTTGAACGCACACATCACAAAAGATTTTCTGAGAATCATTCTGTCTAGTCTTTATATGAAGGTAGTTTCCTTTTCTACCATTGACCTCAAAGCGGCTGAAATCTCCACTTGCAAATTCCACAAAAAGAGTACTTCAAGTCTGCTCTGTGTAAAGGATCGTTCAACTCTGTGAGTTGAATACACACAACACAAGGAAGTTACTGAGAATTCTTCTGTCTAGCAGAATATGAAGAAATCCCGTTTCCAACGAAGGCCACAAGATGTCAGAATATCCACTTACAGACTTTACAAACAGAGTGTTTCCTAACTGCTCTATGAACAGAAAGGTTAAACTACTGTGAGTTGAACGAACACATCACAACGCAGTTTGTGGGAATGATTTCTGTCTAGTTTTGAAACGAAGATATTTCCTTTTCTGCCTTTGACCTTAAAGCGCTTGAAATCTACACTTGCAAATTGCACAAATAGAGTGTTTCAAATCTGCTCTGTCTAAGGGAACGTTCAACTCTGTGAGTTGAATGCACACAACACAAGGAAGTTACTGGGAATTCTTCTGTCTAGCCTTACATGAAAAAAACCCGTTTCCAACGAAGGCCTCTAAGGGGTCAAATTATCCACGTGCAGACTTTACAAACAGAGTGTTTCCAAACTGCTGAATGAAAAGAAAAGTTAAACTCTGAGAGTTGAACGCACACATCGCAGAGCAGTTTCTGAGAATGATTCTGTCTAGTTTTTATACGAAGATATTTCCTTTTCTGCCTTTGGCTTCACAGCGCTTGAAATCTCCACTTGCAAATTCCACAAAAAGAGTGTTTCAAATCTGCTCTGTGTAAATGAAAGTTCAACTCTGTGAGTTGAACACACACAACACAAGGAAAGTTACTGGGAATTCTTCTGTCTAGCATAATATGAAGAAAACCCGTTTCCAACGAAGGCCTCAAAGAGGTCTGAATATCCACTTGCAGACTTTACAAACAGAGTGTTTCCTAACTGCTCTATGAGAAGAAAAGTTAAACTCTGTGAGTTGAACGCACACATCAACAAGGAGTTTCTGAGAATCATTCTGTCTAGTTTTTCTACGAAGATATTTCCTTTTCTACTATTGACCTCAAAGCGGCTGAAATCTCCACTTGCAAATTCCACAAAAAGAGTGTTTCAAGTCTGCTCTGTGTAAAGGATCGTTCAACTACTGTGAGTTGAATACACACAACACAAGGAAGTTACTGAGAATTATTCTGTCTAGCAGAATAGGAAGAAATCCCGTTTCCAACGAAGGCCTCAAGGAGGTCTGAATATCCACTTGCAGACTTTACAAACAGAGTGTTTCCTAACAGCTCTATGAACAGAAAGGTTAAACTCTGTGAGTTGAACGCACACATCACAAAGGAGTTTCTGAGAATCATTCTGTCTAGTTTTGAAACGAAGATATTTCCTTTTCTGCCGTTGACCTTAAAGCGCTTGAAATCTACACTTGCAAATTGCACAAATAGAGTGTTTCAAATCTGCTCTGTCTAAGGGAACGTTCAACTCTGTGAGTTGAATGCACACAACACAAGGAAGTTACTGGGAATTCTTCTGTCTAGCCTTACATGAAAAAAAACCCGTTTCCAACGAAGGCCTCTAAGTGGTCAAAATATCCACGTGCAGACTTTACAAACAGAGTGTTTCCAAAACGCTGAATGAAAAGAAAAGTTAAACTCTGAGAGTTGAACGCACACATCACGCAGCAGTTTCTGAGAATGATTCTGTCTAGTTTTTCTACGAAGATATTTCCTTTTCTACTATTGACCTGAAAGCGGCTGAAATCTCCACTTGCAAATTCCACAAAAAGAGTGTCTCAAGTCTGCTCTGTGTAAAGGATCGTTCAACTCTGTGAGTTGAATACACACAACACAAGGAAGTTACTGAGAATTCTTCTGTCTAGCAGAATAGGAAGAAATCCCGTTTCCAACGAAGGCCTCAAAGAGGTCTGAATATCCACTTGCAGACTTTACAAACAGAGTGTTTCCTAACTGCTCTATGAAAAGAAAGGTTAAACTCTGTGAGTTGAACGCACACATCACAAAGGAGTTTCTGAGAATCATTCTGTGTAGTTTCTATAGGAAGATATTTCCTATTCTACCATTGAACTCAAAGCGGCTGAAATCTCCACTTGCAAATTCCACAAAAAGAGTGTTTCAAGTCTGCTCTGTGTAAAGGATCGTTCAACTCTGTGAGTTGAATACACACAACACAAGGAAGTTCCTGAGAATTCCTCTGTCTAGCATAATATGAAGAAATCCCGTTTCCAACGAAGGCCTCAAGGAGGTCTGAATATCCACTTGCAGACTTTACAAACAGAGTGTTTCCTAACTGCTCTATGAAAAGAAAGGTTGAACTCTGTGAGTTGAACGCACACATCACAAAGGATATCTCAGAATCATTCTGTCTAGTTTTGAAACCAAGATATTTCCTTTTCTGCCGTTGACCTTAAAGAGCTTGAAAACTACACTTGCAAATTGCACAAATAGAGTGTTTCAAATCTGCTCTGTCTAAGGGAACGTTCAACTCTGTGAGTTGAATGCACACAACACAAGGAAGTTACTGGGAATTCTTCTGTCTAGCCTTACATGAAAAAAACCCCTTTCCAACGAAGGCCTCTAAGTGATCAAATTATCCACGTGCAGACTTTACAAACAGAGTGTTTCCAAACTGCTGAATGAAAAGAAAAGTTAAACTCTGAGAGTTGAACGCACACATCACAGAGCAGTTTCTGAGAATGATTCTGTCTAGTTTTTATACGAAGATATTTCCTTTTCTGCCTTTGGCCTCAAAGCGCTTGAAATCTCCACTTGCAAATTCCACAAAAAGAGTGTTTCAAATCTGCTCATTGTAAATGAAAGTTCAACTCTGTGAGTTGAACACACACAACACAAGGAAGTTACTGGGAATCCTTCTGTCTAGCTTTATATGAAAAAAACCCGTTTCCAACGAAGGCCTCAAAGAGGGCTGAATATCCACTTGCAGACTTTACAAGCAGAGTGTTTCCTAACTGCTCTATGAAAAGAAAGGTTAAAATCTGTGAGTTGAACGCACACATCACAAAGGAGTTTCTGAGAATCATTCTGTCTATTTTCTATAGGAAGATATTTCCTATTCTACCATTGACCTCAAAGCGGCTGAAATCTCCACTTGCAAATTCCACAAAAAGAGAGTTTCAAGTCTGCTCTGTGTAAAGGATCGTTCAACTCTGTGAGTTGAATACACACAACACAAGGAAGTTACTGAGAATTCTTCTGTCTGGCAGAATATGAGGAAAACCCGTTTCCAACGAAGGCCACAAGATGTCAGAATATCCACTTACAGACTTTACAAACAGAGTGTTTCCTAACTGCTCTATGAACAGAAAGGTTAAACTCTGTGAGTTGAACGAGCACATCACAGCGCAGTTTGTGGGAATGATTCTGTCTAGTTTTTCTACGAAGATATTTCCTTTTCTACTATTGACCTCAAAGCGGCTGAAATCTCCACTTGCAAATTCCACAAAAAGAGTGTTTCAAGTCTGCTCTGTGTAAAGGATCGTTCAACTCTGTGAGTTGAATACACACAACACAAGGAAGTTACTGAGATTTATTCTGTCTAGCAGAATAGGAAGAAATCCCGTTTCCAACGAAGGCCTCAAAGAGGTCTGAATATCCACTTGCAGACTTTACAAACAGAGTGTTTCCTAACTGCTCTATGAAAAGAAAAGTTAAACTACTGTGAGTTGAACGCACACATCACAAAGGAGTTTCTGAGAATCGTTCTGTCTAGTTTCTATAGGAAGATATTTCCTATTCTACCATTGACCTCAAAGCGGCTGAAATCTCCACTAGCAAATTCCACAAAAAGAGTGTTTCAAGTCTGCTCTGTGTAAAGGATCGTTCAACTCTGTGAGTTGAAAACACACAACACAAGGAAGTTTCTGAGAATTCTTCTGTCTAGCTGAACATGAAGAAATCCCGCTTCCAACGAAGGCCTCAAGGAGGTCTGAATATCCACTTGCAGACTTTACAAACAGAGTGTTTCCTAACTGCTCTATGAAAAGAAAGGTTAAACTCTGTGAGTTGAACGCACACATCACAAAGGAGTTTCTGAGAATCATTCTGTCTAGTTTCTATAGGAAGATATTTCCTATTCTACCATTGACCTCAAAGCGGCTGAAATCTCCACTTGCAAATTCCACAAAAAGAATGTTTCAAGTCTGCTCTGTGTAAAGGACCGTTCAACTCTGTGAGTTGAATACACACAACACAAGGAAGTTACTGAGAATTATTCTGTCTAGCAGAATATGAAGAAATCCCGTTTCCAACGAAGGCCACAAGATGTCAGAATATCCACTTACAGAATTTACAAACAGACTGTTTCCTAACTGCTCTATGAAAAGAAAGGTTAAACTCTGTGAGATGAACGAACACATCACAACGCAGTTTTTGGGAATGATTTCTGTCTAGTTTTAAAACGAAGATATTTCCTTTTCTGCCATTGACCTTAAAGCGCTTGAAATCTACACTTGCAAATTGCACAAATAGAGTGTTTCAAGTCTGCTCTGTGTAAAGGATCCGTTCAACTCTGTGAGTTGAATACACACAACACAAGGAAGTTACTGAGAATTCTTCTGTCTAGCAGAATATGAAGAAATCCCGTTTCCAACGAAGGCCTCAAAGAGGTCTGAATATCCACTTGAAGACTTTACAAACAGAGTGTTTCCTAACTGCTCTATGAAAAGAAAGGTTAATCTCTGTGAGTTGAACGCACACATCACAAAGGAGTTTCTGAGAATCATTCTGTCTAGTTTTTATAGGAAGATATTTCCTTTTCTACCTTTGACTTCAAAGCGGCTGAAATCTCCACTTGCAAATTCCACAAAAAGAGTGTTAGAAGTCTGCTCTGTGTAAAGGATCGTTCAACTCTGTGAGTTGAATACACACAACACAAGGAAGTTACTGAGAATTCTTCTGTCTAGCATAGTATGAAGAAATCCCGTTTCCAACGAAGGCCTCAAACAGGTCTGAATATCCACTTGCAGAGTTTACAAACAGAGTGTTTCCTAACTGCTCTATGAAAAGAAAGGTTAAACTCTGTGAGTTGAACGCACACATCACAAAGAAGTTTCTGAGAATCATTCTGTCTAGTTTCTATAAGAAGATATTTCCTATTCTACCATTGACCTCAAAGCGGCTGAAATCTCCACTTGCAAATTCGACAAACAGAGTGTTTCAAGCCTGCTCTCTCTAAAGGATCCTTCAACTCTGTGAGTTGAATACACACAACACAAGGAAGTTACTGAGAATTATTCTGTCTAGCAGAATATGAAGAAATCCTGTTTCCAACGAAGGCCACAAGATGTCAGAATATCCACTTACAGACTTTACAAACAGAGTGTTTCCTCACTGCTCTATGAACAGAAAGGTTAAACTCTGTGAGTTGAACGAACACATCACAACGCAGTTTGTGGGAATGATTCTGTCTAGTTTTAAAACGAAGATATTTCCTTTTCTGCCATTGACCTTAAAGCGCTTGAAATCTACACTTGCAAATTGCACAAATAGAGTGTTTCAAGTCTGCTCTGTGTAAAGGATCGTTCAACTCTGTGAGTTGAATACACACAACACAAGGAAGTTACTGAGAATTCTTCTGTCTAGCCTTACATGAAAAAAACCCGTTTCCAACGAAGGCCTCTAAGTGGTCAAAATATCCACGTGCAGACTTTACAAACAGAGTGTTTCCAAACCGCTGAATGAAAAGAAAAGTTAAACTCTGAGAGTTGAACGCACATATCATGCAGCAGTTTCTGAGAATGATTCTGTCTAGTTTTGAAACGAAGATATTTCCTTTTCTGCCTTTGGCCTCAAAGCGCTTGAAGTCTCCACTTGCAAATTCCACAAAAAGAGTGTTTCAAATCTGCTCTGTGTAAATGAAAGTTCAACTCTGTGAGTTGAACACACACAACACAAGGAAGTTACTGGGAATTCTTCTGTCTAGCCTTACATGAAAAAAACCCGTTTCCAACGAAGGCCTCAAAGAGGTCAAAATATCCACTTGCAGACATTACAAACAGAGTGTTTCCTAACTACTCTATGAATAGAAAGGTTAAACTCTGTGAGTTGAACGCACACATCACAAAGGAGTTTCTGAGAATCATTCTGTCTAGTTTTTATACGAAGATATTTCCTTTTCTACCATTGACCTCAACGCGGCTGAAATCTCCACTTGCAAATTCCACAAAAAGAGTGTTTCAAGTCCGCTCTGTGTAAAGGGTCTTTCAACTCTGTGAGTTGAATACACACAACACAAGGGAAGATTCTGAGAATTCTTCTGTCTAGCAGAATATGAAGAAATCCCGTTTCCAACGAAGGCCTCAAAGAGGTCTGAATATCCACTTGCAGACTTTACAAACAGAGTGTTTCCTAACTGCTCTATGAAAAGAAAAGTTAAACTCTGCGAGTTGAACGCACACATCAGAAAGGAGTTTCTGAGAATCATTCTGTCTAGTTTTGAAACGAAGATATTTCCTTTTCTGCCATTGACCTTAAAGCGCTTGAAATCTCCACTTGCCAATTGCACAAAAAGAGTGTTTCAAATCTGCTCTGTCTAAGGGAACGTTCAACTCTGTGAGTTGAATGTACACAACGCAAGGAAGTTACTGGGAATTCTTCTGTCTAGCCTTATATGAAAAAAACCCGTTTCCAACGAAGGCCTCAAAGAGGTCTGAATATCCACTTGCAGACTTTACAAACAGAGTGTTTCCTAACTGCTGAATGAAAAGAAAAGTTAAACTCTGAGAGTTGAACGCACACATCGCAGAGCAGTTTCTGAGAATGATTCTGCTGAGTTTTTATACGAAGATATTTCCTTTTCTGCCTTTGGCCCCAAAGCGCTTGAAATCTCCACTTGCAAATTCCACAAAAACAGTGTTTCAAATCTGCTCTCTCTAAATGAAAGTTCAACTCTGTCAGTTGAATACACACAACACAAGGAAGTTACTGAGAATTCTTCTGTCTAGCCTTATATGAAAAAACCCCGTTGCCAACGAAGGCCTCAAAGAAGTCCAAATATCCACGTGCAGACTTTACAAACAGAGTGTTTCCTAACTGCTCTATGAAAAGAAAGGTTAAACTCTGTGAGTTGAACGCACACATCACAAAGGAGTTTCTGAGAATCATTCTGTCTAGTTTTGAAACGAAGATATTTCCTTTTCTACCATTGACCTCAACGCGGCTGAAATCTCCATTTGCAAATTCCACAAAAAGAGTGTTTCAAATCTGCTCTGTGTAAATGAAAGTTCAACTCTGTGAGTTGAACACACACAACACAAGGAAGTTACTGGGAATTCTTCTGTCTAGCCTTACAGGAAAAAAACCCGTTTCCAACGAAGGCCTCAAAGAGGTCTGAATATCCTCTTGCAGACTTTACAAACAGAGTGTTTCCTAACTGCTCTATGAAAAGAAAGGTTAAACTCTGTGAGTTGGACACACACATCACAAAGGAGTTTCTGAGAATCATTCTGTCTAGTTTTGAAACGAAGATATTTCCTTTTCTGCCGTTGACCTTAAAGCGCTTGAAATCTACACTTGCAAATTGCACAAATAGAGTGTTTCAAATCTGCTCTGTCTAAGGGAACGTTCAACTCTGTGAGTTGAATGCACACAACACAAGGAAGTTACTGGGAATTCTTCTCTCTAGCCTTACATGAAAAAAACCCGTTTCCAACGAAGGCCTCTAAGTGGTCAAAATTTCCACGTGCAGACTTTACAAACAGAGTGTTTCCAAACCGCTGAATGAAAAGAAAAGTTAAACTCTGAGAGTTGAACGCACACATCACGCAGCAGTTTCTGAGAATGATTCTGTCTAGTTTTGAAACGAAGATATTTCCTTTTCTGCCTTTGGCCTCAAAGCGCTTGAAATCTCCACTTGCAAATTCCACAAAAAGAGTGTTTCAAATCTGCTCTGTGTAAATGAAAGTTCAAATCTGTGAGTTGAACACACACAACACAAGGAAGTTACTGGGAATTCTTCTTTCTAGCAGAATATGAAGAAATCCCGTTTCCAACGAAAGCTTCAAGGATGTGTGAATATCCACTTGCAGACTTTACAAACAGAGTGTTTCCTAACTGCTCTATGAAAAGAAAGTTTAAACTCTGTGAGTTGAACGCACACATCACAAAGGAGTTTCTGAGAATCATTCTGTCTAGTCTTTATACGAAGATATTTCCTTTTCTACCATTGACCTCAAAGCGGCTGAAATCTCCACTTGCAAATTCCACAAAAAGAGTGTTTCAAGTCTGCTCTGTGTAAAGGATTGTTCAACTCTGTGAGTTGAATACACACAACACAAGGAAGTTACTGAGAATTCTTCTGTCTAGCAGAATATGAAGAAATCCCGTTTCCAACGAAGGCCTAAAGGAGGTCTGAATATCCACTTGCAGACTTTACAAACAGAGTGTTTCCTAACTGCTCTATGAACAGAAAGGTTAAACTCTGTGAGTTGAACGCACACATCACAAAGGAGTTTCTGAGAATCATTCTGTCTAGTTTTGAAACGAAGATATTTCCTTTTCTGCCGTTGACCTTAAAGCGCTTGAAATCTACACTTGCAAATTGCACAAATAGAGTGTTTCAAATCTGCTCTGTCTAAGGGAACGTTCAACTCTGTGAGTTGAATGCACACAACACAAGGAAGTTACTGGGAATTCTTCTGTCTAGCCTTACATGAAAAAAACCCGTTTCCAACGAAGGCCTCTAAGTGGTCAAAATTTCCACGTGCAGAATTTACAAACAGAGTGTTTCCAAACCGCTGAATGAAAAGAAAAGTTAAACTCTGAGAGTTGAACGCACACATCACGCAGCAGTTTCTGAGAATGATTCTGTCTAGTTTTTATACGAAGATATTTCCTTTTCTGTCTTTGGCCTCAAAGCGCTTGAAATCTCCATTTGCAAATTCCACAAAAAGAGTGTTTCAAATCTGCTCTGTGTAAATGAAAGTTCAACTCTGTGAGTTGAACACACACAACACAAGGAAGTTACTGGGAATTCTTCTGTCTAGCAGAATATGAAGAAATCCCGTTTCCAACGAAGGCCTCAAGGAGGTCTGAATATCCACTTGCAGACTTTACAAACAGAGTGTTTCCTAACTGCTCTATGAAAAGAAAGGTGAAACTCTGTGAGTTGAACGCACACATCACAAAGGAGTTTCTGAGAATCATTCTGTCTATTCTTTATACGAAGATATATCCTTTTCTACCATTGACCTCAAAGCGGCTGAAATCTCCACTTGCAAATTCCACAAAAAGAGTGTTTCAAGTCTGCTCTCTGTAAAGGATCGTTCAACTCTGTGAGTTGAATACACACAACACAAGGAAGTTACTGAGAATTCTTCTGTCTAGCATAATATGATGAAATCCCGTTTCCAACGAAGGCCTCAAGGAGGTCTGAATATCCACTTGCAGACTTTACAAACAGAGTGTTTCCTAACTGCTCTATGAACAGAAAGGTTAAACTCTGTGAGTTGAACGAACACATCACAACGCAGTTTGTGGGAATGATTCTGTCTAGTTTTGAAACGAAGATATTTCCTTTTCTGCCGTTGACCATAAAGAGCTTGAAATCTACACTTGCAAATTGCACAAATAGAGTGTTTCAAATCTGCTCTGTCTAAGGGAACGTTCAACTCTGTGAGTTGAATGCACACAACACAAGGAAGTTACTGGGAATTCTTCTGTCTAGCAGAATATGAAGAAATCCCGTTTCCAACGGTAGGCCACAAGATGTCAGAATATCCACTTACAGAATTTACCAACAGAGTGTTTCCTAACTGCTCTATGAAAAGAAAGGTTAAACTCTGTGAGTTGAACGAACACATCACAACGCAGTTTGTGGGAATGATTCTGTCTAGTTTTTATAGGAAGATATTTCCTTTTCTACCTTTGACCTCAAAGCGGCTGAAATCTCCACTTGCAAATTCCACAAAAAGAGTGTTTCAAGTCTGCTCTGTGTAAAGGATCGTTCAACTCTGTGAGTTGAATACACACAACACGCGGAAGTTACTGAGAATTCTTCTGTCTAGCATAGTATGAAGAAATCCCGTTTCCAACGAAGGCCTCAAAGAGGTCTGAATATCAACTTGCAGAGTTTACAAACAGAGTGTTTCCTAACTGCTCTATGAAAAGAAAGGTTAAACTCTGTGAGTTGAACGCACACATCACAAAGAAGTTTCTGAGAATCATTCTGTCTAGTCTTTATACGAAGATATTTACTTTTCTACCATTGACCTCAAAGCGGCTGAAATCTCCACTTGCAAATTCCACAAAAAGAGTGTTTCAAGTCTGCTCTGTGTAAAGGATCATTCAACTCTGTGAGTTGAATAAACACAACACAAGGAAGTTACTGAGAATTCTTCTGTCTAGCAGAATATGAAGAAATCCCGTTTCCAACGAAGGCCTCAAGGAGGTCTGAATATCCACTTGCAGACTTTACAAACAGAGTGTTTCCTAACTGCTCTATGAAAAGAAAGGTTAGACTCTGTGAGTTGAACGCACACATCACAAAGGAGTTTATGAGAATCATTCTGTCTAGTTTTGAAACGAAGATATTTCCTTTTCTGCCGTTGACCTTAAAGAGCTTGAAAACTACACTTGCAAATTGCACAAATAGAGTGTTTCAAATCTGCTCTGTCTAAGGGAACGTTCAACTCTGTGAGTTGAATGCACACAACACAAGGAAGTTACTGGGAATTCTTCTGTCTAGCCTTACATGAAAAAAACCCGTTTCCAACGAAGGCCTCTAAGTGGTCAAAATTTCCACGTGTAGACTTTACAAACAGAGTGTTTCCAAACCGCTGAATGAAAAGAAAAGTTAAACTCTGAGAGTTGAACGCACACATTACGCAGCAGTTTCTGAGAATGATTCTGTCTAGTTTTTATACGAAGATATATCTTTTTCTGCCTTTGGCCCCAAAGCGCTTGAAATCTCCACGTGCAAATTCCACAAAAACAGTGTTTCAAATCTGCTCTCTCTAAATGAAAGTTCAACTCTGTCACTTGAATACACACAACACAAGGAAGTTACTGAGAATTCTTCTGTCTAGCCTTATATGAAAAAAACCCGTTTCCAACGAAGGCCTCAAGGAGGTCTGAATATCCACTTGCAGACTTTACAAACAGAGTGTTTCCTAACTGCTCTATGAAAAGAAAGGTTAAACTCTGTGAGTTGAACGCACACATCACAAAGAAGTTTCTGAGAATCATTCTGTCTAGTTTTTATACGAAGATATTTCCTTTTCTACCATTGAACTCAAAGCGGCTGAAATCTCCACTTGCAAATTACACAAAAAGTGTGTTTCAAGTCTACTCAGTGTAAAGCATCGTTCAACTCTGTGAGTTGAAAACACACAACACAAGGAAGTTTCTGAGAATTCTTCTGTCTAGCACAGTATGAAGAAATCCCGTTTCCAACGAAGGCCTCAAAGAGGTCTAAATATCCACTTGCAGAGTTTACAAACAGAGTGTTTCCTAACTGCTCTATGAAAAGAAAGGTTAAACTCTGTGAGTTGAACGCACACATCACAAAGGAGTTTCTGAGAATCATTCTGTCTAGTTTTTATACGAACATATTTCCTTTTCTACCATTGACCTCAAAGCGGCTGAAATCACCACTTGCCAATTGCACAAAAAGAGTGTTTCAAATCTGCTCTGTCTAAGGGAACGTTCAACTCTGTGAGTTGAATGTACACAACACAAGGAAGTTCCTGGGAATTCTTCTGTCTAGCCTTACATGAAAAAAACCCGTTTCCAACGAAGGCCTCTAAGTGGTCAAATTATCCACGTGCAGACTTTACAAACAGAGTGTTTCCAAACTGCTGAATGAAAAGAAAAGTTAAACTCTGAGAGTTGAACGCACACATCGCAGAGCAGTTTCTGAGAATGATTCTGTCCAGTTTTGAAACGAAGATATTTCCTTTTCTGCCTTTGGCCTCAAAGCGCTTGAAATCTCCACTTGCAAATTCCACAAAAAGAGTGTTTCAAATCTGCTCTGTGTAAATGAAAGTTCAACTCTGTGAGTTGAACACACACAACACAAGGAAGTTACTGGGAATTCTTCTGTCTAGCCTTATATGAAAAAAACCCGTTTCCAACGAAGGCCTCAAAGAGGTCTGAATATCCACTTGCAGACTTTACAAACAGAGTGTTTCCTAACTGCTCTATGAAAAGAAAGGTTAAACTGCTGTGAGTTGAACGCACACATCACAAAGGAGTTTCTGAGAATCATTGTCTGTCTAGTTTCTATAGGAAGATATTTCCTATTCTACCATTGACCTCAAAGCGGCTGAAATCTCCACTTGCAAATTCCACAAAAAGTGTGTTTCAAGTCTGCTCTGTGTAAAGGATCGTTCAACTCTGTGAGTTGAATACACACAACACAAGGAAGTTACTGAGAATTCTTCTGTCTAGCAGAATATGAAGAAATCCCTTTTCCAACGAAGGCCACAAGATGTCAGAATATCCACTTACAGACTTTACAAACAGAGTGTTTCCTAACTGCTCTATGAAGAGAAAGGTTAAACTCTGTGAGTTGAACGAACACATCACAACGCAGTTTGTGGGAATGATTCTGTCTAGTTTTGAAACGAAGATATTTCCTTTTCTGCCACTGACCTTAAAGCGCTTGAAATCTACACTTGCAAATTGCACAAATAGAGTGTTTCAAATCTGCTCTGTCTAAGGGAACGTTCAACTCTGTGAGTTGAATGCACACAACACAAGGAAGTTACTGGGAATTCTTCTGTCTAGCCTTACATGAAAAAAACCCGTTTCCAACGAAGGCCTCTAAGTGGTCAAAATATCCACGTGCAGACTTTACAAACACAGTGTTTCCAAACCGCTGAATGAAAAGAAAAGTTAAATTCTGAGAGTTGAACGCGCACATCACGCAGCAGTTTCTGAGAATGATTCTGTCTAGTTTTTATACGAAGATATTTCCTTTTCTGCCTTTGGCCTCAAAGTGCATGAATTCTCCATTTGCAAATTCCACAAAAAGAGTGTTTCAAATCTGCTCTGTCTAAATGAAAGTTCAACTCTGTGAGTTCAACACACACAACACAAGGGAAGTTACTGGGAATTCTTCTGTCTAGCCTTACATGAAAAAACCCGTTTCCAACGAAGGCCTCAAAGAAGTCCAAATATCCACGTGCAGACTTTACAAACCGAGTGTTTCCTAACTGCTCTATGAAAAGAAAGGTTAAACCCTGTGAGATGAACGCACACATCACAAAGGAGTTTCTGAGAATCATTCTGTCTAGTTTTTTTACGAAGATATTTCCTTTTCTACCATTGACCTCAAAGCGGCTGAAATCTCCACTTGCAAATTCCACAAAAAGAGTGTTTCAAGTCTGCTCTGTGTAAAGGATCGTTCCACTCTGTGAGTTGAATACAAACAACACAAGGAAGTTACTGAGAATTCTTCTGTCTAGCAGAATATGAAGAAATCCCGTTTCCAACGAACGCCACAAGATGTCAGAATATCCACTTACAGACTTTACAAACAGAGTGTTTCCTAACTGCTCTATGAACAGAAAGGTTAAACTCTGTGAGTTGAACGAACACATCACAACGCAGTTTGTGGGAATGATTCTGTCTAGTTTTGAAACGAAGATATTTCCTTTTCTGCCATTGACCTTAAAGCGCTTGAAATCTACACTTGCAAATTGCACAAATAGAGTGTTTCAAATCTGCTCTGTCTAAGGGAACGTTCAACTCTGTGAGTTGAATGCACACAACAAAAGGAAGTTACTGGGAATTCTTCTGTCTAGCCTTACATGAAAAAAACCCGTTTCCAACGAAGGCCTCTAAGCGGTCAAATTATGCACGTGCAGACTTTACAAACAGAGTGTTTCCAAACTGCTGAATGAAAGGAAAAGTTAAACTCTGAGAGTTGAACGCACACATCGCAGAGCAGTTTCTGAGCATGATTCTGTCTAGTTTTTCTACGAAGATATTTCCTTTTCTACTATTGACCTCAAAGCGGCTGAAATCTCCACTTGCAAATTCCACTAAAAGAGTGTTTCAAGTCTGCTTTGTGTAAAGGATCGTTCAACTCTGTGAGTTGAGTACACACAACACAAGGAAGTTACTGAGAATTCTTCTTTCTAGCAGAATATGAAGAAATCCCGTTTCCAACGAAGGCCTCAAGGAGGTCTGAATATCCACTTGCAGACTTTACAAACAGAGTGTTTCCTAACAGCTCTATGAAAAGAAAGGTTAAACTGTGTGAGTTGAACGCACACATCACAAAGGAGTTTCTGAGAATCATTCTGTCTAGTCTTTATACGAAGATATTTACTTTTCTACCATTGACCTCAAAGCGGCTGAAATCTCCACTTGCAAATTCCACAAAAAGAGTGTTTCAAGTCTGCTCTGTGTAAAGGATCATTCAACTCTGTGAGTTGAATAAACACAACACAAGGAAGTTAATGAGAATTCTTCTGTCTAGCACAGTATGAAGAAATCCGGTTTCCAACGAAGGCCTCAAAGAGGTCTGAATATCCACTTGCAGAGTTTACAAACAGAGTGTTTCCTAACTGCTCTATGAAAAGAAAGGTTAAACTCCTGTGAGTTGAACACACACATCTCAAAGGAGTTTCTGAGAATCATTTCTGTCTAGTTTTTATACGAAGATATTTCCTTTTCTACCATTGACCTCAAAGCGCCTGAAATCACCACTTACCAATTGCACAAAAAGAGTGTTTCAAATCTGCTCTGTCTAAGGGAACGTTCAACTCTGTGAGTTGAATGTGGACAACACAAGGAAGTTACTGGGAATTCTTCTGTCTAGCCTTACATGCAAAAAACCCGTTTCCAACGAAGGCCTCTAAGTGGTCAAAATATCCACGTGCAGACTTTACAAACAGAGTGTTTCCAAACCGCTGAATGAAAAGAATAGTTAAACTCTTAGAGTTGAACGCACACATCACGCAGCAGTTTCTGAGAATGATTCTGTCTAGTTTTCAAACGAAGATATTAACTTTTCTGCCTTTGGCCTCAAAGCGCTTGAAATCTCCACTTGCAAATTCCACAAAAAGAGTGTTTCAAATCTGCTCTGTGTAAATGAAAGTTCAACTCTGTGAGTTGAACACACACAACACAAGGAAGTTACTGGGAATTCTTCTGTCTAGCTTATATGAAAAAAACCCGTTTCCAACGAAGGCCTCAAAGAGGTCTGAATATCCACTTGCAGACTTTACAAACAGAGTGTTTCCTAACTGCTCTATGAAAAGAAAGGTTAAACTCTGTGAGTTGAACGCACACATCACAAAGGAGTTTCTGAGAATCATTCTGTCTAGTTTCTATAGGAAGATATTTCCTATTCTACCATTGAACTCAAAGCGGCTGAAATCTCCACTTGCAAATTCCACAAAAAGAGTGTTTCAAGTCTGCTCTGTGTAAAGGATCATTCAACTCTGTGAGTTGAATACACACAACACAGGGAAGTTACTGAGAATTCTTCTGTCTAGCAGAATATGAAGAAATCCCGTTTCCAACGAAGGCCACAAGATGTCAGAATATCCCCTTACAGAATTTTCAAACAGACTGTTTCCTAACTGCTCTATGAAAAGAAAGGTTACACTCTGTGAGTAGAACGAACACATCACAACGCAGTTTGTGGGAATGATTCTGTCTAGTTTTGAAACGAAGATATTTCCTTTTCTGCCATTGACCTCAAAGCGCTTGAAATCTCCACTTGCCAATTGCACAAAAAGAGTGTTTCAAATCTGCTCTGTCTAAGGGAACGTTCAACTCTGTGAGTTGAATGTACACAACACAAGGAAGTTACTGGGAATTCTTTTGTCTAGCCTTACAGGAAAAAAACCCGTTTCCAACGAAGGCCTCTAAGTGGTCAAGTTATCCACGTGCAGACTTTACAGAGTGTTTCCAAACTGCTGAATGAAAAGAAAAGTTAAACTCTGAGAGTTGAACGCACACATCGCAGAGCAGTTTCTGAGAATGATTCTGTCTAGTTTTTATACGAAGATATTTCCTTTTCTGCCTTTGGCCTCAAAGCGCTTGAAATCTCCATTTGCAAATTCCACAAAAAGAGTGTTTCAAATCTGCTCTGTGTAAATGAAAGTTCAACTCTGTGAGTTGAACACACACAACACAAGGAAGTTACTGGGAATTCTTCTGTCTAGCAGAATATGAAGAAATCCCGTTTCCAACGAAGGCCTCAAGGAGATCTGAATATCCACTTGCAGACTTTACAAACAGAGTGTTTCCTAACTGCTCTATGAACAGAAAGGTTAAACTCTGTGAGTTGAACGCACACATCACAAAGGAGTTTCTGAGAATCATTCTGTCTAGTTTTTCTACGAAGATATTTCCTTTTCTACTATTGACGTCAAAGCGGCTGAAATCTCCACTTGCAAATTCTACAAATAGAGTGTTTCAAGTCTGCTCTGTGTAAAGGATCGTTCAACTCTGTGAGTTGAATACACACAACACAAGGAAGTTACTGAGAATTCTTCCGTCTAACCTTACGTGAAAAAAACCTGTTTCCAACGAAGGCCTCTAAGTGGTCAAGTTATCCACGTGCAGACTTTACAAACAGAGTGTTTCCGAACTGCTGAATGAAAAGAAAAGTTAAACTCTGAGAGTTGAACGCACACATCGCAGAGCAGTTTCTGAGAATGATTCTGTCTAGTTTTTATACGAAGATATTTCCTTTTCTGCCTTTGGCCTCAAAGCGCTTGAAATCTCCATTTGCAAATTCCACAAAAAGAGTGTTTCAAATGTGCTCTGTGTAAATGAAAGTTCAACTCTGTGAGTTGAACACACACAACACAAGGAAGTTACTGGGAATTCTTCCGTCTAGCCTTATATGAAAAAAACCCGTTTCCAAAGAAGGCCTCAAAGAGGTCTGAATATCCTCTTGCAGACTTTACAAACAGAGTGTTTCCTAACTGCTCTATGAAAAGAAAGGTTAAACTCTGTGAGTTGAACACACACATCACAAAGGAGTTTCTGAGAATCATTCTGTCTAGTTTTTATACGAAGATATTTCCTTTTCTACCATTGACCTCAACGCGGCTGAAATCTCCACTTGCAAGTTCCACAAAAAGTGTGTTTCAAGTCCGCTCTGTGTAAAGGATCGTTCAACTCTGTGAGTTGAATACACACAACACAAGGAAGTTACTGAGAATTCTTCTGTCTAGCACAGTATGAAGAAATCCCGTTTCCAACGAAGGCCTCAAAGAGGTCTGAATATCCACTTGCAGACTTTACAAACAGAGTGTTTCCTAACTGCTCTATGAAAAGAAAGGTTAAACTCTGTGAGTTGAACGCACACGTCACAATGAAGTTTCTGAGAATCATTCTGTCTAGTTTTTATACGAAGATATTTCCTTTTCTACCATTGACCTCAAAGCGGCTGAAATCACCACTTGCCAATTGCAGAAAAAGAGTGTTTCATATCTGTTCTGTCTAAGGGAACGTTCAACTCTGTGAGTTGAATGTACACAACACAAGGAAGTTACTGGGAATTGCTCTGTCTAGCCTTACATGAAAAAAACCCGTTTCCAATGAAGGCCTCTAAGTGGTCAAATTATCCACGTGCAGACTTTACAAACAGAGTGTTTCCAAACTGCTGAATGAAAAGAAAAGTTAAACTCTGTGAGTTGAACGCACACATCACAAAGGAGTTTCTGAGAATCATTCTGTCTAGTTTTGAAACGAAGATATTTCCTTTTCTGCCATTGAACTTAAAGCGCTTGAAATCTCCATTTGCCAATTGCACAAAAAGAGTGTTTCAAATCTGCTCTGTCTAAGGGAACGTTCAACTCTGTGAGTTGAATGTACACAACACAAGGAAGTTACTGGGAATTCTTCTGTCTAGCCTTACAGGAAAAAAACCCGTTTCCAACGAAGGCCTCTAAGTGGTCAAAATATCCACGTGCAGACTTTACAAACAGAGTGTTTCCAAACTGCTGAATGAAAAGAAAAGTTAAACTCTGAGAGTTGAACGCATACATCGCAGAGCAGTTTCTGAGAAAGATTCTGTCTAGTTTTTATACGAAGATATTACCTTTTCTGCCTTTGGCCCCAAAGCGCTTGAAATCTCCACTTGCAAATTCCACAAAAACAGTGTTTCAAATCTGCTCTCTCTAAATGAATGTTCAACTCTGTCAGTTGAATACACACAACACAAGGAAGTTACTGAGAATTCTTCTGTCTAGCATAGTATGAAGAAATCCCGTTTCCAACGAAGGCCTCAAAGAGGTCTGAATATCCACTTGCAGAGTTTACAGAGTGTTTCCTAACTGCTCTATGAAAGGAAAGGTTAAACTCTGTGAGTTGAACGCACACATCACAAAGAAGTTTCTGAGAATCATTCTGTCTAGTTTCTATAGGAAGATATTTCCTATTCTACCATTGACCTCAAAGCGGCTGAAATCTCCACTTGCAAATTCCACAAAAGGAGTGTTTCAAGTCTGCTCTGTGTAAAGGATCGTTCAACTCTGTGAGTTGAAAACACACAACACAAGGAAGTTTATGAGAATTCTTCCGTCTAGCAGAATATGAAGAAATCCCGTTTCCAACGAAGGCCACAAGATGTCGGAATATCCACTTACAGACTTTACAAACAGAGTGTTTCCTAACTGCTCTATGAACATAAAGGTTAAACTCTGTGAGTTGAACGAACACATCACAACGCAGTTTGTGGGAATGATTCTGCCTAGTTTTGAAACGAAGATATTTCCTTTTCTGCATTGACCTTAAAGCGCTTGAAATCTCCATTTGCCAATTGCACAAAAAGAGTGTTTCAAATCTGCTCTGTCTAAGGGAACGTTCAACTCTGTGAGTTGAATGTACACAACACAAGGAAGTTACTGGGAATTCTTCTGTCTAGCCTTACATGAAAAAATCCCGTTTCCAACGAAGGTCTCTAAGTTGTCAAAATTTCCACGTGCAGACTTTACAAACAGAGTGTTTCCAAACCGCTGAATGAAAAGAAAAGTTAAACTCTGAGTGTTGATCGCACACATCACGCAGCAGTTTCTGAGAATGATTCTGTCTAGTTTTTATACGAAGATATTTCCTTTTCTGCCTTTAGCCTCAAAGCGCTTGAAATCTCCACTTGCAAATTCCACAAAAAGAGTGTTTCAAATCTGCTCTGTGTAAATGAAAGTTCAACTCTGTGAGTTGAACACACACAACACAAGGAAGTTACTGGGAATTCTTCTTTCTAGCAGAATATGAAGAAATCCCGTTTCCAACGAAAGCCTCAAAGAAGTCTGAATATCCACTTGCAGACTTTACAAACAGAGTGTTTCCCAACTGCTCTATGAAAAGAAAGGTTAAACTCTGTGAGTTGAACGCACGCATCACAAAGGAGTTTCTGAGAATCATTCTGTCTAGTTTCTATAGGAAGATATTTCCTATTCTACCATTGACCTCAAAGCGGCTGAAATCTCCACTTGCAAATTCCACAAAAAGAGTGTTTCAAGTCTGCTCTCTGTAAAGGATCGTTCAACTCTGTGAGTTGAATACACACAACACAAGGAAGTTACTGAGAATTATTCTGTCTAGCATAATATGAAGAAATCCCGTTTCCAATGAAGGCCTCAAAGAGGTCTGAATATCCACTTGCAGACTTTACAAACAGAGTGTTTCCTAACTGCTCTATGAAAAGAAAAGTTAAACTCTGTGAGTTGAACGCACACATCACAAAGGATTTTCTGAGAATCATTCTGTCTAGTTTTGAAACGAAGATATTTCCTTTCCTGCCATTGACCTTAAAGCGCTTGAAATCTCCATTTGCCAATTGCACAAAAAGAGTGTTTCAAATCTGCTCTGTCTAAGGGAACGTTCAACTCTGTGAGTTGAATGTACACAACACAAGGAAGTTACTGGGAATTCTTCTGTCTAGCCTTACAGGAAAAAAACCCGTTTCCAACGAAGGCCTCTAAGTGGTCGAAATATCCACGTGCAGACTTTACAAACAGAGTGTTTCCAAACTGCTGAATGAAAAGAAAAGTTAAACTCTGAGAGTTGAACGCACACATCGCAGAGCAGTTTCTGAGAATGATTCTGTCTAGTTTTTATACAAAGATATTTCCTTTTCTGCCTTTGGCCTCAAAGCGCTTGAAATCTCCATTTGCAAATTCCACAAAAAGAGTGTTTCAAATCTGCTCTGTGTAAATGAAAGTTCAACTCTGTGAGTTGAACACACACAACACAAGGAAGTTACTGGGAATTCTTCTGTCTAGCATAATATGAAGAAATCCCGTTTCCAACGAAGGCCTCAAAGGGGTCTGAATATCCACTTGCAGACTTTATAAACAGAGTGTTTACTAGCTGCTCTATGAAAAGAAAGGTTAAACTCTGTGAGTTGAACACACACATCACAAAGGAGTTTCTGAGAATCATTCTGTCTAGTTTCTATAAGAAGATATTTCCTATTCTACCATTGACCTCAAAGCGGCTGAAATCTCCACTTGCAAATTCGACAAAAAGAGTGTTTCAAGCCTGCTCTCTGTAAAGGATCCTTCAACTCTGTGAGTTGAATACACACAACACAAGGAAAGTTACTGAGAATTATTCTGTCTAGCAGAATATGAAGAAATCCCGTTTCCAACGAAGGCCACAAGATGTCAGAATATCCACTTACAGACATTACAAACAGAGTGTTTCCTAACTGCTCTATGTAACAGAAAGGTTAAACTCTGTGAGTTGAACGAACACATCACAACGCAGTTTGTGGGAATGATTCTGTCTAGTTTTTATACGAAGATATTTCCTTTTCTACCATAGACTTCAAAGCGGCTGAAATCACCACTTGCCAATTGCACAAAAAGAGTGTTTCAAATCTGCTCTGTCTAAGGGAACGTTCAACTCTGTGAGTTGAATGTACACAACACAAGGAAGTTACTGGGAATTCTTCTGTCTAGCCTTACATGAAAAAAACCCGTTTCCAACGAAGGCCTCTAAGTGGTCAAAATATCCACGTGCAGACTTTACAAACAGAGTGTTTCCAAACTGCTGAATGAAAAGAAAAGTTAAACTCTGAGAGTTGAACGCACACATCGCAGAGCAGTTTCTGAGAATGATTCTGTCTAGTTTTTATACGAAGATATTTCGTTTTCTGCCTTTGGCCCGAAAGCGCTTGAAATCTCCACTTGCAAATTCCACAAAAACAGTGTTTCAAATCTGCTCTCTCTAAATGAAAGTTCAACTGTGTCAGTTGAATACACACAACACAAGGAAGTTACTGAGAATTCTTCTGTCTAGCAGAATATGAAGAAATCCCGTTTCCAACGAAAGCCTCAAAGATGTCTGAATATCCACATGCAGACTTTACAAACAGAGTGTTTCCTAACTGCTCTATGAAAAGAAAGGTTAAACTCTGTGAGTTGAACGCACACATCACAAAGGAGTTTCTGAGAATCATTCTGTCTAGTTTTTCTACGAAGATATTTCCTTTTCTACTATTGACCTCAAATTGGATGAAATCTCCACTTGCAAATTCCACAAAAAGAGTGTTTCAAGTCTGCTCTGTGTAAAGGATCGTTCAACTCTGTGAGTTGAATACACACAACACAAGGAAGTTACTGAGAATTATTTTGTCTAGCATAATATGAAGAAATCCCGTTTCCAACGAAGGCCTCAAAGAGGTCTGAATATCCACTTGCAGACTTTACAAACAGAGTGTTTCCTAACTGCTCTATGAAAAGAAAAGTTAAACTCTGTGAGTTGAACGCACACATCACAAAGGAGTTTATGAGAATCATTCTGTCTAGTTTTGAAACGAAGATATTTCCTTTTCTGCCGTTGACCTTAAAGAGCTTGAAAACTACACTTGCAAATTGCACAAATAGAGTGTTTCAAATCTGCTCTGTCTAAGGGAACGTTCAACTACTGTGAGTTGAATGCACACAACACAAGGAAGTTACTGGGAATTCTTCTGTCTAGCCTTACAGGAAAAAAACCCGTTACCAACGAAGGCCTCTAAGTGGTCAAAATATCCACGTGCAGACTTTACAAACAGAGTGTTTCCAAACTGCTGAATGAAAAGAAAAGTTAAACTCTGAGAGTTGAACGCACACATCGCAGAGCAGTTTCTGAGAATGATTCTGCCTAGTTTTGAAACGAAGATATTTCCTTTTCTGCCTTTGGCCTCAAAGCGCTTGAAATCTCCACTTGCAAATTCCACAAAAAGAGTGTTTCAAATCTGCTCTGTGTAAATGAAAGTTCAACTCTGTGAGTCGAACACACACAACACAAGGAAGTTACTGGGAATTCTTCTTTCTAGCAGAATAGGAAGAAATCCCGTTTCCAACGAAAGCCTCAAGGATGTCTGAATATCCACTTGCAGACTTTACAAACAGAGTGTTTCCTAACTGCTCTATGAAAAGAAAGGTTAAACTCTGTGAGTTGAACGCACACATCACAAAGGAGTTTCTGAGAATCATTCTGTCTAGTTTTTATACGAAGATATTTCCTTTTCTACCATTGACCTCAAAGCGGCTGAAATCTCCACTTGCAAATTCCACAAAAAGAGTGTCTCAAGTCTGTTCTGTGTAAAGGATCGTTCAACTCTGTGAGTTGAATACACACAACACAAGGAAGTTTCTGAGAATTCTTCTGTATAGCAGAATATGAAGAAATCCCGTTTCCAACGAAGGCCTCAAGGAGGTCTGTATATCCACTTGCAGACTTTACAAACAGAGTGTTTCCTAACTGCTCTATGAAAAGAAACGTTAAACTCTGTGAGTTGAACGCAGACATCACAAAGGAGTTTCTGAGAATCACTCTGTCTAGTTTTGAAACGAAGATATTTCCTTTTCTGCCATTGACCTTAAAGCGCTTGAAATCTACACTTGCAAATTGCACAAATAGAGTGTTTCAAATCTGCTCTGTCTAAGGGAACGTTCAACTCTGTGAGTTGAATGCACACAACACAAGGAAGTTACTGGGAATTCTTCTGTCTAGCCTTACATGAAAAAAACCCGTTTCCAACGAAGGCCTCTAAGTGGTCAAATTATCCACGTGCAGACCTTACAAACAGAGTGTTTCCAAACTGCTGAATGAAAAGAAAAGTTAAACTCTGAGAGTTGAACGCACACATCGCAGAGCAGTTTCTGAGAATGATTCTGTCTACTTTTTATACGAAGATATTTCCTTTTCTGCCTTTGGCCCCAAAGCGCTTGAAATCTCCACTTGCAAATTCCACAAAAACAGTGTTTCAAATCTGCTCTCTCTAAATGAAAGTTCAAGTCTGTCAGTTGAATACACACAACACAAGGAAGTTACTGAGAATTCTTCTGTCTAGCATAATATGAAGAAATCCCGTTTCCAACGAAGGCCTCAAGGAGGTCTGAATATCCACTTGCAGACATTACAAACAGAGTGTTTCCTAACTGCTCTATGAAAAGAAAGGTTGAACTCTGTGAGTTGAACGCACACATCACAAAGGAGTTTCTGAGAATCATTCTGTCTAGTTTTTATACGAAGATATTTCCTTTTCTACCATTGACCTCAACGCGGCTGAAATCTCCACTTGCAAATTCCACAAAAAGAGTGTTTCAAGTCCGCTCTGTGTAAAGGATCGTTCAACTCTGTGAGTTGAATACACACAACACAAGGAAGTTACCGAGAATTCTTCTGTCTAGCCGAATATGAAGAAATCCCGCTTCCAACGAAGGCCTCAAAGAAGTCTGAATATCCACTTGCAGACTTTACAAACAGAGTGTTTCCCAACTGCTCTATTAAAAGAAAGGTTGAACTCTGTGAGTTGAACGCACACATCACAAAGGAGTTTCTGAGAATCATTCTGTCTAGTCTTTATACGAAGATATTTCCTTTTCTAACATTGACCTCAAAGCGGCTGAAATCTCCACTTGCAAATTCCACAAAAAGAGTGTTTCAAGTCTGCTCTCTGTAAAGGATCGTTCAACTCTGTGACTTGAATACACACAACACAAGGAAGTTACTGAGAATTATTCTGTCTAGCAGAATATGAAGAAATCCCGTTTCCAACGAAGGCCACAAGATGTCAGAATATCCACTTACAGACTTTACAAACAGAGTGTTTCCTAACTGCTCTATGAACAGAAAGGTTAAACTCTGTGAGTTGAACGTACACATCACAACGCAGTTTGTGGGAATGATTCTGTCTAGTTTTGAAACGAAGATATTTCCTTTTCTGCCATTGACCTTAAAGCGCTTGAAATCTCCACTTGCCAATTGCACAAAAAGAGTGTTTCAAATCTGCTCTGTCTAAGGAAACGTTCAACTCTGTGAGTTGAATGTACACAACACAAGGAAGTTACTGGGAATTCTTCTGTCTAGCCTTACAGGAAAAAAACCCGTTTCCAACGAAGGCTTCTAAGTGGTCAAAATATCCACGTGCAGACTTTACAAACAGAGTGTTTCCAAACTGCTGAATGAAAAGAAAATTTAAACTCTGAGAGTTGAACGCACACATCGCAGAGCAGTTTCTGAGAATGATTCTGTCTAGTTTTGAAACGAAGATATTTCCTTTTCTGCCTTTGGCCTCAAAGCGCTTGAAATCTCCATTTGCAAATTCCACAAAAAGTGTGTTTCAAATCTGCTCTGTGTAAATGAAAGTTCAACTCTGTGAGTTGAAAACACACAACACAAGGAAGTTACTGGGAAATCTTCTGTCTAGCATAATATGAAGAAATCCCGTTTCCAACGAAGGCCCCAAAGGGGTCTGAATATCCACTTGCAGACTTTATAAACAGAGTGTTTACTAACTGCTCTATGAAAAGAAAGGTTAAACTCTGTGAGTTGAACACACACATCACAAAGGAGTTTCTGAGAATCATTCTGTCTAGTTTCTATAAGAAGATATTTCCTATTCTACCATTGACCTCAAAGCGGCTGAAATCTCCACTTGCAAATTCCACAAAAAGAGTGTTTCAAGCCTGCTCTCTGTAAAGGATCCTTCAACTCTGTGAGTTGAATACACACAACACAAGGAAGTTACTGAGAATTCTTCTGTCTAGCAGAATATGAAGAAATCCCGTTTCCAACGAAGGCCACAAGATGTCAGAATATCCACTTACAGACTTTACAAACAGAGTGTTTCCTAACTGCTCTATGAACAGAAAGGTTAAACTCTGTTAGTTGAACGAACACATCACAACGCAGTTTGTGGGAATGATTCTGTCTAGTTTTGAAACGAAGATATTTCCTTTTCTGCCATTGACCTTAAAGCGCTTGAAATCTACGCTTGCAAATTGCACAAATAGAGTGTTTCAAATCTGCTCTGTCTAAGGGAACGTTCAACTCTGTGAGTTGAATGCACACAACACAAGGAAGTTACTGGGAATTCTTCTGTCTAGCCTTACATGAAAAAAACCCGTTTCCAACGAAGGCCTCTAAGTGGTCAAATTATCCACGTGCAGACTTTACAAACAGAGTGTTTCCAAACTGCTGAATGAAAAGAAAAGTTAAACTCTGAGAGTTGAACGCACACATCGCAGAGCAGTTTCTGAGAATGATTCTGTCTAGTTTTTATACGAAGATATTTCCTTTTCTGCCTTTGGCCTCAAAGCGCTTGAAATCTCCACTTGCAAATTCCACAAAAAGAGTGTTTCAAATCTGCTCTGTCTGAGGGAACGTTCAACTCTGTGAGTTGAACACACACAACACAAGGAAGTTACTGGGAATTCTTCTGTCTAGCAGAATATGAAGAAATCCCGCTTCCAACGAAGGCCTCAAAGAAGTCTGAATATCCACTTGCAGGCTTTACAAACAGAGTGTTTCCCAACTGCTCTATGAAAAGAAAGGTTGAACTCTGTGAGTTGAACGCACACATCACAAAGGAGTTTCTGAGAATCATTCTGTCTAGTTTTTATACGAAGATATTTCCTTTTCTACCATTGACCTCTAAGCGGCTGAAATCTCCACTTGCAAATTCCACAAAAAGAGTGTTTCAAGTCTACTCTGTGTAAAGGATCGTTGAACTCTGTGAGTTGAAAACACGCAACACAACGAAGTTTCTGAGAATTCTTCTTTCTAGCATAATATGAAGAAATCCCGTTTCCAACGAAGGCCTCAAGGAGGTCTGAATATCCACTTGCAGACTTTACAAACAGAGTGTTTCCTAACTGCTCTATGAAAAGAAAGGTTAAACTGTGTGAGTTGAACGCACACATCACAAAGGAGTTTCTGAGAATCATTCTGTCTAGTTTTTATACGAAGATATTTCCTTTTCTACCATTGACCTCAAAGCGGCTGAAATAACCACTTGCCAATTGCACAAAAAGAGTGTTTCAAATCTGCTCTGTCTTAGGGAACGTTCAACTCTGTGAGTTGAATGTACACAACACAAGGAAGTTACTGGGAATTCTACTGTCTAGCCTTACAGGAAAAAAACCCGTTTCCAACGAAGGCCTCTAAATGGTCAAAATATCCACGTGCAGACTTTACAAACAGAGTGTTTCCAAACTGCTGAATGAAAAGAAAAGTTAAACTCTGAGAGTTGAACGCACACATCGCAGAGCAGTTTCTGAGAATGATTCTGTCTAGTTTTTAAACGAAGATATTTCCTTTTCTGCCTTTGGCCTCAAAGCGCTTGAAATCTCCACTTGCAAATTCCACAAAAAGAGTGTTTCAAATCTGCTCTGTGTAAATGAAAGTTCAACTCTGTGAGTTGAACACACACAACACAAGGAAGTTACTGGGAATTCTTCTGTCTAGCCTTATATGAAAAAAACCCGTTTCCAACGAAGGCCTCAAAGAGGTCTGAATATCCACTTGCAGACTTTACAAACAGAGTGTTTCCTAACTGCTCTATGAAAAGAAAGGTTAAACTCTGTGAGTTGAACGCACACATCACAAAGGAGTTACTGAGAATCATTCTGTCTAGTCTTTATACGAAGATATTTCCTTTTCTACCATTGACCCCAAAGCGGCTGAAATCTCCACTTGCAAATTCCACAAAAAGAGTGTTTCATGTCTGCTCTGTGTAAAGGATCGTTCAACTCTGTGAGTTGAATACACACAACACAAGGAAGTTACTGAGAATTCTTCTGTCTAGCAGAATATGAAGAAATCCCGTTTCCAACGAAGGCCACAAGATGTCAGAATATCCACTTACAGAATTTACAAACAGACTGTTTCCTAACTGCTCTATGAAAAGAAAGGTTAAACTCTGTGAGTTGAACGAACACATCACAACGCAGTTTGTGGGAATGATTCTGTCTAGTTTTGAAACGAAGATATTTCCTTTTCTGCCGTTGACCTTAAAGAGCTTGAAAACTACACTTGCAAATTGCACAAATAGAGTGTTTCAAATCTGCTCTGTCTAAGGGAACGTTCAACTCTGTGAGTTGAATGCACACAACACAAGGAAGTTACTGGGAATTCTTCTGTCTAGCCTTACAGGAAAAAAACCCGTTTCCAACGAAGGCCTCTAAGTGGTCAAAATATCCACGTGCAGAGTTTACAAACAGAGTGTTTCCAAACTGCTGAATGAAAAGAAGAGTTAAACTCTGAGAGTTGAACGCACACATTGCAGAGTAGTTTCTGAGAATGATTCTGTCTAGTTTTTATATGAAGATATTTCCTTCTCTACCATTGACCTCAAAGCGGCTGAAATCTCCACTTACAAATTCCACAAAAAGAGTGTCTCAAGTCTGCTCTGTGTAAACGATCGTTCAACTCTGTGAGTTGAATACACACAACACAAGGAAGTTTCTGAGAATTCTTCTGTATATCAGAATATGAAGAAATCCCGTTTCCAACGAAAGCCTCAAAGATGTCTGAATATCCACTTGCAGACTTTACAAACAGAGTGTTTCCTAACTGCTCTATGAAAAGAAAGGTTAAACTCTGTGAGTTGAACGCCCACATCACAAAGGAGTTTCTGAGAATCATTCTGTCTAGTTTCTATAGGAAGATATTTCCTATTCTACCATTGACCTCAAAGCGGCTGAAATCTCCACTTCCAAATTCCACAAAAAGAGTGTTTCAAGACTGTTCTGTGTAAAGGATCATTCAACTCTGTGAGTTGAATACACACAACACAAGGAAGTTACTGAGAATTCTTCTGTCTAGCAGAATATGAAGAAATCCCGTTTCCAAAAAAGGCCTCAAGGAGGTCTGAATATCCACTTGCAGACTTTACAAACAGAGTGTTTCCTAACTGCTCTATGAAAACAAAGGTTAAACTCTGTGAGTTGAACGCACACATCACAAAGGAGTTCATGAGAATCATTCTGTCTAGTTTTGAAACGAAGATATTTCCTTTTCTGCCATTGACCTTAAAGCGCTTGAAATCTCCATTTGCCAGTTGCACAAAAAGAGTGTTTCAAATCTACTCTGTCTAAGGGAACGTTCAACTCTGTGAGTTGAATGTACACAACACAAGGAAGTTACTGGGAATTCTTCTGTCTAGCCTTACATGAAAAAAACCCGTTTCCAACGAAGGCCTCTAAGTGGTCAAATTATCCACGTGCAGACTTTACAAACAGAGTGTTTCCAAACTGCTGAATGAGAAGAAAAGTTAAACTCTGAGAGTTGAACGCACACATCGCAGAGCAGTTTATGAGAATGATTCTGTCTAGTTTTGAAACGAAGATATTTCCTTTTCTGCCTTTGGTCTCAAAGCGCTTGAAATCTCCACTTGCAAATTCCACAAAAAGAGTGTTTCAAATCTGCTCTGGGTAAATGAAAGTTCAACTCTGTGAGTTGAACACACACAACACAAGGAAGTTACTGGGAATTCTTCTGTCTAGCAGAATATGAAGAAATCCCGTTTCCAACGAAGGCCTCAAGGAGGTCTGAATATCCACTTGCAGACTTTACAAACAGAGTGTTTCCTAACTGCTCTATGAAAAGAAAGGTGAAACTCTGTGAGTTGAACACACACATCACAAAGGAGTTTCTGAGAATCATTCTGTCTAGTTTCTATTGGAAGATATTTCCTATTCTACCATTGACCTCAAAGCGGCTGAAATCTCCACTTGCAAATTCCACAAAAAGAGTGTTTCAAGTCTGCTCTCTGTAAAGGATCGTTCAACTCTGTGAGTTGAATACACACAACACAAGGAAGTTACTGAGAATTATTTCTGTCTAGCAGAATATGAAGAAATCCCGTTTCCAACGAAGGCCACAAGATGTCAGAATATCCACTTACAGAATTTACAAACAGACTGTTTCCTAACTGCTCTATGAAAAGAAAGGTTAAACTCTGTGAGATGAACGAACACATCACAACGCAGTTTGTGGGAATGATTCTGTCTAGTTTTGAAACGAAGATATTTCCTTTTCTGCCATTGACCTTAAAGCGCTTGAAGTCTCCACTTGCCAATTGCACAAAAAGAGTGTTTCAAATCTGCTCTGACTAAGGGATCGTTCAACTCTGTGAGTTGAATGTACACAACACAAGGAAGTTACTGGGAATTCTTCTGTCTAGCCTTACATGAAAAAAACCCGTTTCCAACGAAGGCCTCTAAGTGGTCAAGTTATCCACGTGCAGACTTTACAAACAGAGTGTTTCCAAACTGCTGAATGAAAAGAGAAGTTAAACTCTGAGAGTTGAACGCACACATCGCAGAGCAGTTTCTGAGAATGATTCTGTCTAGTTTTTATACGAAGATATTTCCTTTTCTGCCTTTGGCCTCAAAGCGCTTGAAATCTCCTCTTGCAAATTCCACAAAAAGAGTGTTTCAAATCTGCTCTGTGTAAATCAAAGTTCAACTCTGTGAGTTGAACACACACAACACAAGGAAGTTACTGGGAATTCTTGTGTCTAGCAGAACATGAAGAAATCCCGTTTCCAACGAAGGCCTCAAAGGTGTCTGAATATCCACTTGCAGACTTTACAAACAGAGTGTTTCCTAACTGCTCTATGAAAAGAAAGGTTAAGCTCTGTGAGTTGAACGCACACATCACAAAGGAGTTTCTGAGAATCATTCTGTCTAGTCTTTATACGAAGATATTTCCTTTTCTACCATTGACCTCAAAGCGGCTGTAATCTCCACTTGCAAATTCCACAAAAAGAGTGTTTCAAGTCTCCTCTGTGTAAAGGATCGTTCAACTCTGTGAGTTGAATACACGCAACACAAAGAAGTTACTGAGAATTCTTCTGTCTAGCAGAACATGAAGAAATCCCGCTTCCAACGAAGGCCTCAAAGAAGTCTGAATATCCACTTGCAGACTTTACAAACAGAGTGTTTCCCAACTGCTCTATGAAAAGAAAGGTTGAACTCTGTGAGTTGAACGCACACATCACAAAGGAGATTCTGAGAATCATTCTGTCTAGTTTTGAAACGACGATATTTCCTTTTCTGCCATTGACCTTAAAGCGCTTGAAATCTACACTTGCAAATTGCACAAATAGAGTGTTTCAAATCTGCTCTGTCTAAGGGAACGTTCAACTCTGTGAGTTGAATGCACACAACACAAGGAAGTTACTGGGAATTCTTCTGTCTAGCCTTATATGAAAAAAACCCGTTTCCAACGAAGGCCTCTAAGTGGTCAAATTATCCACGTGCAGACTTTACAAACAGAGTGCTTCCAAACTGCTGAATGAAAAGAAAAGTTAAACTCTGAGAGTTGAACGCACACATCGCAGAGCAGTTTCTGAGAATGATTCTGTCTAGTTTTTATACGAAGATATTTCCTTTTCTGCCCTTGGCCCCAAAGCGCTTGAAATCTCCACTTGCAAATTCCACAAAAACAGTGTTTCAAATCTGCTCTCTCTACATGAAAGTTCAACTCTGTCAGTTGAATACACACAACACAAGGAAGTTACTGAGAATTCTTCTCCCTAGCAGAATATGAAGAAATCCCGTTTTCAACGAAGGCCTCAAAGAGGTCTGAATATCCACTTGCAGACTTTACAAACAGAGTGTTTCCTAACTGCTCTATGAAAAGAAAGGTTAAACTCTGTGAGTTGAACGCACACATCACAAAGGAGTTTCTGAGAATCATTCTGTCTAGTTTTTATAGGAAGGTATTTCCTTTTCTACCATTGACCTCAAAGCGGCTGAAATCTCCACTTGCAAATTCCACAAAAAGAGTGTTTCAAGTCTGCTCTGTGTAAAGGATCGTTCAACTCTGTGAGTTGAATACACACAACACGCGGAAGTTACTGAGAATTCTTCTGTCTAGCAGTAATATGAAGAAATCCCGTTTCCAACGAAGGCCACAAGATGTCAGAATATCCACTTACAGAATTTTCAAACAGACTGTTTCCTAACTGCTCTATGAAAAGAAAGGTTAAACTCTGTGAGTTGAACGAACACATCACAACGCAGTTTGTGGGAATGATTCTGTCTAGTTTTGAAACGAAGATATTTCCTTTTCTGCCATTGACCTCAAAGCGCTTGAAATCTCCACTTGCCAATTGCACAAAAAGAGTGTTTCAAATCTGCTCTGTCTAAGGGAACGTTCAACTCTGTGAGTTGAATGTACACAACACAAGGAAGTTACTGGGAATTCTTCTGTCTAGCCTTACATGAAAAAAACCCGTTTCCAACGAAGGCCTCTAAGTGGTCAAATTATCCACGTGCAGACTTTACAAACAGAGTGTTTCCAAACTGCTGAATGAAAAGCAAAGTTAAACTCTGAGAGTTGAACGCACACATCGCAGAGCACTTTCTGAGAATGATTCTGTCTAGTTTTTCTACGAAGATATTTCCTTTTCTACTATTGACCTCAAAGCGGCTGAAATCTCCACTTGCAAATTCCACAAAAAGAGTGTTTCAACTCTGCTCTGTGTAAAGGATCGTTCAACTCTGTGAGTTGAATACACACAACACAAGGAAGTTACTGAGAATTCTTCTGTCTAGCAGAATAGGAAGAAATCCCGTTTCCAACGAAGGCCTCAAAGAGGTCTGAATATCCACTTGCAGACTTTACAAACAAAGTGTTTCCTAACTGCTCTATGAAAAGAAAGGTTAAACTCTGTGAGTTGAACGCACACATCACAAAGGAGTTTCTGAGAATCGTTCTGTCTAGTCTTTATACGAAGATATTTCCTTTTCTACCATTGACCTCAAAGCGGCTGAAATCTCCACTTGCAAATTCCACAAAAAGAGTGTTTCAAGTCTGCTCTGTGTAAATGATCGTTCAACTCTGTGAGTTGAATACACACAACACAAGGAAGTTACTGAGAATTCTTCTGTCTAGCAGAATATGAAGAAATCCCGTTTCCAACGAAGGCCACAAGATGTCAGAATATCCACTTACAGAATTTACAAACAGACTGTTTCCTAACTGCTCTATGAAAAGAAAGGTTAAACTCTGTGAGATGAACGAACACATCATAACGCAGTTTTTGGGAATGATTCTGTCTAGTTTTGAAACGAAGATATTTCCTTTTCTGCCATTGACCTTAAAGCGCTTGAAATCTACACTTGCAAATTGCACAAATAGCGTGTTTCAATTCAGCTCTGTCTAAGGAAACGTTCAACTATGTGAGTTTAATGCACACAACACAAGGAAGTTACTGGGAATTCTTCTGTCTAGCCTTACATGAAAAAAACCCGTTTCCAACGAAGGCCTCTAAGTGGTCAAGTTATCCACGTGCAGACTTTACAAACAGAGTGTTTCCAAACTGCTGAATGAAAAGAAAAGTTAAACTCTGAGAGTTGAACGCACACATCGCAGAGCAGTTTCTGAGAATGATTCTGTCGAGTTTTTATACGAAGATATTTCCTTTTCTGCCTTTGGCCTCAAAGCGCTTGAAATCTCCATTTGCAAATTCCACAAAAAGAGTGTTTCAAATCTGCTCTGTGTAAATGAAAGTTCAACTCTGTGAGTTGAACACAGCCAACACAAGGGAAGTTACTGGGAATTCTTCTGTCTAGCAGAACATGAAGAAATCCCGCTTCCAACGAAGGCCTCAAAGAAGTCTGAATATCCACTTGCAGACTTTACAAACAGAGTGTTTCCCAACTGCTCTATGAAAAGAAAGGTTGAACTCTGTGAGTTGAATGCACACATCACAAAGGAGTTTCTGAGAATCATTCTGTCTAGTTTTTATACGAAGATATTTCCTTTTCTACCATGGACCTCAAAGCGGCTGAAATCTCCACTTACAAATTCCACAAAAAGAGTGTTTCAAGTCTGCTCTGTGTAAAGGATCGTTCAACTCTGTGAGTTGAATACACACAACACAAGGAAGATTCTGAGAATTCTTCTGTCTAGCAGAATATGAAGAAATCCCGTTTCCAACGAAGGCCACAAGATGTCAGAATATCCACTTACAGACTTCACAAACAGAGTGTTTCCTAACTGCTCTATGAAGAGAAAGCTTAAACTCTGTGGGTTGAACGAACACATCACAACGCAGTTTGTGGTAATGATTCTGTCTAGTTTTGAAACGAAGATATTTCCTTTTCTGCCGTTGACCTTAAAGCGCTTGAAATCTACACTTGCAAATTGCACAAATAGAGTGTTTCAAATCTGCTCTGTCTAAGGGAACGTTCAACTCTGTGAGTTGAATGCACACAACACAAGGAAGTTACTGGGAATTCTTCTGTCTAGCATAATATGAAGAAATCCCGTTTCCAACGAAGGCCTCAAAGGGGTCTGAATATCCACTTGCAGACGTTATAAACAGAGTGTTTACTAAATGCTGTATGAAAAGAAAGGTTAAACTCTGTGAGTTGAACACACACATCACAAAGGAGTTTCTGAGAATCATTCTGTCTAGTTTCTATAGGAAGATATTTCCTATTCTACCATTGACCTCAAAGTGGCTGAAATCTCCACTTGCAAATTCCACAAGAAGAGTGTTTCAAGTATGCTCTGTGTAAAGGATCGTTCAACTCTGTGAGTTGAATACACACAACACAAGGAAGTTACTGAGAATTCTTCTGTCTAGCATAATATGAAGAAATCCCGTTTCCAACGAAGGCCTCAAGGAGGTCTGAATATCCACTTGCAGACTTTACAAACACAGTGTTTCCTAACTGCTCTATGAAAAGAAAGGTTAAACTCTGTGAGTTGAACGCACACATCACAAAGGAGTTTCTGAGAATCATTCTGTCTAGTTTTTCTACGAAGATATTTCCTTTTCTACTATTGACCTCAAAGCGGCTGAAATCTCCACTTGCAAATTCTACAAATAGAGTGTTTCAAGTCTGCTCTGTGTAAAGGATCGTTCAACTCTGTGAGTTGAATACACACAACACAAGGAAAGTTACTGAGAATTATTCTGTCTAGCAGAATATGAAGAAATCCCGTTTCCAACGAAGGCCTCAAGGAGGTCTGAATATCCACTTGCAGACTTTACAAACAGAGTATTTCCTAACTGCTCTATGAACAGAAAGGTTAAACTCTGTGAGTTGAACGAACACATCACAACGCAGTTTGTGGGAATGATTCGGTCTAGTTTTGAAACGAAGATATTTCCTTTTCTGCCGTTGACCTTAAAGAGCTTGAAAACTACACTTGCAAATTGCACAAATAGAGTGTTTCAAATCTGCTCTGTCTAAGGGAACGTTCAACTCTGTGAGTTGAATGCACACAACACAAGGAAGTTACTGGGAATTCTTCTGTCTAGCCTTACATGAAAAAATCCCGTTTCCAACGAAGGCCTCTAAGTGGTCAAAATTTCCACGTGCAGACTTTACAAACAGAGTGTTTCCAAACCGCTGAATGAAAAGAAAAGTTAAACTCTGAGAGTTGAACGCACACATCACGCAGCAGTTTCTGAGAATGATTCTGTCTAGTTTTTATACGAAGATGTTTCCTTTTCTGCCTTTGGCCCCAAAGCGTTTGAAATCTCCACTTGCAAATTCCACAAAAACAGTGTTTCAAATCTGCTCCCTCTAAATGAAATTTCAACTCTGTCAGTTGAATACACACAACACAAGGAAGTTACTGAGATTACTTCTGTCTAGCCTTATATGAAAAAAACCCGTTTCCAACGAAGGCCTCAAAGAGGTCAGAATATCCACTTGCAGACTTTACAAACAGAGTGTTTCCTAACTGCTCTATGAAAAGAAAGGTTAAACTCTGTGAGTTGAACGCACACATCACAAAGGAGTTTCTGAGAATCATTCTGTCTAGTTTTTATAGGAAGTTATTTCCTTTTCTACCTTTGACTTCAAAGTGGCTGAAATCTCCACTTGCAAATTCCACAAAAAGAGTGTTACAAGTCTGCTCTGTGTAAAGGATCGTTCAACTCTGTGAGTTGAATACACACAACACAAGGAAAGTTACTGAGAATTCTTCTGTCTAGCAGAATATGAAGAAATCCCGTTTCCAACGAAGACCTCAAGGAGATCTGAATATCCACTTACAGACTTTAGAGAGTGTTTCCTAACTGCTCTATGAACGGAAAGGTTAAACTCTGTGAGTTGAACGAACACATCACAACGCAGTTTGTGGGAATGATTCTGTCTAGTTTTGAAACGAAGATATTTCCTTTTCTGCCATTGAACTTAAAGCGCTTGAAATCTCCATTTGCCAATTGCACAAAAAGAGTGTTTCAAATCTGCTCTGTCTAAGGGAACGTTCAACTCTGTGAGTTGAATGTACACAACACAAGGAAGTTACTGGGAATTCTTCTGTCTAGCCTTACATGAAAAAAACCCGTTTCCAACGAAGGCCTCTAAGTGGTCAAAATATCCACGTGCAGACTTTACAAACAGAGTGTTTCCAAACCGCTGAATGAAAAGAAAAGTTAAAGTCTGAGAGTTGAACGCACACATCACGCAGCAGTTTCTGAGAATGATTCTGTCTACTTTTTATACGAAGATATTTCGTTTTCTGCCTTTGGCCCCAAAGTGCTTGAAATCTCCACTTGCAAATTCCACAAAAACAGTGTTTCAAATCTGCTCTCTCTAAATGAAAGTTCAACTCTGTCAGTTGAATACACACAACACAAGGAAGTTACTGAGAATTCTTCTGTCTAGCAGAATATGAAGAAATCCCTTTTCCAACGAAGGCCTTAAAGAGGTCTGAATATCCTCTTGCAGACTTTACAAACAGAGTGTTTCCTAACTGCTCTATGAAAAGAAAAGTTAAACTCTGTGAGTTGAACGCACACATCACAAAGGAGTTTCTGAGAATCATTCTGTCTAGTCTTTATACAAAGATATTTCCTTTTCTACCATTGACCTCAAAGCGGCTGAAATCTCCACTTGCAAATTCCACAAAAAGAGTGTTTCAACTCTGCTCTCTGTAAAGGATCGTTCAACTCTGTGAGTTGAATACACACAACACAAGGAAGTTACTGAGAATTATTCTGTCTAGCATAATATGAAGAAATCCCGTTTCCAACCAAGGCCTCAAGGAGGTCTGAATATCCACTTGCAGACTTTACAAACAGAGTGTTTCCTAACTGCTCTATGAAAAGAAAAGTTAAACTCTGTGAGTTGAACGCACACATCACAAAGGAGTTTCTCAGAATCATTCTGTCTAGTTTTGAAACGAAGATATTTCCTTTTCTGCCATTGACCTTAAAGCGCTTGAAATCTACACTTGCAAATTGCACAAATAGAGTGTTTCAAATCTGCTCTGTCTAATGGAACGTTCAACTCTGTGAGTTGAATGCACACAACACAAGGAAGTTACTGGGAATTCTTCTGTCTAGCCTTACATGAAAAAAACCCGTTTCCAACGAAGGCCTCTAAGTGGTCAAAATTTCCACGTGCAGACTTTACAAACAGAGTGTTTCCAAACCGCTGAATGAAAAGAAAAGTTAAACTCTGAGAGTTGAACGCACACATCACGCAGCAGTTTCTGAGAATGATTCTGTCTAGTTTTGAAACGAAGATATTTCCTTTTCTGCCTTTGGCCTCAAAGCGCTTGAAATCTCCACTTGCAAATTCCACAAAAAGAGTGTTTCAAATCTGCTCTGTGTAAATGAAAGTTCAACTCTGTGAGTTGAACACACAGAACACAAGGAAGTTACTGGGAATTCTTCTGTCTAGCATAATATGAAGAATTCCCGTTTCCAACGAAGGCCTCAAAGAGGTCCGAATATCCACTTGCAGACTTTACAAACAGAGTGTTTCCTAACTGCTCTATGAAAAGAAAAGTTAAACTCTGCGAGTTGAACGCACACATCAGAAAGGAGTTTCTGAGAATCATTCTGTCTAGTTTTTATAGGAAGATATTTCCTTTTCTACCTTGGACTTCAAAGCGGCTGAAATCTCCACTTGCAAATTCCACAAAAAGAGTGTTACAAGTCTGCTCTGTGTAAAGGATCGTTCAACTCTGTGAGTTGAATACACACAACACAAGGAAGTTACTGAGAATTCTTCTGTCTAGCAGAATATGAAGAAATCCCGTTTCCAACGAAGGCCACAAGATGTCAGAATATCCACTTACAGACTTTACAAACAGAGTGTTTCCTAACTGCTCTATGAACAGAAAGGTTAAACTCTGAGTTGAACGAACACATCACAACGCAGTTTGTGGGAATGATTCTGTCTAGTTTTGAAACGAAGATATTTCCTTTTCTGCCGTTGACCTTAAAGCGCTTGAAATCTACACTTGCAAATTGCACAAATAGAGTGTTTCAAATCTGCTCTGTCTAAGGGAACGTTCAACTCTGTGAGTTGAATGCACACAACACAAGGAAGTTACTGGGAATTCTTCTGTCTAGCCTTAAATGAAAAAAACCCGTTTCCAACGAAGGCCTCTAAGTGGTCAAAATTTCCACGTGCAGACTTTACAAACAGAGTGTTTCCAAACCGCTGAATGAAAAGAAAAGTTAAACTCTGAGAGTTGAACGCACACATCACGCAGCAGTTTCTGAGAATGATTCTGTCTAGTTTCTATAGGAAGATATTTCCTATTCTACCATTGACCTCAAAGCGGCTGAAATCTCCACTTGCAAATTCCACAAAAAGAGTGTTTCAAGTCTGCTCTGTGTAAAGGATCGTTCAACTCTGTGAGTTGAATACACGCAACACAAGGAAGTTACTGAGAATTCTTCTGTCTAGCATAATATGAAGAAATCCCGTTTCCAACGAAGGCCTCAAGGAGGTCTGAATATCCACTTGCAGACTTTACAAACAGAGTGTTTCCTAACTGCTCTATGAAAAGAAAGGTTGAACTCTGTGAGTTGAACGCACACATCACAAAGGAGTTTCTGAGAATCATTCTGTCTAGTCTTTATACGAAGATATTTCCTTTTCTACCATTGACCTCAAAGCGGCTGAAATCTCCACTTGCAAATTCCACAAAAAGAGTGTTTCAAGTCTGCTCTGTGTAAAGGATCGTACAACTCTGTGAGTTGAATACACACAACACAAGGAAGTTACTGAGAATTATTCTGTCTAGCAGAATATGAAGAAATCCCGTTTCCAACGAAGGCCTCAAGGAGGTCTGAATATCCACTTGCAGACTTTACAAACAGAGTGTTTCCTAACTGCTCTATGAACAGAAAGGTTAAACTCTGTGAGTTGAACGAGCACATCACAACGCAGTTTGTGGGAATGATTCTGTCTAGTTTTGAAACGAAGATATTTCCTTTTCTGCCATTGACCTTAAAGCGCTTGAAATCTACACTTGCAAATTGCACAAATAGAGTGTTTCAAATCTGTTCTGTCTAAGGGAACGTTCAACTCTGTGAGTTGAATGCACACAACACAAGGAAGTTACTGGGAATTCTTCTGTCTAGCCTTACATGAAAAAAACCCGTTTCCAACGAAAGCCTCTAAGTCGTCAAAATATCCACGTGCAGATTTACAAACAGAGTGTTTCCAAACTACTGAATGAAAAGAAAAGTTAAACTCGGAGAGTTGAACGCACACATCACAGAGTAGTTTCTGAGAATGATTCTGTCTAGTCTTTATACGAATATATTTCCTTTTCTACCATTGACGTCAAAGCGGCTGTAATCTCCACTTGCAAATTCCACAAAAAGAGTGTTTCAAGTCTGCTCTGTGTAAAGGATCGTTCAACTCTGTGAGTTGAATACACACAACACAAAGAAGTTACTGAGAATTCTTCTGTCTAGCAGAATATGAAGAAATCCTGTTTCCAACGAAGGCCTCAAGGAGGTCTGAATATCCACTTGCAGACTTTACAAACAGAGTGTTTCCTAACTGCTCTATGAAAAGAAAGGTTAAACTCTGTGAGTTGAACGCACACATCACAAAGGAGTTTCTGAGAATCATTCTGTCTAGTCTTTATACGAAGATATTTCCTATTCTACCATTGACCTCAAAGCGGCTGAAATCTCCACTTGCAAATTCCACAAAAAGAGTGTTTCAAGTCTGCTCTGTGTAAAGGATCATTCAACTCTGTGAGTTGAATAAACACAACACAAGGAAGTTACTGAGAATTCTTCTGTCTAGCAGAATATGAAGAAATCCCGTTTCCAACGAAGGCCTCAAGGAGGTCTGAATATCCACTTGCAGACTTTTCAAACAGAGTGTTTCCTAACTGCTCTATGAAAAGAAAGGTTAAACTCTGTGAGTTGAACGCACCCATCACAAAGGAGTTTATGAGAATCATTCTGTCTAGTTTTGAAACGAAGATATTTCCTTTTCTGCCGTTGACCTTAAAGCGCTTGAAATCTACACTTTCAAATTGCACAAATAGAGTGTTTCAAATCTGCTCTGTCTAAGGGAACGTTCAACTCTGTGAGTTGAATGCACACAACACAAGGAAGTTACTGGGAATTCTTCTGTCTAGCCTTACATGAAAAAAACCCGTTTCCAACGAAGGCCTCTAAGTGGTCAAAATTTCCACGTGCAGACTTTACAAACAGAGTGTTTCCAAACCGCTGAATGAAAAGAAAAGTTAAACTCTGAGAGTTGAACGCACACATCACGCAGCAGTTTCTGAGAATGATTCTGTCTAGTTTTTATACGAAGATATTTCCTTTTCTGCCTTTGGCCCCAAAGCGCTTGAAATCTCCATTTGCAAATTCCACAAAAACAGTGTTTCAAATCTGCTCTCTCTAAATGAAAGTTCAACTCTGTCAGTTGAATACACACAACACAAGGAAGTTACTGAGAATTCTTCTGTCTAGCCTTATATGAAAAAAACCCGTTTCCAACGAAGGCCTCAAAGAGGTCTGAATATCCACTTGCAGACTTTACAAACAGAGTGTTTCCTAACTGCTCTATGAAAAGAAAGGTTAAACTCTGTGAGTTGAACAGCACACATCACAAAGGAGTTTCTGAGAATCATTCTGTCTAGTTTTTATACGAAGATATTTCCTTTTCTACCATTGACCTCAACGCGGCTGAAATCTCCACTTGCAAATTCCACAAAAAGAGCGTTTCAAGTCTGCTCTGTGTAAAGGATCGTTCAACTCTGTGAGTTGAATACACACAACACAAGGAAGTTACTGAGAATTCTTCTGTCTAGCACAGTATGAAGAAATCCCGTTTCCAACGAAGGCCTCAAAGAGGTCTGAATATCCACTTGCAGAGTTTACAAACAGAGTGTTTCCTAACTGCTCTATGAAAAGAAAGGTTAAACTCTGTGATTTGATGCACACATCACAAAGAATTTTCTGAGAATCATTCTGTCTAGTTTTGAAACGAAGATATTTCCTTTTCTGCCATTGACCTTAAAGCGCTTGAAATCTCCATTTGCCAATTGCACAAAAAGAGTGTTTCAAATCTGCTCTGTCTAAGGGAACGTTCAACTCTGTGAGTTGAATGTACACAACACAAGGAAGTTACTGGGAATTCTTCTGTCTAGCCTTACGTGAAAAAAACCCGTTTCCAACAAAGACCTCTAAGTGGTCAAAATATCCACGTGCAGACTTTAGAAACAGAGTGTTTCCAAAGTGCTGAATGAAAAGAAAAGTTAAACTCTGAGAGTTGAACGCACACATCACAGAGCATTTTCTGAGAATGATTCTGTCTAGTTTTTATACGAAGATATTTCCTTTTCTACCATTGACCTCAACGCGCCTGAAATCTCCACTTGCAAATTCCACAAAAAGAGTGTTTCAAGTCCGCTCTGTGTAAAGGATCGTTCAACTCTGTGAGTTGAATACACACAACACAAGGAAGTTACTGAGAATTCTTCTGTCTAGCACAGTATGAAGAAATCCCGTTTCCAACGAAGGCCTCAAAGAGGTCTGAATATCCACTTGCAGAGTTTACAAACAGAGTGTTTCCTAACTGCTCTATGAAAAGAAAGGTTAAACTCTGTGAGTTGAACGCACACATCACAAAGAAGTTTCTGAGAATCATTCTGTCTAGTTTTTATACGAAGATATTTCCTTTTCTACCATTGACCTCAAAGCGGCTGAAATCTCCACTTGCAAATTCCACAAAAAGAGTGTTTCACATCTGCTCTGTGTAAACAGTCGTTCAACTGTGTGAGTTGAATACACACAACACAAGGAAGATTCTGAGAATTCTTCTGTCTAGCATAGTATGAAGAAATCCCGTTTCCAACAATGGCCTCAAAGAGGTCTGAATATCCACTTGCAGAGTTTACAAACAGAGTGTTTCCTAACTGCTCTATGAAAAGAAAGGTTAAACTCTGTGAGTTGAACGCACACATCACAAAGAAGTTTCTGAGAATCATTCTGTCTAGTTTTGAAACGAAGATATTTCCTTTTCTTCCATTGACCATAAAGCGCTTGAAATCTCCACTTGCAAATTGCACAAATAGAGTGTTTCAAATCTGCTCTGTCTAAGGGAACGTTCAACTCTGTGAGTTGAGTGCACACAACACAAGGAAGTTACTGGGAATTCTTCTGTCTAGCAAAATATGAAGAAATCCCGTTTCCAACGAAGGCCTCAAAGAGGTCTGAATATCCACTTGCAGACTTTACAAACAGAGTGTTTCCTAACTGCTCTATGAAAAGAAAAGTTAAACTCTGTGAGTTGAACGCACACATCACAAAGGAGTTTCTGAGAATCATTCTGTCTACTTTTTAAACGAAGATATTTCCTTTTCTGCCTTTGGCCCCAAGGCGCTTGATATCTCCACTTGCAAATTCCACAAAAACAGTGTTTCAAATCTGCTCTCTCTAAATGAAAGTTCAACTCTGTCAGTTGAATACACACAACACAAGGAAGTTACTGAGAATTCTTCTTTCTAGCAGAATATGAAGAAATCCCGTTTCCAACGAAAGCCTCAAGGATGTCTGAATATCCACTTGCAGACTTTACAAACAGAGTGTTTCCTAACTGCTCTATGAAAAGAAAGGTTAAACTCTGTGAGTTGAACGCACACATCACAAAGGAGGTTCTGAGAATCATTCTGTCTAGTTTTTATACGAAGATATTTCCTTTTCTACCATGGACCTCAAAGCGGCTGAAATCTCCACTTGCAAATTCCACAAAAAGAGTGTTTCAAGTCTGCTCTGTGTAAAGGACCGTTCACCTCTGTGAGTTGAATACACACAACACAAGGAAGATTCTGAGAATTCTTCTGTCTAGCAGAATATGAAGAAATCCCGTTTCCAACGAAGGCCACAAGATGTCAGAATATCCACTTACAGAATTTACAAACAGACTGTTTCCTAACTGCTCTATGAAAAGAAAGGTTAAACTCTGTGTGTTGAACGAAGACATCACAACGCAGTTTGTGGGAATGATTCTGTCTAGTTTTGAAACCAAGATATTTCCTTTTCTGCCGTTGACCTAAAAGAGCTTGAAAACTACACTTGCAAATTGCACAAATAGAGTGTTTCAAATCTGCTCTGTCTAGGGGAACGTTCAACTCTGTGGGTTGAATGCACACAACACAAGGAAGTTACTGGGAATTCTTCTGTCTAGCCTTACATGAAAAAAACCCGTTTCCAACGAAGGCCTCTAAGTGGTCAAAATATCCACGTGCAGACTATACAAACAGAGTGTTTCCAAACCGCTGAATGAAAAGAAAAGTTAAACTCTGAGAGTTGAACGCACACATCACGCAGCAGTTTCTGAGAATGATTCTGTCTAGTTTTTATACGAAGATATTTCCTTTTCTGCCTTTGGCCCCAAAGCTTGAAATCTCCACTTGCAAATTCCACAAAAACAGTGTTTCAAATCTGCTCTCTCTAAATGAAAGTTCAACTCTGTCAGTTGAATAAACACAACACAAGGAAGTTACTGAGAATTCTTCTGTCTAGCAGAATATGAAGAAATCCCGTTTCCAACGAAGGCCTCAAAGAGGTCTGAATATCCACTTGCAGACTTTACAAAGAGAGTGTTTCCTAACTGCTCTATGAAAAGAAAGGTTAAACTCTGTGAGTTGTACGCACAAATCACAAAGGAGTTTCTGAGAATCGTTCTGTCTAGTCTTTATACGAAGATATTTACTTTTCTACCATTGACCTCAAAGCGGCTGAAATCTCCACTTGCAAATTCCACAGAAAGAGTGTCTCAAGTCTACTCTGTGTAAACGATCGTTCAACTCTGTGAGTTGAATACACACAACACAAGGAAGTTTCTGAGAATTCTTCTGTCTAGCAGAATATGAAGAAATCCCGTTTCCAACGAAGGCCTCAAGGAGGTCTGAATATCCACTTGCAGACTTTACAAACAGAGTGTTTCCTAACTGCTCTATGAAAAGAAAGGTTAAACTCTTTGACTTGAACGCACACATCACAACGCAGTTTGTGGGAATGATTCTGTCTAGTCTTTATACGAAGATATTTCCTTTTCTACCATTGACCTCAAAGCGGCTGAAATCTCCACTTGCAAATTCCACAAAAAGTGTGTTTCAAGTCTGCTCTGTGTAAAGGATCGTTCAACTCTGTGAGGTTGAATACACACAACACGAGGAAGTTACTGAGAATTCTTCTGTCTAGCAGAATATGAAGAAATCCCGTTTCCAACGAAGGCCTCAAGGAGGTCTGAATATCCACTTCCAGACTTTACAAACAGAGTGTCTCCTAACTGCTCTATGAAAAGAAAAGTTAAACTCTGTGAGTTGCACGCACACATCACAAAGGAGTTTCTGAGAATCATTCTGTCTAGTTTTGAAACGAAGATATTTCCTTTTCTGCCTTTGGCCTCAAAGCGCTTGAAATCTCCATTTGCAAATTCCACAAAAAGAGTGTTTCAAATCTGCTCTGTGTAAATGAAAGTTCAACTCTGTGAGTTGAACACACACAACACAAGGATGTTAGTGGGAATTCTTCTGTCTAGCAGAATATGAAGAAATCCCGTTTCCAACGAAGGCCTCAAGGAGGTCTGAATATCCACTTGCAGACTTTACAAACAGAGTGTTTCCTAACTGCTCTATGAACAGAAAGGTTAAACTCTGTGAGTTGAACGAACACATCACAACGCAGTTTGTGGGAATGATTCTGTCTAGTTTTGAAACGAAGATATTTCCTTTTCTGCCGTTGACCTTAAAGTGCTTGAAATCTACACTTGCAAATTGCACAAATAGAGTGTTTCAAATCTGCTCTGTCTAAGGGAACGTTCAACTCTGTGAGTTGAATGGACACAACACAAGGAAGTTACTGGGAATTCTTCTGTCTAGCCTTACATGAAAAAAACCCGTTTCCAACGAAGGCCTCTAAGTGGTCAAAATATGCACGTTCAGACTTTACAAACAGAGTGTTTCCAAACCGCTGAATGAAAAGAAAAGTTAGACTATGAGTGTTGAACGCACACATCACGCAGCAGTTTCTGAGAATGATTCTGTCTAGTTTTGAAACGAAGATATTTCCTTTTCTGCCATTGACCTTAAAGCGCTTGAAATCTCCATTTGCCAATTGCACAAAAAGAGTGTTTCAAATCTGCTCTGTCTAAGGGAACGTTCAACTCTGTGAGTTGAATGTACACAACACAAGGAAGTTACTGGGAATTCTTCTGTCTAGCCTTATATGAAAAAAACCCGTTTCCAACGAAGGCCTCAAAGAGGTCTGAATATCCACATGCAGACTTTACAAGCAGAGTGTTTCCTAACTGCTCTATGAAAAGAAAGGTTAAACTCTGTGAGTTGAACGCACACATCACAAAGGAGTTTCTGAGAATCATTGTGTCTAGTTTTTATACGAAGATATTTCCTTTTCTACCATTGACCTCAAAGCGGCTGAAATCTCCACTTGCAATTTCCACAAAAAGAGTGTTTCAAGTCTGCTCTGTGTAAAGGATCGTTCAACTCTGTGAGTTGAATACACACAACACAAGGAAGTTACTGAAAATTCTTCTGTCTAGCACAGTATGAAGAAATCCCGTTTCCAACGAAGGCCTCAAAGAGGTCTGAATATCCACTTGCAGAGTTTACAAACAGAGTGTTTCCTAACTGCTCTATGAAAAGAAAGGTTAAACTCTGTGAGTTCAACGCACACATCACAAAGAAGTTTCTGAGAATCATTCTGTCTAGTTTCTATAGGAAGATATTTCCTATTCTACCATTGACCTCAAAGCGGCTGAAATCTCCACTTGCAAGTTCCACAAAAAGAGTGTTTCAAGTCTGCTCTGTGTAAAGGATCGTTCAACTCTGTGAGTTGAATACACACAACACAAGGCAGTTACTGAGAATTCTTCTGTCTAGCAGAATATGAAGAAATCCCGTTTCCAACGAAGGCCACAAGATGTCAGAATATCCACTTACAGACTTTACACAGTGTTTCCTAACTGCTCTATGAACAGAAAGGTTAAACTCTGTGAGTTGAACGAACACATCACAACGCAGTTTGTGGGAATGATTCTGTCTAGTTTTGAAACGAAGATATTTCCTTTTCTGCCATTGACCTTAAAGCGCTTGAAATCTACACTTGCAAATTGCACAAATAGAGTGTTTCAAATCTGCTCTGTCTAAGGGAACGTTCAACTCTGTGAGTTGAATGCACACAACACAAGGAAGTTACTGGGAATTCTTCTGTCTAGCCTTACATGCAAAAAACCCGTTTCCAACGAAGGCCTCTAAGTGGTCAAAATATCCACGTGCAGACTTTACAAACAGAGTGTTTCCAAACCTCTGAATGAAAAGAAAAGTTAAACTCTGAGAGTTGAACGCACACATCACGCAGCAGTTTCTGAGAATGATTCTGTCTAGTTTTTATACGAAGATATTTCCTTTTCTGCCTTTGGCCACAAAGCGCTTGAAATCTCCACTTGCAAATTCCACAAAAAGAGTGTTTCAAATCTGCTCTGTGTAAATGAAAGTTCAACTCTGTGAGTTGAACACACACAACACAAGGAAGTTACTGGGAATTCTTCTGTCTAGCCTTATATGAAAAAAACCCGTTTCCAACGAAGGCCTCAAAGAGGTCTGAATATCCACTTGCAGACTTTACAAACAGAGTGTTTCCTAACTGCTGAATGAAAAGAAAGGTTAAACTCTGTGAGTTGAACACACACATCACAAAGGAGTTTCTGAGAATCATTCTGTCTAGTTTCTATAGGAAGATATTTCCTATTCTATCATTGACCTCAAAGCGGCTGAAATCTCCACTTGCAAATTCCACAAAAAGAGTGTTTCAAGTTTGCACTCTGTAAAGGATCGTTCAACTCTGTGAGTTGAATACACACAACACAAGGAAGTTACTGAGAATTATTCTGTCTAGCAGAATATAAAGAAATCCCGTTTCCAACGAAGGCCACAAGATGTCAGAATATCCACTTACAGAATTGACAAACAGACTGTTTCCTAACTGCTCTATGAAAAGAAAGGTTAAACTCTGTGAGTTGAACGAACCCATCACAACGCAGTTTGTGGGAATGATTCTGTCTAGTTTTGAAACGAAGATATTTCCTTTTCTGCCATTGACCTCAAGCGCTTGAAATCTCCACTTGCCAATTGCACAAAAAGAGTGTTTCAAATCTGCTCTGTCTAAGGGAACGTTCAACTCTGTGAGTTGAATGTACACAACACAAGGAAGTTACTGGGAATTCTTCTGTCTAGCCTTACATGAAAAAAACCCGTTTCCAACGAAGGCCTCTAAGTGGTCAAATTATCCACGTGCAGACTTTACAAACAGAGTGTTTCCAAACTGCTGAATGAGACGAAAAGTTAAACTCTGAGAGTTGAACGCACACATCGCAGAGCAGTTTCTGAGAATGATTCTGTCTAGTTTTTATACGAAGATATTTCCTTTTCTGCCTTTGGCCCCAAAGCGCTTGAAATCTCCATTTGCAAATTCCACAAAAAGAGTGTTTCAAATCTGCTCTGTGTAAATGAAAGTTCAACTCTGTGAGTTGAACACACACAACACAAGGAAGTTACTGGGAATTCTTCTGTCTAGCATAGTATGAAGAAATCCCGTTTCCAACGAAGGCCTCAAAGTGGTCTGAATATCCACTTGCAGAGTTTACAAACAGAGGGTTTCCTAACTGCTCTATGAAAAGAAAGGTTAAACTCTGTGAGTTGAACGCACACATCACAAAGAAGTTTCTGAGAATCATTTTGTCTAGTTTCTATAAGAAGATATTTCCTATTCTACCATTGACCTCAAAGCGGCTGAAATCTCCACTTGCAAATTCGACAAAAAGAGTGTTTCAAGCCTGCTCTCTGTAAAGGATCCTTCAACTCTGTGAGTTGAATACACACAACACAAGGAAGTTACTGAGAATTCTTCTGTCTAGCACAGTATGAAGAATTCCCGTTTCCAACGAAGGCCTCAAAGAGGTCTGAATATCCACTTGCAGAGTTTACAAACAGAGTGTTTCCTAACTGCTGTATGAAAAGAAAGGTTAAACTCTGTGAGTTGAACGCACACATCACAATGAAGTTTCTGAGAATCATTCTGTCTAGTTTTTATACGAAGATATTTCCTTTTCTACCATTGACCTCAAAGCGGCTGAAATCACCACTAGCCAATTGCACAAAAAGAGTGTTTCAAATCTGCTCTATCTAAGGGAACGTTCAACTCTGTGAGTTGAATGTACACAAAACAAGGAAGTTACTGGGAATTCTTCTGTCTAGCCTTACATGAAAAAAACCCGTTTCCAACGAAGGCCTCTAAGTGGTCAAATTATTCACGTGCAGACGTTACAAACAGATTGTTTCCAAACTGCTGAATGAAAAGAAAAGTTAAACTCTGAGAGTTGAACGCACACATCGCAGAGCAGTTTCTGAGAATGATTCTGTCTAGTTTTTATACGAAGATATTTCCTTTTCTGCCTTTGGCCTCAAAGCGCTTGAAATCTCCACTTGCAAATTCCACAAAAAGAGTGTTTCAAATCTGCTCTTTGTAAATGAAAGTTCAACTCTGTGAGTTGAACACACACAACACAAGGAAGTTACTGGGAATCCTTCTGTCTGGCAGAATATGAAGAAATCCCGTTTCCAACGAAGGCCTCAAGGAGGTCTGAATATCCACTTGCAGACTTTACAAACAGAGTGTTTCCTAACTGCTCTATGAGAAGAAAAGTTAAACTCTGTGAGTTGAACGCACACATCACAAAAGATTTTCTGAGAATCATTCTGTCTAGTTTCTATAGGAAGATATTTCCTATTCTACCATTGACCACAAAGCGGCTGAAATCTCCACTTGCAAATTCCACAAAAAGAGTGTTTCAAGTCTGTTCTGTGTAAAGGATCATTCAACTCTGTGAGTTGAATACACACAACACAAGGAAGTTACTGAGAATTCTTCTGTCTAGCAGAATATGAATAAATCCCGTTTCCAACGAAGGCCACAAGATGTCAGAATATCCACTTACAGACTTTACAAACAGAGTGTTTCCTAACTGCTCTATGAACAGAAAGGTTAAACTCTGTGAGTTGAACGAACACATCACAACGCAGTTTGTGGGAATGATTCTGTCTAGTTTTGAAACGAAGATATTTCCTTTTCTGCCATTGACCTTAAAGCGCTTGAAATCTCCACTTGCCAATTGCACAAAAAGAGTGTTTCAAATCTGCTCTGTCTAAGGGAACGTTCAACTCTGTGAGTTGAATGTACACAACACAAGGAAGTTACTGCGAATTCTTCTGTCTAGCCTTACAGGAAAAAAACCCATTTCCAACGAAGGCCTCTAAGTGGTCAAAATATCCACGTGCAGACTTTACAAACAGAGTGTTTCCAAACTGCTGAATGAAAAGAAAAGTTAAACTCTGAGAGTTGAACGCACACATCGCAGAGCAGTTTCTGAGAATGATTCTGTCTAGTTTTTATACGAAGATATTTGCTTTTCTGCCTTTGGCCTCAAAGCGCTTGAAATCTCCATTTGCAAATTCCACAAAAAGAGTGTTTCAAATCTGCTCTGTGTAAATGAAAGTTCAACTATGTGAGTTGAACACACACAACACAAGGAAGTTACTGGGAATTCTTCTGTCTAGCATAATATGAAGAAATCCCGTTTCCAACGAAGGCCTCAAATGGGTCTGAATATCCATTTGCAGACTTTATAAACAGAGTGTTTACTAACTGTTCTATGAAAAGAAAGGTTAAACTCAGTGAGTTGAACACACACATCACAAAGGAGTTTCTGAGAATCATTCTGTGTAGTTTTTCTACGAAGATATTTCCTTTTCTACTATTGACCTCAAAGCGGCTGAAATCTCCACTTGCAAATTCCACAAAAAGAGTGTTTCAAGTCTGCTCTGTGTAAAGGATCGTGCAACTCTGTGAGTTGAATACACACAACACAAGGAAGTTACTGAGAATTATTCTGTCTAGCAGAACATGAAGAAATCCCGTTTCCAATGAAGGCCTCAAGGAGGTCTGAATATCCACTTGCAGACTTTACAAACAGAGTGTTTCCTAACTGCTCTATGAAAAGTAAGGTTAAACTCTGTGAGTTGAACGCACACATCACAAAGGAGTTTCTGAGAATCATTCTGTATAGTTTTGAAACGAAGATATTTCCTTTTCAGCCGTTGACCTTAAAGCGCTTGAAATCTACACTTGCAAATTGCACAAATAGGCTGTTTCAAATCTGCTCTGTCTAAGGGAACGTTCAACTCTGTGAGTTGAATGCACACAACACAAGGAAGTTACTGGGAATTCTTCTGTCTAGCCTTACATGAAAAAAACACGTTTCCAACGAAGGCCTCTAAGTGGCCAAATTATCCACGTGCAGACTTTACAAACAGAGTGTTTCCAAACTGCTGAATGAAAAGAAAAGTTAAACTCTGAGAGTTGAACGCACACATCGCAGAGCAGTTTCTGAGAATGATTCTGTCTAGTTTTTATACGAAGATATTTACTTTTCTGCCTTTGGCCTCAAAGCGCTTGAAATCTCCACTTGCAAATTCCACAAAAAGAGTGTTTCAAATCTGCTCTTTGTAAATGAAAGTTCAACTCTGTGAGTTGAACACACACAACACAAGGAAGTTACTGGGAATCCTTCTGTCTAGCAGAATATAAAGAAATCCCGTTTCCAACGAAGGCCTCAAGGAGGTCTGAATATCCACTTGCAGACTTTACAAACAGAGTGTTTCCTAACTGCTCTATGAAAAGAATGGTTAAACTCTGTGAGTTGAACGCACACATCACAAAGGAGTTTCTGAGAATCATTCTGTCTAGTTTTTATACGAAGATATTTCCTTTTCTACCATTGACCTCAACGCGGCTGAAATCTCCACTTGCAAATTCCACAAGAACAGTGTTCCAAGTCTGCTCTGTGTAAAGGATCGTTCAACTCTGTGAGTTGAATACACACAACACAAGGAAGTTACTGAGAATTCTTCTGTCTAGCAGAATATGAAGAAATCCCGTTTCCAACGAAGGCCTCAAAGAGGTCTGAATATCCACTTGCAGACTTTACAAACAGAGTGTTTCCTAACTGCTCTATGAAAAGAAAAGTTAAACTCTGTGAGTTGAACGCACACATCACAACGCAGTTTGTGGGAATGATTCTGTCTAGTTTTGAAACGAAGATATTTCCTTTTCTGCCATTGACCTTAAAGCGCTTGAAATCTCCACTTGCCAATTGCACAAAAAGAGTGTTTCAAATCTGCTCTGTGTAAGGGAACGTTCAACTCTGTGAGTTGAATGTACACAACACAAGGAAGTTACTGGGAATTCTTCTGTCGAGCCTTACATGAAAAAAACCCGTTTCCAACGAAGGCCTCTAAGTGGTCAAAATTTCCACGTGCAGACTTTACAAACAGAGTGTTTCCAAACCGCTGAATGAAAAGAAAAGTTAAACTCTGAGAGTTGAACGCACACATCACGCAGCAGTTTCTGAGAATGATTCTGTCTAGTTTTTTTATGAAGATATTTCCTTTTCTACCATTGACCTCAAAGTGGCTGAAATCTCCGCTTGCAAAATCCACAAAAATATTGTTTCTAATCTGCTCTGTGTAAAGGATCTTTCAACTCTGTGAGTTGAATGCACACAACACAAGGAAGTTACTGAGAATTCTTCTGTCTAGCATAATATGAAGAAATCCCGTTTCCAACGAAGGCCTCAGAGAGGTCTGAATATCTACTTGCAGACTTTACAGAGTGTTTCCTAACTGCTCTATGAAAAGAAAGGTTAAACTCCGTGAGTTGAACGCACACATCACAAAGGAGTTTCTGAGAATCATTCTGTCTAGTCTTTATATGAAGATAGTTTCCTTTTCTACCATTGACCACAAAGCGGCTGAAATCTCCACTTGCAAATTCCACAAAAAGAGTGTTTCAAGTCTGCTCTGTGTAAAGGATCATTCAACTCTGTGTGTTGAATAAACACAACACAAGGAAGTTACTGAGAATTCTTCTGTCTAGCAGAATATGAAGAAATCCCGTTTCCAACGAAGGCCACAAGATGTCAGAATATCCACTTACAGAATTGACAAACAGACTGTTTCCTAAATGCTCTATGAAAAGAAACGTTAAACTCTGTGAGTTGAACGAACACATCACAACGCAGTTTGTGGGAATGATTCTGTCTAGTTTTGAAACGAAGATATTTCCTTTTCTGCCGTTGACCTTAAAGAGCTTGAAAACTACACTTGCAAATTGCACAAATAGAGTGTTTCAAATCTGCTCTGTCTAAGGGAACGTTCAACTCTGTGAGTTGAATGCACACAACACAAGGGAAGTTACTGGGAATTCTTCTGTCTAGCCTTACATGAAAAAACCCGTTTCCAACGAAGGCCTCTAAGTGGTCAAAATATCCACGTGCAGACTTTACAAACAGAGTGTTTCCAAACCGCTGAATGAAAAGAAAAGTTAAACTCTGAGAGTTGAACGCACACATCATGCAGCAGTTTCTGAGAATGATTCTGTCTAGTTTTTATACGAGGATATTTCCTTTTCTGCCTTTGGCCTCACAGCGCTTGAAATCTCCACTTGCAAATTCCACAAAAAGAGTGTTTCAAATCTGCTCTGTGTAAATGAAAGTTCAACTCTGTGAGTTGAACACACACAACACAAGGAAGTTACTGGGAATTCTTCTGTCTAGCAGAATATGAAGAAATCCCATTTCAAAGAAAGCCTCAAAGATGTCTGAATATCCACTTGCAGACTTTACAAACAGAGTGTTTCCTAACTGCTCTATGAAAAGAAAGGTTAAACTCTGTGAGTTGAACGCACACATCACAAAGGAGTTTCTGAGAATCATTCTGTCTAGTTTCTATAGGAAGATATTTCCTATTCTACCATTGACCTCAAAGCGGCTGAAATCTCCACTTGCAAATTCCACAAAAAGAGTGTTTCAAGTATGCTCTGTGTAAAGGATCGTTCAACTCTGTGAGTCGAATACACACAACACAAGGAAGTTACTGAGAATTCTTCTGTCTAGCAGAGTATGAGGAAATCCCGTTTCCAACGAAGGCCACAAGATGTCAGAATATCCACTTACAGAATTGACAAACAGACTGTTTCCTAACTGCTCTATGAAAAGAAAGGTTAAACTCTGTGAGTTGAACGAACACATCACAACGCAGTTTGTGGGAATGATTCTGTCTAGTTTTGAAACGAAGATATTTCCTTTTCTGCCATTGACCTTAAAGCGCTTGAAATCTCCATTTGCCAATTGCACAAAAAGAGTGTTTCAAATCTGCTCTGTCTAAGGGAACGTTCAACTCTGTGAGTTGAATGTACACAACACAAGGAAGTTACTGGGAATTCTTCTGTCTAGCCTTACAGGAAAAAAACCCGTTTCCAACGAAGGCCTCTAAGTGGTCAAAATATCCACGTGCAGACTTTACAAACAGAGTGTTTCCAAACTGCTGAATGAAAAGAAAAGTCAAACTCTGAGAGTTGAACGCACACATCGCAGAGCAGTTTCTGAGAATGATTCTGTCTAGTTTTTATACGAAGATATTCCCTTTTCTGCCTTTGGCCTCAAAGCGCTTGAAATCTCCACTTGCAAATTCCACAAAAAGAGTGTTTCAAATCTGCTCTGTGTAAATGAAAGTTCAACTCTGTGAGTTGAACACACACAACACAAGGAAGTTACTGGGAATTCTTCTGTCTAGCATAATATGAAGAAATCCCGTTTCCAACGAAGACCTCAAAGGGGTCTGAATATCCACTTGCAGACTTTATAAACAGAGTGTTTACTAACTGCTCTATGAAAAGAAAGGTTAAACTCTGTGAGTTGAACACACACATCACAAAGGAGTTTCTGAGAATCATTCTGTCTAGTTTCTATAGGAAGATATTTCCTATTCTACCATTGACTTCAAAGCGGCTGAAATCTCCACTTGCAAATTCCACAAAAAGAGTGTTTCAAGTCTGCTCTGTGTAAAGGATCGTTCAACTCTGTGAGTTGAATACACACAACACAAGGAAGTTACTGAGAATTCTTCTTTCTAGCAGAATATGAAGAAATCCCGTTTCCAACGAAAGCCTCAAGGATGTCTGAATATCCAATTGCAGACTTTACAAACAGAGTGTTTCCTAACTGCTCTATGAAAAGAAAGGGTAAACTCTGTGAGTTGAACGCACACATCACAAAGGAGTTTCTGAGAATCATTCTGTCTAGTTTTTATACGAAGATATTTCCTTTTCTACCATTGACCTCAAAGCGGCTGAAATCACCACTTGCCAATTGCACAAAAAGAGTGTTTCAAATCTGCTCTCTCTAAGGAAACGTTCAACTCTGTGAGTTGAATGTACACAACACAAGGAAGTTACTGGGAATTCTTCTGTCTAGCCTTACAAGAAAAAAACCCGTTTCCAACGAAAGCCTCTAAATGGTCAAAATATCCACGTGCAGACTTTACAAACAGAGTGTTTCCAAACTGCTGAATGAAAAGAAAAGTTAAACTCTGAGAGTTGAACGCACACATCGCAGAGCAGTTTCTGAGAATGATTCTGTCTAGTTTTGAAACGAAGATATTTCCTTTTCTGCCTTTGGCCTCAAAGCGCTTGAAATCTCCACTTGCAAATTCCACAAAAAGAGTGTTTCAAATCTTCTCTGTGTAAATGAAAGTTCAACTCTGTGACTTGAACACACACAACACAAGGAAGTTACTGGGAATTCTTCTGTCTAGCACAGTATGAAGAAATCCCGTTTCCAACGAAGGCCTCGAAGAGGTCTGAATATCCACTTGCAGAGTTTACAAACAGAGTGTTTCCTAACTGCTCTATGAAAAGAAAGGTTAAACTCTGTGAGTTGAACGCACACATCACAAAGAAGTTTCTGAGAATCATTCTGTCTAGTTTTTATAGGAAGATATTTCCTTTTCTACCTTTGACTTCAAAGCGGCTGAAATCTCCACTTGCAATTTCCACAAAAAGAGTGTTACAAGTCTGCTCTGTGTAAAGGATCGTTCAACTCTGTGAATTGAATACACACAACACAAGGAAGTTACTGAGAATTCTTCTGTCTAGCACAGTATGAAGAAATCCCGTTTCCAACGAAGGCCTCAAAGAGGTCTGAATATCCACTTGCAGACTTTACAAACAGAGTGTTTCCTAACTGCTCTATGAAAAGAAAGGTTAAACTCTGTGAGTTGAACGCACACATCACAAAGGAGTTTCTGACAATCATTCTGTCTAGTTTTTATAGGAAGATATTTCCTTTTCTACCTTTGACTTCAAAGCGGCTGAAATCTCCACTTGCAAATTCCACAAAAAGAGTGTTACAAGTCTGCTCTGTGTAAAGGATCGTTCAACTCTGTGAGTTGAATGTACACAACACAAGGAAGTTACTGAGAATTCTTCTGTCTAGCCTTACATGAAAAAAACCCGTTTCCAACGAAGGCCTCTAAGTGGTCAAAATATCCACGTGCAGACTTTACAAACAGAGTGTTTCCAAACCGCTGAATGAAAAGAAAAGTTAAACTCTGAGAGTTGAACGCACACATCACACAGCAGTTTCTGAGAATGATTCTGTCTAGTTTTGAAACGAAGATATTTCCTTTTCTGCCTTTGGTCTCAAATCGCTTGAAATCTCCACTTGCAAATTCCACAAAAAGAGTGTTTCAAATCTGCTCTGTGTAAATGAAAGTTCAACTCTGTGAGTTGAACACACACAACACAAGGAAGTTACTGGGAATTCTTCTGTCTAGCCTTATATGAAAAAAACCCGTTTCCAATGAAGGCCTCAAAGAGGTCTGAATATCCACTTGCAGACTTTACAAACAGAGTGTTTCCTAACTGCTCTATGAAAAGAAAGGTTAAACTCTGTGAGTTGAACACACACATCACAAAGGAGTTTCTGAGAATCATTCTGTCTAGTTTTTATACGAAGATATTTTCTTTTCTACCATTGACCTCAACGCGGCTGAAATCTCCACTTGCAAATTCCACAAAAAGAGTGTTTCAAGTCCGCTCTGTGTAAAGGATCGTTCAACTCTGTGAGTTGAATACACACAACACAAGGAAGTTACTGAGAATTCTTCTGTCTAGCATAATATGAAGAAATCCCGTTTCCAACGAAGGCCTCAAAGAGGTCTGAATATCCACTTGCAGACTTTACAAACAGAGTGTTTCCTAACTGCTCTATGAACAGAAAGGTTAAACTCTGTGAGTTGAACGAACACATCACAACGCAGTTTGTGGGAATGATTCTGTCTAGTTTTTATACGAAGATATTTCCTTTTATACCATTGACCTCAAAGCGGCTGAAATCACCACTTGCCAATTGCACAAAAAGAGTGTTTCAAATCTGCTCTGTCTAAGGGAACGTTCCACTCTGTGAGTTGAATGTACACAACACAAGGAAGTTACTGGGAATTCTTCTGTCTAGCCTTACAGGAAAAAAACCCGTTTCCAACGAAGGCCTCTAAGTGGTCAAAATATCCACGTGCAGACTTTACAAACAGAGTGTTTCCAAACTGCTGAATGAAAAGAAAAGTTAAACTCTGAGAGTTGAACGCACACATCGCAGAGCAGTTTCTGGGAATGATTCTGTCTAGTTTTGAAACGAAGATATTTCCTTTTCCGCCTTTGGCCTCAAAGCGCTTGAAATCTCCACTTGCAAATTCCACAAAAAGAGTGTTTCAAATCTGCTCTGTGTAAATGAAAGTTCAACTCTGTGAGTTGAACACACACAACACAAGGAAGTTACTGGGAATTCTTCTGTCTAGCAGAATATGAAGAAATCCCGTTTCCAACGAAGGCCTCAAAGAGGTCTGAATATCCACTTGCAGACATTACAAACAGAGTGTTTCCTAACTGGTCTATGAAAAGAAAAGTTAAACTCTGTGAGTTGAACGCACACATCACAAAGGAGTTTCTGAGAGTCATTCTGTCTAGTTTTTATACGAAGATATTTCCTTTTCTACTATTGACCACAAATCGGCTGAGATCTCCACTTGCAAATTCCACAAAAAGAGTGTTTCAAGTCTGCTCTGTATAAAGGATCGTTGAACTCTTTGAGTTGAATACACACAACACAAGGAAGTTACTGAGAATTCTTCTGTATAGCAGAATATGAAGAAATCCCGTTTCCAACGAAGGCCACAAGATGTCACAATATCCACTTACAGAATTTACAAACAGACTGTTTCCTAACTCCTCTATGAAAACAAAGGTTAAACTCTGTGAGTTGAACGAACACATCACAACGCAGTTTGTGGGAATTATTCTGTCTAGTTTTGAAACGAAGATATTTCCTTTTCTGCCATTGACCTCAAAGCGCTTGAAATCTCCACTTGCCAATTGCACAAAAAGAGTGTTTCAAATCTGCTCTGTCTAAGGGAACGTTCAACTCTGTGAGTTGAATGTACACAACACAAGGAAGTTACTGGGAATTCTTCTGTCTAGCCTTACAGGAAAAAAACCCGTTTCCAACGAAGGCCTCTAAGTGGTCAAAATATCCACGTGGAGACTTTACAAACAGAGTGTTTCCAAACTGCTGAATGAAAAGAAAAGTTAAACTCTGAGAGTTGAACGCACACATCGCAGAGCAGTTTCTGAGAATGATTCTGTCTAGTTTTGAAACGAAGATATTTCCTTTTCTGCCTTTGGCCTCAAAGCGCTTGACATCTCCACTTGCAAATTCCTCAAAAAGAGTGTTTCAAATCTGCTCTGTGTAAATGAAAGTTCAACTCTGTGAGTTGAACACACACAACACAAGGAAGTTACTGGGAATTCTTCTTTCTAGCAGAATATGAAGAAATCCCGTTTCCAAGGAAAGCCTCAACGATGTCTGAATATCCACTTGCAGACTTTACAAACAGAGTGTTTCCTAACTGCTCTATGAAAAGAAAGGTTAAACTCTGTGAGTTCAACGCACACATCACAAAGGAGTTTCTGAGAATCATTCTGTCTAGTTTTGAAACGAAGATATTTCCTTTTCTGCCATTGACCTTAAAGCGCTTGAAATCTACACTTGCAAATTCCACAAAAAGAGTGTTTCAAGTCTGCTCTGTGTAAAGGATCGTTCAACTCTGTGAGTTGAATACACACAACACAAGGAAGTTACTGAGAATTATTCTGTCTAGCAGAATATGAAGAAATCCCGTTTCCAACGAAGGCCTCAAGGAGGTCTGAATATCCACTTGCAGACTTTACAAACAGAGTGTTTCCTAACTGCTCTATGAACAGAAAGGTTAAACTCTGTGAGTTGAACGAACACATCACAACGCAGTTTGTGGGAATGATTCTGTCTACTTTTTATAGGAAGATATTTCCTTTTCTACCTTTGACTTCAAAGCGGCTGAAATCTCCACTTGCAAATTACACAAAAAGAGTGTTACAAGTCTGCTCTGTCTAAGGGAACGTTCAACTCTGTGAGTTGAATGTACACAACACAAGGAAGTTACTGGGAATTCTTCTGTCTAGCCTTACAGGAAAAAAACCCGTTTCCAACGAAGGCCTCTAAGTGGTCAAAATATCCACCTTCAGACTTTACAAACAGAGTGTTTCCAAACTGCTGAATGAAAAGAAAAGTTAAACTCTGAGAGTTGAACGCACACATCGCAGAGCAGTTTCTGAGAATGATTCTGTCTAGTTTCTATAGGAAGATATTTCCTATTCTACCATTGACCTCAAAGCGGCTGAAATCTCCACTTGCAAATTCCACAAAAAGAGTGTTTCAAGTCTGCTCTGTGTAAAGCATCGTTCAACTCTGTGAGTTGAAAACACACAACACAAGGAAGTTTCTGAGAATTCTTCTGTATAGCAGAATATGAAGAAATCCCGTTTCCAACGAAAGCCTCAAAGATGTCTGAATATCCACTTGCAGACTTTACAAACAGAGTGTTTCCTAACTGCTCTATGAAAAGAAAGGTTAAACTCTGTGAGTTGAACGCACACATCACAAAGGAGTTTCTGAGAATCATTCTGTCTAGTGTTTATACGAAGATATTTCCTTTTCTACCATTGACCTCAAAGCGGCTGAAATCTCCATTTGCAAATTCCACAAAAAGAGTGTTTCAAGTCTGGTCTGTGTAAAGGATCGTTCAACTCTGTGAGTTGAATACACACAACACAAGGAAGTTACTGAGAATTCTTCTGTCTAGCATAATATGAAGAAATCCCGTTTCCAACGAAGGCCTCAAAGAGGTCTGAATATCCACTTGCAGACTTTACAAACAGAGTGTTTCCTAACTGTTCTATGAACAGAAAGGTTAAACTCTGTGAGTTGAACGAACACATCACAACGCAGTTTGTGGGAATGATTCTGTCTAGTTTTGAAACGAAGATATTTCCTTTTCTGCCATTGACCTTAAAGCGCTTGAAATCTACACTTGCAAATTGCACAAATAGAGTGTTTCAAATCTGCTCTGTCTAAGGGAACGTTCAACTCTGTTAGTTGAATGCACACAACACAAGGAAGTTACTGGGAATTCTTCTGTCTAGCCTTACATAAAAAAAACCCGTTTCCAACGAAGGCCTCTAAGTGGTCAAATTATCCACGTGCAGACTTTACAAACAGAGTGTTTCCAAACTGCTGAATGAAAAGCAAAGTTAAACTCTGAGAGTTGAACGCACACATCGCAGAGCAGTTTCTGAGAATGATTCTGTCTAATTTTTATACGAAGATATTTCCTTTTCTGCCTTTGGCCTCAAAGCGCTTGAAATCTCCACTTGCAAATTCCACAAAAAGAGTGTTTCAAATCTGCTCTGTGTAAATGAAAGTTCAACGCTGTGAGTTGAACACACACAACACAAGGAAGTTACTGGGAATTCTTCTGTCTTGCATAATATGAAGAAATCCCGATTCCAACGAAGGCCTCAAAGGGGTCTGAATATCCACTTGCAGACTTTATAAACAGAGTGTTTACTAACTGCTCTATGAAAAGAAAGGTTAAATTCTGTGAGTTGAACACACACATCACAAAGGAGTTTCTGAGAATCATTCTGTCTAGTTTCTATAGGAAGATATTTCCTATTCTACCATTGACCTCAAAGCGGCTGAAATCTCCACTTGCAAATTCCACAAAAAGAGAGTTTCAAGTCTGCTCTGTGTAAAGGATCGTTCAACTCTGTGAGTTGAATACACACAACACAAGGAAGTTACTGAGAATTCTTCTGTCTACCATAATATGAAGAAATCCCGTTTCCAACGAAGGCCTCAAGGAGGTCTGAATATCCACTTGCAGACTTTACAAACAGAGTGTTTCCTAACTGCTCTATGAAAAGAAAGGTTAAACTCTGTGAGTTGAACGCACACATCACAAAGGAGTTTCTGAGAATCATTCTGTCTAGTTTTGAAACGAAGATATTTCCTTTTCTGCCATTGACCTTAAAGCGCTTGAAATCTACACTTGCAAATTGCACAAATAGAGTGTTTCAAATCTGCTCTGTCTAAGGGAACGTTCAACTCTGTGAGTTGAATGCACACAACACAAGGAAGTTACTGGGAATTCTTCTGTCTAGCCTTACAAGAAAAAAACCCGTTTCCAACGAAGGCCTCTAAGTGGTCAAAATTTCCACGTTCAGACTTTACAAACAGAGTGTTTCCAAACCGCTGAATGAAAAGAAAAGTTAAACTCTGAGAGTTGAACGCACACATCACGCAGCAGTTTCTGAGAATGATTCTGTCTAGTTTTGAAACGAAGATATTTCCTTTTCTGCCTTTGGCCTCAAAGCGCTTGAAATCTCCACTTGCAAATTCCACAAAAAGAGTGTTTCAAATCTGCTCTCTGTAAATGAAAGTTCAACTCTGTGAGTCGAACACACACAACACAAGGAAGTTACTGGGAATTCTTTTGTCTAGCCTTACAGGAAAAAAACCCGTTTCCAACGAAGGCCTCTAAGTGGTCAAATTATCCACGTGCAGACTTTACAAACAGAGTGTTTCCAACCTGCTGAATGAAAAGAAAAGTTAAACTCTGAGAGTTGAACGCACACATCACAAAGGAGTTTCTGAGAATCATTCTGGCTAGTTTCTATAGGAAGATATTTCCTATTCTACCATTGACCTCAAAGCGGCTGAAATCTCCAATTGCAAATTCCACAAAAAGAGTGTTTCAAGTCTGCTCTGTGTAAAGGATCGTTCAACTCTGTGAGTTGAATACACACAACACAAGGAAGTTACTGAGAATTCTTCTGTCTAGCAGAATATGAAGAAATCCCGCTTCCAACGAAGGCCTCAAAGAAGTCTGAATATCCACTTGCAGACTTTACAAACAGAGTGTTTCCCAACTGCTCTATGAAAAGAAAGGTTGAACTCTGTGAGTTGAACGCACACATCACAAAGGACTTTCTGAGAATCATTCTGTCTAGTTTTGAAACGAAGATATTTCCTTTTCTGCCATTGACCTTAAAGCGCTTGAAATCTCCATTTGCCAATTGCACAAAAAGAGTGTTTCAAATCTGCTCTGTCTAAGGGAACGTTCAACTCTGTGAGTTGAATGTACACAACACAAGGAAGTTACTGGGAATTCTTCTGTCTAGCCTTATATGAAAAAAACCCGTTTCCAACGAAGGCCTCTAAGTGGTCAAATTATCAACGTGCAGACTTTACAAACAGAGTGTTTACAAACTGCTGAATGAAAAGAAAAGTTAAACTCTGAGAGTTGAACGCACACATCGCAGAGCAGTTTCTGAGAATGATTCTGTCTAGTTTTTATAAGAAGATATTTCCTTTTCTGCCTTTGGCCTCAAAGCGCTTGAAATCTCCATTTGCAAATTCCACAAAAAGAGTGTTTCAAATCTGCTCTGTGTAAATGAAAGTTCAACTCTGTGAGTTGAATACACACAACACAAGGAAGTTACTGAGAATTCTTCTGTCTAGCCTTATATGAAAAAATCCCGTTTCCACGGAAGGCCTCAAAGAGGTCAAAATATCCACGTGCAGACTTTACAAACAGAGTGTTTCCTAACTGCTCTATGAAAAGAAAGGTTAAAATCTGTGAGTTGAACGCACTCATCACAAAGGAGTTTCTGAGAATCATTGTGTCTAGTTTTTATACGAAGATATTTCCTTTTCTACCATTGACCTCAAAGCGGCTGAAATCTCCACTTGCAATTTCCACAAAAAGAGTGTTTCAAGTCTGCTCTGTGTAAAGGATCGTTCAACTCTGTGAGTTGAATACACACAACACAAGGAAGTTACTGAGAATTCTTCTGTCTAGCATAATATGAAGAAATCCCGTTTCCAACGAAGGCCTCAAAGAGGTCTGAATATCCACTTGCAGACTTTACAAACAGAGTGTTTCCTAACTGTTCTATGAAAAGAAAGGTTAAACTCTGTGAGTTGAATGCACACATCACAAAGGAGTTTCTGAGAATCATTCTGTCTAGTTTTTATACGAAGATATTTCCTTTTCTACCGTTGACCTCAAAGCGGCTGAAATCTCTACTTGCAAATTACACAAAAAGAGTGTTTCAAGTCTACTCTGTGTAAAGCATCGTTCAACTCTGTGAGTTGAAAACACACAACACAAGGAAGTTTCTGAGAATTCTTCTGTCTAGCCTTACATGAAAAAAACCCGATTCCAACGAAGGCCTCTAAGTGGTCAAAATATCCACGTGCAGACTTTACAAACAGAGTGTTTCCAAACCGCTGAATGAAAAGAAAAGTTAAACTCTGAGAGTTGAACGCACACATCACGCAGCAGTTTCTGAGAATGGTTCTGCCTAGTTTTTATACGAAGATATTTCCTTTTCTGCCTTTGGCTCCGAAGCGCTTGAAATCTCCAATTGCAAATTCCACAAAAACAGTGTCTCAAATCTGCTCCCTCTAAATGAAAGTTCAACTCTGTCAGTTGAATACACACAACACAAGGAAGTTACTGAGAATTCTTCTGTCTAGCAGAATATGAAGAAATCCCGTTTCCAACGAAGGTCTCAAAGAGGTCTGAATATCCACTTGCAGACTTTACAAACAGAGTGTTTCCTAACTGCTCTATGAAAAGAAAGGTTAAACTCTGTGAGTTGAACGCACACATCACAAAGGAGTTTATGAGAATCATTTTGTCTAGTTTCTATAAGAAGATATTTCCTATTCTACCATTGACCTCAAAGCGGCTGAAATCTCCACTTGCAAATTCGACAAAAAGAGTGTTTCAAGCCTGCTCGCTGTAAAGGATCCTTCAACTACTGTGAGTTGAATACACACAACACAAGGAAGTTACTGAGAATTATTCTGTCTAGCAGAATATGAAGAAATCCCGTTTCCAACGAAGGCCACAAGAGGTCAGAATATCCACTTACAGACTTTACAAACAGAGTGTTTCCTAACTGCTCTATGAACAGAAAGGTTAAACTCTATGAGTTGAACGAACACATCACAACGCAGTTTGTGGGAATGATTCTGTGTAGTTTTGAAACGAAGATATTTCCTTTTCTGCCATTGACCTTAAAGCGCTTGAAATCTACACTTGCAAATTGCACAAATAGAGTGTTTCAAATCTGCTCTGTCTAAGGGAACGTTCAACTCTGTGAGTTGAATGCACACAACACAAGGAAAGTTACTGGGAATTCTTCTGTCTAGCCTTACATGAAAAAAACCCGTTTCCAACGAAGGCCTCTAAGCGGTCAAATTATGCACGTGCAGACTTTACAAACAGAGTGTTTCCAAACTGCTGAATGAAAAGAAAAGTTAAACTCTGAGAGTTGAACGCACACATCGCAGAGCAGTTTCTGAGCATGATTCTGTCTCGTTTTTATACGAAGATATTTCCTTTTCTGCCTTTGGCCTCAAATCGCTTGAAATCTCCACTTGCAAATTCCACAAAAAGAGTGTTTCAAATCTGCTCTGTGTAAATGAAAGTTCAACTCTGTGAGTTGAACACACACAACACAAGGAAGTTACTGGGAATTCTTCTGTCTAGCCTTACATGAAAAAAACCCGTTTCCAACGAAGGCCTCAAAGAGGTCAAAATATCCACTTGCAGACTTTACAAACAGAGTGTTTCCTAACTACTCTATGAATAGAAAGGTTAAACTCTGTGAGTTGAACACACACATCACAAAGGAGTTTCTGAGAATCATTCTGTCTAGTTTTTATAGGAAGATATTTCCTTTTCTACCATTGACCTCAAAGCGGCTGAAATCTCCACTTGCAAATTCCACAAAAAGAGTGTTTCAAGTCTGCTCTGTGTAAAGGATCGTTCAACTCTCTGAGTTGAATACACACAACACGCGGAAGTTACTGAGCATTCTTCTGTCTAGCAGAATATGAAGAAATCCCGTTTCCAACGAAGGCCCCAAGATGTCAGAATATCCACTTACAGAATTTACAACAGAGTGTTTCCTAACTGCTCTATGAAAAGAAAGGTTAAACTCTGTGAGTTGAACGAACACATCACAACGCAGTTTGTGGGAATGATTCTGTCTAATTTTGAAACGAAGATATTTCCTTTTCTGCCATTGACCTTAATGCGCTTGAAATCTACACTTGCAAATTGCACAAATAGAGTGTTTCAAATCTGCTCTGTCTAAGGGAACGTTCAACTCTGTGAGTTGAATGCACACAACACAAGGAAGTTACTGGGAATTCTTCTGTCTAGCCTTACATGAAAAAAACCCGTTTCCAACGAAGGCCTCTAAGTGGTCAAATTATCCACGTGCAGACTTTACAAACAGAGTGTTTCCAAACTGCTGAAAGAAAAGCAAAGTTAAACTCTGAGAGTTGAACGCACACATCGCAGAGCAGTTTCTGAGAATGATTCTGTCTAGTTTTTATACGAAGACATTTCCTTTTCTACCATTGACCTCAACGCGGCTGAAATCTCCACTTGCAAATTCCACAAAACGAGTGTTTCAAGTCCGCTCTGTGTAAAGGATCGTTCAACTCTGTGAGTTGAATACACACAACACAAGGTAGTTACTGAGAATTCTTCTGTCTAGCACAGTATGGAGAAATCCCGTTTCCAACGAAGGCCTCAAAGAGGTCTGAATATCCACTTGCAGAGTTTACAAACAGAGTGTTTCCTAACTGCTCTATGAAAAGAAAGGTTAAACTCTGTGAGTTGAACGCACACATCACAAAGAAGTTTCTGAGAATCATTCTGTCTAGTTTTTATACGAAGATATTTCCTTTTCTACCATTGACCTCAAAGCGGCTGAAATCTCCACTTGCAAATTACACAAAAAGAGTGTTTCAAGTCTACTCTGTGTAAAGCATCGTTCAACTCTGTGAGTTGAAAACACACAACACATGGAAGTTTCTGAGAATTCTTCTGTCTAGCAGAATATGAAGAAATCCCGTTTCCAACGAAGGCCTCAAGGAGGTCTGAATATCCACTTGCAGACTTTACAAACAGAGTGTTTCCTACCAGCTCTATGAACAGAAAGGTTAAACTCTGTGAGTTGAACGCACACATCACAAAAGAGTTTCTGAGAATCATTCTGTCTAGTCTTTATACGAAGATATTTCCTTTTCTACCATTGACCTCAAAGCGGCTGAAATCTCCACTTGCAAATTCCACAAAAAGAGTGTTTCAAGTCTGCTTTGTGTAAAGGATCGTTCAACTCTGTGAGTTGAATACACACAACACAAGGAAGTTACTGAGAATTCTTCTGTCTAGCAGAATATGAAGAAATCCCGTTTCCAACGAAGGCCACAAGATGTCAGAATATCCACTTACAGAATTTACAAACAGACTGTTTCCTAACTGCTCTATGAAAAGAAAGGTTAAACTCTGTGAGATGAACGAACACATCACAAAGGAGTTTCTGAGAATCTTTCTGTCTAGTTTTTATAGGAAGATATTTCCTTTTCTACCTTTGACTTCAAAGCGGCTGAAATCTCCACTTGCAAATTCCACAAAAAGAGTGTTACAAGTCTGCTCTGTGTAAAGGATCGTTCAACTCTGTGAGTTGAATGTACACAACACAAGGAAGTTACTGGGAATTCTTCTGTCTAGCCTTACATGAAAAAAACCCGTTTCCAACGAAGGCCTCTAAGTGGTCAAATTATCCACGTGCAGACTTTACAAACAGAGTGTTTCCAAACTGCTGAATGAAAAGCAAAGTTAAACTCTTGAGAGTTGAACGCACACATCGCAGAGCAGTTTCTGAGAATGATTCTGTCTAGTTTTTATACGAAGATATTTCCTTTTCTACCATTGACCTCAACGCGGCTGAAATCTCCACTTGCAAATTCCACAAAACGAGTGTTTCAAGTCTGCTCTGTGTAAAGGATCGTTCAACTCTGTGAGTTGAATACACACAACAAAAAGAAGTTACTGAGAATTCTTCTGTCTAGCATAGTATGAAGAAATCCCGTTTCCAACGAAGGCTTCAAAGAGGTCTGAATATCCACTTGCAGAGTTTACAAACAGAGTGTTTCCTAACTGCTCTATGAAAAGAAAGGTTAAACTCTGTGAGTTGAACGCACACATCACAAAGAAGTTTCTGAGAATCATTCTGTCTAGTCTTTATACGAAGATATTTCCTTTTCTACCGTTGACCTCAAAGCGGCTGAAATCTCCACTTGCAAATTCCACAAAAAGAGTGTTTCAAGTCTGCTCTGTGTAAAGGATCGTTCAACTCTGTGAGTTGAATACACACAACACAAGGAAGTTACTGAGAATTCTTCTGTCTAGCAGAATATGAAGAAATCCCGTTTCCAACGAAGGCCACAAGATGTCAGAATATCCACTTTCAGACTTTACAAACAGAGTGTTTCCTAACTGCTCTATGAACAGAAAGGTTAAACTCTGTGAGTTGAACGAACACATCACAACGCAGTTTGTGGGAATGATTCTGTCTAGTTTTGAAACGAAGATATTTCCTTTTCTGCCATTGACCTTAAAGCGCTTGAAATCTACACTTGCAAATTGCACAAATAGAGTTTTTCAAATCTGCTCTGTCTAAGGGAACGTTCAACTCTGTGAGTTGAATGCACACAACACAAGGGAAGTTACTGGGAATTCTTCTGCCTAGCCTTACATGAAAAAATCCCGTTTCCAACGAAGGCCTCTAAGTGGTCAAAATTTCCACGTGCAGACTTTACAAACAGAGTGTTTCCAAACCGCTGAATGAAAAGAAAAGTTAAACTCTGAGAGTTGAACGCACACATCACGCAGCAGTTTCTGAGAATGATTCTGTCTAGTTTTTATACGAAGATATTTCCTTTTCTGCCTTTGGCCTCAAAGCGCTTCAAATCTCCACTTGCAAATTCCACAAAAAGAGTGTTTCAAATCTGCTCTGTGTAAATGAAAGTTCAACTCTGTGAGTTGAACACACACAACACAAGGAAGTTACTGGGAATTCTTCTGTCTAGCCTTATATGAAAAAACCCGTTTCCAACGAAGGCCTCAAAGAGGTCTGAATATCCACTTGGAGACTTTACAAACAGAGTGTTTCCTAACTGCTCTATGAAAAGAAAGGTTAAACTCTGTGAGTTGAACGCACACATCACAAAGGAGTTTCTGAGAATCATTCTGTCTAGTTTTTATATGAAGATATTTCCTTTTCTACCAATGACCACAAAGCGGCTGAAATCTCCACTTACAAATTCCACAAAAAGAGTGTCTCAAGTCTGCTCTGTGTAAACGATCGTTCAACTCTGTGAGTTGAATACACACAACACAAGGAAGTTACTGAGAATTCTTCTGTCTAGCCTTACATGAAAAAAACCCGTTTCCAACGAAGGCCTCTAAGTGGTCAAATTATCCACGTGCAGACTTTACAAACAGAGTGTTTCCAAACTACTGAATGAAAAGAAAAGTTAAACTCTGAGAGTTGAACGCACACATCGCAGAGCAGTTTCTGAGAATGATTCTGTCTAGTTTTTATACGAAGATATTTCCTTTTCTGCCTTTGGCCCCAAAACGCTTGAAATCACCACTTGCAAATTCCACAAAAACAGTGTTTCAAATCTGCTCTCTCTAAATGAAAGTTCAACTCTGTCAGTTGAATACACACAACACAAGGAAGTTACTGAGAATTCTTCTGTCTAGCCTTACATGAAAAAAAACCGTTTCCAACGAAGGCCTCTAAGTGGTCAAGTTATCCACGTGCAGACTTTACAAACAGAGTGTTTCCAAACTGCTGAATGAAAAGAAAAGTTAAACTCTGAGAGTTGAACGCACACATCGCAGAGCAGTTTCTGAGAATGATTCTGTCTAGTTTTTATACGAAGATATTTCCTTTTCTGCCTTTGGCCTCAAAGCCCTTGAAATCTCCACTTGCAAATTCCACAAAAAGAGTGTTTCTAATCTGCTCTGTCTAAATGAAAGTTCAACTCTGTCAGTTGAATACACACAACACAAGGAAGTTACTGAGAATTCTTCTGTATAGCAGAATATGAAGAAATCCCGTTTCCAACGAAAGCCTCAAAGTTGTCTGAATATCCACTTGCAGACTTTACAAACAGAGTGTTTCCTAACTGCTCTATGAAAAGAAAGGTTAAACTCTGTGAGTTGAACGCACACATCACAAAGGATTTTCTGAGAATCATTCTGTCTAGTTTCTATAGGAAGATATTTCCTATTCTACCATTGAACACAAAGCGGCTGAAATCTCCACCTGCAAATTCCACAAAAAGAGTGTTTCAAGTCTGCTCTGTGTAAAGGATCGTTCAACTCTGTGAGTTGAATACACACAACACAAGGAAGTTACTGAGAATTCTTCTGTCTAGCAGAATGTGAAGAAATCCCGTTTCCAACGAAGGCCACAAGATGTCAGAATATCCACTTACAGAATTTACAAACAGACTGTTTCCTAACTGCTCTATGAAAAGAAAGGTTAAACTCTGTGAGTTGAACGAACATATCACAACGCAGTTTGTGGGAATGATTCTGTCTAGTTTTGAAACGAAGATATTTCCTTTTCTGCCATTGACCTTAAAGCGCTTGAAATCTCCATTTGCCAATTGCACAAAAAGAGTGTTTCAAATCTGCTCTGTCTAAGGGAACGTTCAACTCTGTGAGTTGAATGTACACAACACAAGGGAGTTACTGGGAATTCTTCTGTCTAGCCTTACATGAAAAAAACCCGTTTCCAACGAAGGCCTCTAAGTGGTCAAATTCTCCACGTGCAGACTTTACAAACAGAGTGTTTCCAAACTGCTGAATGAAAAGAAAAGTTAAACTCTGAGAGTTGAACGCACACATCGCAGAGCAGTTTCTGAGAATGATTCTGTCTAGTTTTGAAACGAAGATATTTCCTTTTCTGCCTTTGGCCTCAAAGCGCTTGAAATCTCCACTTGCAACTTCCACAAAAAGAGTGTTTCAAATCTGCTCTGTGTAAATGAAAGTTCAACTCTGTGAGTTGAACACACACAACACAAGGAAGTTACTGGGAATTCTTCTGTCTAGCAGAATATGAAGAAATCCCGTTTCCAACGAAGGCCTCAAAGAGGTCTGAATATCCACTTGCAGACTTTACAAACAGAGTGTTTCCTAACTGCTCTATGAAAAGAAAAGTTAAACTCTGTGAGTTGAACGCACACATCACAAAGGAGTTTATGAGAATCATTCTGTCTAGTTTCTATAGGAAGATATTTCCTATTCTACCATTGACCTCAAAGCGGCTGAAATCTCTACTTGCAAATTCCACAAAAAGAGTGTTTCAAGTCTGCTCTGTGTAAAGGATCGTTCAACTCTGTGAGTTGAATACACACAACACAAGGAAGTTACTGAGAATTCTTCTGTCTAGCAGAATATGAAGAAATCCCGTTCCCAACGAAGGCCACAAGATGTCAGAATATCCACTTACAGACTTTACAAACAGAGTGTTTCCTAACTGCTCTATGAACAGAAAGGTTAAACTCTGTGAGTTGAACGAACACATCACAACGCAGTTTGTGGGAATGATTTCTGTCTAGTTTTGAAAAGAAGAAATTTCCTTTTCTGCCATTGACCTTAAAGCGCTTGAAATCTACACTTGCAAATTGCACAAATAGAGTGTTTCAAATCTGCTCTGTCTAAGGGAACGTTCAACTCTGTGAGTTGAATGCACACAACACAAGGAAGTTACTGGGAATTCTTCTGTCTAGCCTTACATGAAGAAAACCCGTTTCCAACGAAGGCGTCTAAGAGGTCAAAATATCCACGTGCAGACTTTACAAAGAGAGTGTTTCCAAACCGCTGAATGAAAAGAAAAGTTAAACTCTGAGAGTTGAACGCAGACATCACGCAGCAGTTTCTGAGAATGATTCTGTCTAGTTTTTATACGAAGATATTTCCTTTTCTGCCTTTGGCCCCAAAGCGCTTGAAATCTCCACTTGCAAATTCCACAAAAACAGTGTTTCAAATCTGCTCTCTCTAAATGAATGTTCAACTCTGTCAGTTGAATACACACAACACAAGGAAGTTACTGAGAATTCTTCTGTATAGCAGAATATGAAGAAATCCCGTTTCCAACGAAGGCCTCAAAGATGTCTGAATATCCACTTACAGACTATAAAAACAGAGTGTTTCCTAACTGGTCTATGAAAAGAAAGGTTAAACTCTGTGAGTTGAACGCACACATCACAAAGGAGTTTCTGAGAATCATTCTGTCTAGTTTCTATAGGAAGATATTTCCTATTCTACCATTGAACTCAAAGCGGCTGAAATCTCCACTTGCAAATTCCACAAAAAGAGTGTTTCAAGTCTGCTCTGTGTAAAGGATCGTTCAACTCTGTGAGTTGAATACACACAACACAAGGAAAGTTACTGAGAATTCTTCTGTCTAGCAGAATATGAAGAAATCCCGTTTCCAACGAAGGCCACAAGATGTCAGAATATCCACTTACAGAATTGACAAACAGACTGTTTCCTAACTGCTCTATGAAAAGAAAGGTTAAACTCTGTGAGTTGAACGAACACATCACAACGCTGTTTGTGGGAATGATTCTGTCTAGTTTTGAAACGAAGATATTTCCTTTTGTGCCGTTGACCTTAAAGAGCTTGAAAACTACACTTGCAAATTGCACAAATAGAGTGTTTCAAATCTGCTCTGTCTAAGGGAACGTTCAACTCTGTGAGTTGAATGCACACAACACAAGGAAGTTACTGGGAATTCTTCTGTCTAGCAGAATATGAAGAAATCCCGTTTCCAACGAAGGCCACAAGATGTCAGAATATCCACTTACAGAATTTACAAACAGACTGTTTCCTAAGTGCTCTATGATAAGAAAGGTTAAACTCTGTGAGTTGAACGAACACATCACAACGCAGTTTGTGGGAATGATTCTGTCTAGTTTTGAAACGAAGATATTTCCTTTTCTGCCATTGACCTTAATGCGCTTGAAATCTACACTTGCAAATTGCACAAATAGAGTGTTTCAAATCTGCTCTGTCTAAGGGAACGTTCAACTCTGTGAGTTGAATGCACACAACACAAGGGAAGTTACTGGGAATTCTTCTGTCTAGCATAATATGAAGAAATCCCGTTTCCAACGAAGGCCACAAAGAGGTCTGAATATCCACTTGCAGACTTTACAAACAGAGTGTTTCCTAACTGCTCTATGAAAAGAAAAGTTAATCTCTGTGAGTTGAACGCACCCATCACAAACGAGTTTCTGAGAATCATTCTGTCTAGTCTTTATACGAAGATATTTCCTTTTCTACCATTGACCTCAAAGCGGCTGAAATCTCCACTTGCAAATTCCACAAAAAGAGTGTTTCAAGTCTGCTCTGTGTAAAGGATCGTTCACCTCTGTGAGTTGAATACACACAACACAAGGAAGTTACTGAGAATTCTTCTTTCTAGCAGAACATGAAGAAATCCCGTTTCCAACGAAAGCCTCAAGGATGTCTGAATTTCCACTTGCAGACTTTACAAAAAGAGTGTTTCCTAACTGCTCTATGAAAAGAAAGGTTAAACTCTGTGAGTTGAACGCACACATCACAAAGGAGTTTCTGAGAATCATTCTGTCTAGTTTCTATAGGAAGATATTTCCTATTCTACCATTGACCCCAAAGCGGCTGAAATCTCCACTTGCAAATTCCACAAAAAGAGTGTTTCAAGTCTGCTCTGTGTAAAGGATCGTTCAACTCTGTGAGTTGAATACACACAACACAAGGAAGTTACTGAGAATTCTTCTGTTTAGCCTTACAGGAAAAAAACCCGTTTCCAACGAAGGCCTCTAAGTGGTCAAAATATCCACGTGCAGACTTTACAAACAGAGTGTTTCCAAACTGCTGAATGAAAAGAAAAGTTAAACTCTGAGAGTTGAACGCACACATCGCAGAGCAGTTTCTGAGAATGATTTCTGTCTAGTTTTTATACGAAGATATTTCCTTTTCTGCCTTTGGCCCGAAAGCGCTTGAAATCTCCACTTGCAAATTCCACAAAAACAGTGTTTCAAATCTGCTCTCTCTAAATGAAAGTTCAACTCTGTCAGTTGAATACACACAACAGAAGGAAGTTAGTGAGAATTCTTCTGTCTAGCATAATATGAAGAAATCCCGTTTCCAACGAAGGCCTCAAAGGGGTCTGAATATCCACTTGCAGACTTTATAAACAGAGTGTTTACTAACTGCTCTATGAAAAGAAAGGTTAAACTCTGTGAGTTGAACGCACACATCACAAAGGAGTTTCTGAGAATCATTCTGTCTAGTTTCTATAGGAAGATATTTCCTATTCTACCATTGACCTCAAAGCGGCTGAAATCTCCATTTGCAAATTCCACAAAAAGAATGTTTCAAGTCTGCTCTGTGTAAAGGATCGTTCAACTCTGTGAGTTGAATACACACAACACAAGGAAGTTACTGAGAATTCTTCTGTCTAGCAGAATATGAAGAAATCCCGTTTCCAACGAAGGCCACAACATGTCAGAATATCCACTTACAGAATTTACAAACAGACTGTTTCCTAACTGCTCTATGAAAAGAAAGGTTAAACTCTGTGAGTTGAACGAACACATCACAACGCAGTTTGTGGGAATGATTCTGTCTAGTTTTGAAACGAAGATATTTCCTTTTCTGCCGTTGACCTTAAAGAGCTTGAAATCTACACTTGCAAATTGCACAAATAGAGTGTTTCAAATCTGCTCTGTCTAAGGGAACGTTCAACTCTGTGAGTTGAATGCACACAACACAAGGAAGTTACTGGGAATTCTTCTGTCTAGCCTTACATGAAAAAAACCCGTTTCCAACGAAGGCCTCTAAGTGGTCAAATTATCCACGTGCAGACTTTACAAACAGAGTGTTTCCAAACTGCTGAATGAAAAGAAAAGTTAAACTCTGAGAGTTGAACGCACACATCGCAGAGCAGTTTCTGAGAATGATTGTGTCTAGTTTCTATAGGAAGATATTTCCTATTCTAACATTGACCTCAAAGCGGCTGAAATCTCCACTTGCATATTCCACAAAAAGAGTGTTTCAAGTCTGCTCTGTGTAAAGGATCGTTCAACTCTGAGTTGAATACACACAACACAAGGAAGTTACTGAGAATTCTTCTTTCTAGCAGAATATGAAGAAATCCCGTTTCCAACGAAAGCCTCAAGGATGTCTGAATATCCACTTGCAGACTTTACAGAGTGTTTCCTAACTGCTCTATGAAAAGAAAGGTTAAACTCTGTGAGTTGATCGCACACATCACAAAGGAGTTTCTGAGAATCATTCTGTCTAGTCTTTATACGAAGATATTTCCTTTTCTACCATTGACCTCAAAGCGGCTGAAATCTCTACTTGCAAATTCCACAAAAAGAGTGTTTCAAGTCTGCTCTGTGTAAAGGATCGTTCAACTCTGTGAGTTGAATACACACAACACAAGGAAGTTACTGAGAATTCTTCTGTCTAGCAGAATATGAAGAAATCCCGTTTCCAACGAAGGCCTCAAGGAGGTCTGAATATCCACTTGCAGACTTTACAAACAGAGTGTTTCCTAACTGCTCTATGAACAGAAAGGTTAAACTCTGTGAGTTGAACGAACACATCACAACGCAGTTTGTGGGAATGATTCTGTCTAGTTTTGAAACGAAGATATTTCCTTTTCTGCCATTGACCTTAAAGCGCTTGAAATCTACACTTGCAAATTGCACAAATAGAGTGTTTCAAATCTGCTCTGTCTAAGGGAACGTACAACTCTGTGAGTTGAATGCACACAACACAAGGAAGTTACTGGGAATTCTTCTGTCTAGCCTTACATGAAAAAAACCCGTTTCCAACGAAGGCCTCTAAGTGGTCAAAATATCCACGTGCAGACTTTACAAACAGAGTGTTTCCAAACCGCTGAATGAAAAGAAAAGTTAAACTCTGAGAGTTGAACGCACACATCACGCAGCAGTTTCTGAGAATGATTCTGTCTAGTTTTTATACGAAGATATTTCCTTTTCTGCCTTTGGCCCCAAAGCGCTTGATATCTCCACTTGCAAATTCCACAAAAACAGTGTTTCAAATCAGCTCTCTCTAAATGAAAGTTCAACTGTGTCAGTTGAATACACACAACACAAGGAAGTTACTGAGAATTCTTCTGTCTAGCAGAATATGAAGAAATCCCGTTTCCAACGAAGGCCTCAAAGAGGTCTGAATATCCACTTGCAGACTTTACAAACAGAGTGTTTCCTAACTGCTCTATGAAAAGAAAGGTTAAACTCTGTGAGTTGAACGCACACATCACAAAGGAGTTTCTGAGAATCATTTCTGTCTAGTTTCTATAGGAAGATATTTCCTAGTCTACCATTGACCTCAAAGCGGGTGAAATCTCCACTTGCAAATTCCAAAAAAAGAGTGTTTCAAGTCTGCTCTGTGTAAAGGATCGTTCAACTCTGTGAGTTGAATACACACAACACAAGGAAGTTACTGAGAATTCTTCTGTATAGCAGAATATGAAGCAATCCCGCTTCCAACGAAGGCCTCAAAGAAGTCTGCATATCCACTTGCAGACTTTACAAACAGAGTGTTTCCTAACTGCTCTATGAAAAGAAAGGTTAAACTCTGTGAGTTGAACGCACACATCACAAAGGAGTTTCTGAGAATCATTCTGTCTAGTTTTGAAACGAAGATATTTCCTTTTCTGCCATTGACCTTAAAGCGCTTGAAATCTCCACTTGCCAATTGCACAAAAAGAGTGTTTCAAATCTGCTCTGTCTAAGGGAACGTTCAACTCTGTGAGTTGAATGTACACAACACAAGGAAGTTACTGGGAATTCTTTTGTCTAGCCTTACAGGAAAAAACCCGTTTCCAACGAAGGCCTCTAAGTGGTCAAAATATCCACGTGCAGACTTTACAAACAGAGTGTTTCCAAACTGCTGAATGAAAAGAAAAGTTAAACTCTGAGAGTTGAACGCACACATCGCAGAGCAGTTTCTGAGAATGATTCTGTCTAGTTTTTATACGAAGATATTTCCTTTTCTGCCTTTGGCCCCAAAGCGCTTGAAATCTCCACTTGCAAATTCCACAAAAACAGTGTTTCAAATCTGCTCTCTCCAAATGAAAGTTCAACTCTGTTAGTTGAATAAACACAACACAAGGAAGTTACTGAGAATTATTCTGTCTAGCAGAATATGAAGAAATCCCGCTTCCAACGAAGGCCTCAAGGAAGTCTGAATATCCACTTGCAGACTTTACAAACAGAGTGTTTCCCAACTGCTCTATGAAAAGAAAGGTTGAACTCTGTGAGTTGAACGCACACATCACAAAGGAGTTTCTGAGAATCATTCTGTCTAGTTTTTATACGAAGATATTTCCTTTTCTACCATTGACCTCAACGTGGCTGAAATCTCCACTTGCAAATTCCACAAAACGAGTGTTTCAAGTCCGCTCTGTGTAAAGGATCGTTCAACTCTGTGAGTTGAATACACACAACACAAGGAAGTTATTGAGAATTCTTCTGTCTAGCACAATATGAAGAAATCCCGTTTCCAACGAAGGCCACAAGATTTCAGAATATCCACTTACAGACTTTACAAACAGAGTGTTTCCTAACTGCTCTATGAACAGAAAGGTTAAACTCTGTGAGTTGAACGAACACATCACAACGCAGTTTGTGGGAATGATTCTGTCTAGTTTTGAAACGAAGATATTTCCTTTTCTGCCATTGACCTTAAAGCGCTTGAAATCTCCACTTGCCAATTGCACAAAAAGAGTGTTTCAAATCTGCTCTGTCTAAGGGAACGTTCAACTCTGTGAGTTGAATGTACACAACGCAAGGAAGTTACTGGGAATTCTTCTGCCTAGCCTTACATGAAAAAATCCCGTTTCCAACGAAGGCCTCTAAGTGGTCAAAATTTCCACGTGCAGACTTTACAAACAGAGTGTTTCCAAACCGCTGAATGAAAAGAAAAGTTAAACTCTGAGAGTTGAACGCACACATCACGCAGCAGTTTCTGAGAATGATTCTGTCTAGTTTTTATACGAAGATATTTCCTTTTCTGCCTTTGGCCTCAAAGCGCTTGAAATCTCCATTTGCAAATTCCACAAAAAGAGTGTTTCAAATCTGCTCTGTGAAAATGAAAGTTCAACTCTGTGAGTTGAACACACACAACACAAGGAAGTTACTGGGAATTCTTCTGTCTAGCCTTATATGAAAAAAACCCGTTTCCAACGAAGGCCTTAAAGAGGTCTGAATATCCACTTGCAGACTTTACAAACAGAGTGTTTCCTAACTGCTCTATGAAAAGAAAGGTTAAACTCTGTGAGTTGAACGCACACATCACAAAGAAGTTTCTGAGAATCATTCTGTCTATTCTTTATACGAAGATATTTCCTTTTCTACCATTGACCTCAAAGCGGCTGAAATCTCCACTTGCAAATTCCACAAAAAGAGTGTTTCAAGTCTGCTCTCTGTAAAGGATCGTTCAACTCTGTGAGTTGAATACACACAACACAAGGGAAGTTACTGAGAATTCTTCTGTCTAGCAGAATATGAAGAAATCCCGTTTCCAACGAAGGCCACAAGATATCAGAATATCCACTTACAGACTTTACAAAGAGAGTGTTTCCTAACTGCTCTATGAACAGAAAGGTTAAACTCTGTGAGTTGAACGAACACATCACAACGCAGTTTGTGGGAATGATTCTGTCTACTTTTGAAACGAAGATATTTCCTTTTCTGCCATTGACCTTAAAGCGCTTGAAATCTCCACTTGCCAATTGCACAAAAAGAGTGTTTCAAATCTGCTCTGTCTAAGGGAACGTTCAACTCTGTGAGTTGAATGTACAGAACACAAGGAAGTTACTGGGAATTCTTCTGTCTAGCCTTACAGGAAAAAAACCCGTTTCCAAAGAAGGCCTCTAAGTGGTCAAAATATCCACGTGCAGACTTTACAAACAGAGTGTTTCCAAACTGCTGAATGAAAAGAAAAGTTAAACTCTGAGAGTTGAACGCACACATCGCAGAGCAGTTTCTGAGAATGATTCTGTCTAGTTTTGAAACGAAGATATTTCCTTTTCTGCCTTTGGCCCCAAAGCGCTTGAAATCTCCACTTGCAAATTCCACAAAAAGAGTGTTTCAAATCTGCTCTGTGTAAATGAAAGTTCAACTCTGTGAGTTGAACACACACAACACAAGGAAGTTACTGGGAATTCTTCTTTCTAGCAGAATATGAAGAAATCCCGTTTCAAACGAAAGCCTCAAGGATGTCTGAATATCCACTTGCAGACTTTACAAACAGAGTGTTTCCTAACTGCTCTATGAAAAGAAAGGTTAAACTCTGTGAGTTGAACGCACACATCACAAAGGAGTTTCTGAGAATCATTCTGTCTAGTTTCTATACGAAGATATTTCATTTTCTACCATTAACCTCAAAGCGGCTGAAATCTCCACTTGCAAATTCCACAAAAAGTGTGTTTCAAGTCTGCTCTGTGTAAAGGATCGTTCAACTCTGTGAGTTGAATGCACACAACACAAGGAAGTTACTGGGAATTCTTCTGTCTAGCAGAATATGAAGAAATCCCGTTTCCAACGATGGCCACAAGATGTCAGAATATCCACTTACAGACTTTACAAACAGAGTGTTTCCTAACTGCTCTATGAACAGAAAGGTTAAACACTGTGAGTTGAACGAACACATCACAACGCAGTTTGTGGGAATGATTCTGTCTAGTTTTGAAACGAAGATATTTCCTTTTCTGCCGTTGACCTTAAAGCGCTTGAAATCTACACTTGGAAATTGCACAAATAGAGTGTTTCAAATCTGCTCTGTCTAAGGGAACGTTCAACTCTGTGAGTTGAATGCACACAACACAAGGAAGTTACTGGGAATTCTTCTGTCTAGCCATACATGAAAAAAACCCGTTTCCAACGAAGGCCTCTAAGTGGTCAAAATATCCATGTGCAGACTTTACAAACAGAGTGTTTCCTAACTGCTCTATGAAAAGAAAGGTTAAACTCTGTGAGTTCAACGCCCACATCACAAAGGAGTTTCTGAGAATCATTCTGTCTAGTTTTTCTACGAAGATATTTCCTTTTCTACTATTGACCTCAAAGCGGCTGAAATCTCCACTTGCAAATTCCACAAAAACAGTGTTTCAAATCTGCTCTCTCTAAATGAAAGTTCAACTCTGTCAGTTGAATACACACAACACAAGGAAGTTACTGAGAATTCTTCTGCCTAGCATAATATGAAGAAATCCCGTTTCCAACGAAGGCCTCAAGCAGGTCTGAATATCCACTTGCATACTTTACAAACAGAGTGTTTCCTAACTGCTCTATGAAAAGAAAGGTTAAACTCTGTGAGTTGAACGCACACATCACAAAGGAGTTTCTGAGAATCATTCTGTCTAGTTTTTATACGAAGATATTTCCTTTTCTAACATTGACCTCAACGCGGCTGAAATCTCCACTTGCAAATTCCACAAAAAGAGTGTTTCAAGTCTGCTCTGTGTAAAGGATCGTTCAACTCTGTGAGTTGAATACACACAACACAAGGAAGTTACTGAGAATTCTTCTGTCTAGCAGAATATGAAGAAATCCCGTTTCCAACGAAGGCCACAAGATGTCAGAATATCCACTTACAGACTTTACAAACAGAGTGTTTCCTAACTGCTCTGTGAACAGAAAGGTTAAACTCTGTGAGTTGAACGAACACATCACAACGCAGTTTGTGGGAATGATTCTGTCTAGTTTTGAAACGAAGATATTTCCTTTTCTGCAGGTTGATCTTAAAGAGCTTGAAAACTACACTTGCAAATTGCACAAATAGAGTGTTTCAAATCTGCTCTGTCTAAGGGAACGTTCAACTCTGTGAGTTGAATGCACACAACACAAGGAAGTTACTGGGAATTCTTCTGTCTAGCCTTACATGAAAAAAACCCGTTTCCAACGAAGGCCTCTAAGTGGTCAAAATTTCCACGTGCAGACTTTACAAACAGAGTGTTTCCAAACCGCTGAATGAAAAGAAAAGTTAAACTCTGAGAGTTGAACGCACACATCACGCAGCAGTTTCTGAGAATGATTCTGTCTAGTTTTTATAGAAAGATATTTCCTTTTCTGCCTTTGGCCTCAAAGCGCTTGAAATCTCCATTTGCAAATTCCACAAAAAGAGTGTTTCAAATCTGCTCTGTGTAAATGAAAGTTCAACTCTGTGAGTTGAACACACACAACACAAGGAAGTTACTGGGAATTCTTCTGTCTAGCCTTATATGAAAAAATCCCGTTTCCAACGAAGGCCTGAAGGAGGTCTGAATATCCACTTGCAGACTTTACAAACAGAGTGTTTCCTAACTGCTCTATGAAAAGAAAGGTTAAACTCTGTGAGTTGAACGCACACATCACAAAGGAGTTTCTGAGAATCATTCTGTCTAGTTTTTATACGAAGATATCTCCTTTTCTACTATTGACCTCAAAGCGGCTGAAATCTCCACTTGCAAATTCCACAAAAAGAGTGTTTCAAGTCTGCTCTGTGTAAAGGATCGTTCAACTCTGTGAGTTGAATACACACAACACAAGGAAGTTACTGAGAATCCTTCTGTCTAGCAGAATATGAAGAAATCCCTTTTCCAACGAAGGCCACAAGATGTCAGAATATCCACTTACAGAGTTTACAAACAGAGTGTTTCCTCACTGCTCTGTGAACAGAAAGGTTAAACTGCTGTGAGTTGAACGAACACATCACAACGCAGTTTGTGGGAATGATTCTGTCTAGTTTTGAAACGAAGATATTTCCTTTTCTGCCATTGACCTTAAAGCGCTTGAAATCTACACTTGCAAATTGCACAAATAGAGTGTTTCAAATCTGCTCTGTCTAATGGAACGTTCAACTCTGTGAGTTGAATGCACACAACACAAGGAAGTTACTGGGAATTCTTCTGTCTAGCCTTACAGGAAAAAAACCCGTTTCCAACGAAGGCCTCTAAGTGGTCAAAATATCGACGTGCAGACTTTACAAACAGAGTGTTTCCAAACTGCTGAATGAAAAGAAAAGTTAAACTCTGAGAGTTGAACGCACACATCGCAGAGCAGTTTCTGAGAATGATTCTGTCTAGTTTTTATACGAAGATATTTCCTTTTCTGCCTTTGGCCTCAAAGCGCTTGAAATCTCCACTTGCAAATTCCACAAAAAGAGTGTTTCAAATCTGCTCTGTGTAAATCAAAGTTCAACTCTGTGAGTTGAATGTACACAACACAAGGAAGTTACTGGGAATTCTTCTGTCTAGCAGAATACGAAGAAATCCCGTTTCCAACGAAGGCCTCAAAGAGGTCTGAATATCCACTTACAGACTTTACAAACAGAGTGTTTCCTAACTGCTCTATGAAAAGAAAGGTTAAACTCTGTGAGTTGAACGCACACATCACAAAGGAGTTTCTGAGAATCATTCTGTCTAGTTTTTATACGAAGATATTTCCTTTTCTACCATTGACCTCAAAGCGGCTGAAATCTCCACTTGCAAATTACACAAAAAGAGTGTTTCAAGTCTACTCTGTGTAAAGCGTCGTTCAACTCTGTGAGTTGAAAACACACAACACAAGGAAGTTTCTGAGAATTCTTCTGTCTAGCAGAATATGAAGAAATCCCTTTTCCAACGAAGGCCACAAGATGTCAGAATATCCACTTACAGACTTTACAAACAGAGTGTTTCCTAACTGCTCTATGAACAGAAAGGTAAAACTCTGTGAGTTGAACGAACACATCACAACGCAGTTTGTGGGAATGATTCTGTCTAGTTTTGAAACAAAGATATTTCCTTTTCTGCCATTGACCTTAAAGCGCTTGAAATCTACACTTGCAAATTGCACAAATAGAGTGTTTCAAATCTGCTCTGTCTAAGGGAACGTTCATCTCTGTGAGTTGAATGCACACAACACAAGGAAGTTACTGGGAATTCTTCTGTCTAGCCTTACATGAAAAAAACCCGTTTCCAACGAAGGCCTCTAAGTGGTCAAGTTTTCCACATGCAGACTTTACAAACAGAGTGTTTCCAAACTGCTGAATGAAAAGAAAAGTTAAACTCTGAGAGTTGAACGCACACATCGCAGAGCAGTTTCTGAGAATGATTCTGTCGAGTTTTTATACGAAGATATTTCCTTTTCTGCCTTTGGCCTCAAAGCGCTTGAAATCTCCATTTGCAAATTCCACAAAAAGAGTGTTTCAAATCTGCTCTGTGTAAATGAAAGTTCAACTCTATGAGTTGAACACACACAACACAAGGAAGTTACTGGGAATTCTTCTGTCTAGCATAATATGAAGAAATGCCGTTTCCAAAGAAGGCCTCAAAGAGGTCTGAGTATCCACTTGCAGACTTTACAAACAGAGTGTTTCCTAACTGCTCTATGAAAAGAAAGGTTAAACTCTGTGAGTTGAACGCACACATCACAAAGGAGTTTCTGAGAATCATTCTGTCTAGTTTTTATACGAAGATATTTCCTTTTCTATCATTGACCTCAACGCGGCTGAAATCTCCACTTGCAAATTCCACAAAAAGAGTGTTTCAAGTCCGCTCTCTCTAAAGGATCGTTCAACTCTGTGAGTTGAATACACACAACACAAGGAAGTTACTGAGAATTCTTCTGTCTAGCACAGTATGAAGAAATCCCGTTTCCAACGAAGGCCTCAAAGAGGTCTGAATATCCACTTGCAGACTTTACAAACAGAGTGTTTCCTAACTGCTCTATGAAAAGAAAGGTTAAACTCTGTGAGTTGAACGCACACATCACAATGAAGTTTCTGAGAATCATTCTGTCTAGTTTTTATACGAAGATATTTCCTTTTCTACCATTGACCTCAAAGCGGCTGAAATCTCCACTTGCAAATTCCACAAAAAGAGTGTCTCAAGTCTGCTCTGTGTAAAGGATCGTTCAACTCTGTGAGTTGAATACACACAACACAAGGAAAGTTACTGAGAATTCTTCTGTCTAGCCTTACAGGAAAAAAACCCGTTTCCAACGAAGGCCTCTAAGTGGTCAAAATATCCACGTGCAGACTTTACAAACAGAGTGTTTCCAAACTGCTGAATGAAAAGAAAAGTTAAACTCTGAGAGTTGAACGCACACATCGCAGAGCAGTTTCTGAGAAAGATTCTGTCTAGTTTTTATACGAAGATATTTCCTTTTCTGCCTTTGGCCCCAAAGCGCTTGAAATCTCCACTTGCAAATTCCACAAAAACAGTGTTTCAAATCTGCTCTCTCCAAATGAAAGTTCAACTCTGTCAGTTGAAAACACACAACACAAGGAAGTTACTGAGAATTCTTCTGTCTAGCCTTATATGAAAAAATCCCGTTTCCAACGAAGGCCTCAAAGAGGTCTGAATATCCTCTTGCAGACTTTACAAACAGAGTGTTTCCTAACTGCTCTATGAAAAGAAAGGTTAAACTCTGTGAGTTGGACACACACATCACAAAGGAGTTTCTGAGAATCATTCTGTCTAGTTTTTATAGGAAGATATTTCCTTTTCTACCTTTGACTTCAAAGCGGCTGAAATCTCCACTTGCAAATTCCACAAAAAAGTTTTACAAGTCTGCTCTGTGTAAAGGATCGTTCAACTCTGTGAGTTGAATACACACAACACAAGGAAGTTACTGAGAATTCTTCTGTCTAGCAGAATATGAAGAAATCCCGTTTCCAACGAAGGCCACAAGATGTCAGAATATCCACTTACAGAATTTTCAAACAGACTGTTTCCTAACTGCTCTATGAAAAGAAAGGTTAAACTCTGTGAGTTGAACGAACACATCACAACGCAGTTTGTGGGAATGATCTGTCTAGTTTTGAAACGAAGATATTTCCTTTTCTGCCATTGACCTTAAAGCGCTTGAAATCTCCACTTGCCAATTGCACAAAAAGAGTGTTTCAAATCTGCTCTGTCTAAGGGAACGTTCAACTCTGTGAGTTGAATGTACACAACACAAGGAAGTTACTGGGAATCTTCTCTGTCTAGCCTTACAGGAAAAAAACCCGTTTCCAACGAAGGCCTCTAAGTGGTCAAATTATCCACGTGCAGAATTTACAAACAGAGTGTTTCCAAACTGCTGAATGAAAAGAAAAGTTAAACTCTGAGAGTTGAACGCACACATCGCAGAGCAGTTTCTGAGAATGATTCTGTCTAATTTTTATACGAAGATATTTCCTTTTCTGCCTTTGGCCTCAAAGCGCTTGAAATCTCCATTTGCAAATTCCACAAAATGAGTGTTTCAAATCTGCTCTGTGTAAATGAAAGTTCAACTCTGTGAGTTGAACACACACAACACATGGAAGTTACTGGGAATTCTTCTGTCTAGCCTTATATGAAAAAAACCCGTTTCCAACGAAGGCCTCAAAGAGGTCTGAATATCCACTTGCAGACTTTACAAACAGAGTGTTTCCTAACTGCTCTATGAAAAGAAAGGTTAAACTACTGTGAGTTGAACGCACACATCACAAAGGAGTTTCTGAGAATCATTCTGTCTAGTTTTTATACGAAGATATTTCCTATTCTACCATTGACCTCAAAGCGGCTGAAATCTCCACCTTGCCAATTCCACAAAAAGAGTGTTTCAAGTCTACTCTGTGTAAAGGATCGTTGAACTCTGTGATTTGAAAACACACAACACAACGAAGTTTCTGAGAATTCTTCTGTCTAGCAGAATATGAAGAAATCCCGTTTCCAACGAAGGCCACAAGATGTCAGAATATCCACTTACAGAATTGACAAACAGACTGTTTCCTAACTGCTCTATGAAAAGAACGGTTAAACTCTGTGAGTTGAACGAACACATCACAACGCAGTTTGTGGGAATGATTCTGTCTAGTTTTTATTGGAAGATATTTCCTTTTCTACTTTGACTTCAAAGCGGCTGAAATCTCCACTTGCAAATTCCACAAAAAGAGTGTTACAAGTCTGCTCTGTGTAAAGGATCGTTCAACTGTGTGAGTTGAATACACACAACACAAGGAAGTTACTGAGAACTCTTCTGTCTAGCCTTACATGAAAAAAACCCGTTTCCAACGAAGGCCTCTAAGTGGTCAAATTATCCACGTGCAGACTTTACAAACAGAGTGTTTCTAAACTGCTGAATGAAAAGAAAAGTTAAACTCTGAGAGTTGAACGCACACATCGCAGAGCAGTTTCTGAGAATGATTCTGTCTAGTTTTTATACGAAGATATTTCCTTTTCTGCCTTTGGCCTCAAAGCGCTTGAAATCTCCACCTGCAAATTCCACAAAAAGAGTGTTTCAAATCTGCTCTGTGTAAACGAAAGTTCAACTCTGTGAGTTGAACACACACAACCCAAGGAAGTTACTGGGAATTCTTCTGTCTAGCATAATATGAAGAAATCCCGTTTCCAACGAAGGCCTCAAGCAGGTCTGAATATCCACTTGCATACTTTACAAACAGAGTGTTTCCTAACTGCTCTATGAAAAGAAAGGTTAAACTCTGTGAGTTGAACGCACACATCACAAAGGAGTTTATGAGAATCATTCTGTCTAGTTTCTATAGGAAGATATTTCCTATTCTACCATTGACCTCAAAGCGGCTGAAATCTCCATTGCAAATTCCACAAAAAGAATGTTTCAAGTCTGCTCTGTGTAAAGGATCGTTCAACTCTGTGAGTTGAATACACACAACACAAGGAAGTTACTGAGAATTCTTCTGTCTAGCAGAATATGAAGAAATCCCGTTTCCAACGAAGGCCACAAGATGTCAGAATATCCACTTACAGACTTTACAAACAGAGTGTTTCCTAACTGCTCTATGAACAGAAAGGTTAAACTGCTGTGAGTTGAACGAACACATCACAACGCAGTTTGTGGGAATGATTCTGTCTAGTTTTGAAACGAAGAAATTTCCTTTTCTGCCATTGACCTTAAAGCGCTTGAAATCTACACTTGCAAATTGCACAAATAGAGTGTTTCAAATCTGCTCTGTCTAAGGGAACGTTCAACTCTGTGAGTTGAATGCACACAACACAAGGAAGTTACTGGGAATTCTTCTGTCTAGCCTTACATGAAAAAAACCCTTTTCCAACGAAGGCCTCTAAGTGGTCAAATTATCCACGTGCAGACTTTACAAACAGAGTGTTTCCAAACTGCTGAATGAAAAGAAAAGTTAAACTCTGAGAGTTGAACGCACACATCACAGAGCAGTTTCTGAGAATGATTCTGTCTAGTTTTTATACGAAGATATTTCCTTTTCTGCCTTTGACCCCAAAGCGCTTGAAATCTCCATTGGAAATTCCACAAAAACAGTGTTTCAAATCTGCTCTCTCTAAATGAAAGTTCAACTCTGTCAGTTGAATACACACAACACAAGGAAGTTACTGAGAATTCTTCTGTCTAGCCTTATATGAAAAAAACCCGTTTCCAACGAAGGCCTCAAAGAGGGCTGAATATCCACTTGCAGACTTTACAAGCAGAGTGTTTCCTAACTGCTCTATGAAAAGAAAGGTTAAACTCTGTGAGTTGAAGGCACACATCACAAAGGAGTTTCTGAGAATCATTCTGTCTAGTTTCTATAGGAAGATATTTCCTATTCTACCATTGACCTCAAAGCGGCTGAAATCTCCACTTGCGAATTCCACAAAAAGAGTGTTTCAAGTCTGCTCTGTGTAAAGTATCGTTCAACTCTGTGAGTTGAATACACACAACACAAGGAAGTTCCTGAGAATTCTTCTGTCTAGCAGAATATGAAGAAATCCCGTTTCCAACGAAGGCCTCAAAGAGGTCTGAATATCCACTTGCAGACTTTACAAACAGAGTGTTTCCTAACTGCTCTATGGAAAGAAAGGTTAAACTGTGTGAGTTGAACGCACACATCACAAAGGAGTTTCTGAGAATCATTCTGTCTAGTTTTGAAACCAAGATATTTCCTTTTCTGCCGTTGACCTTAAAGAGCTTGAAAACTACACTTGCAAATTGCACAAATAGAGTGTTTCAAATCTGCTCTGTCTAAGGGAACGTTCAACTCTGTGAGTTGAATGCACACAACACAAGGAAGTTACTGGGAATTCTTCTGTCTAGCCTTACATGAAAAAAACCCGTTTCCAACGAAGGCCTCTAAGTGGTCAAAATTTCCACGTGCAGACTTTACAAACAGAGTGTTTCCAAACCGCTGAATGAAAAGAAAAGTTAAACTCTGAGAGTTGAACGCACACATCGCGCTGCAGTTTCTGAGAATGATTCTGTCTAGTTTTTATACGAAGATATTTCCTTTTGTGCCTTTGGCCCCAAAGCGCTTGAAATCTCCACTTGCAAATTCCACAAAAACAGTGTTTCAAATCTGCTCTCTCTAAATGATAGTTCAACTCTGTCAGTTGAATACACACAACACAAGGAAGTTACTGAGAATTCTTCTGTCTAGCAGAATATGAAGAAATCCCGTTTCCAACGAAGGCCTCAAAGAGGTCTGAATATCCACTTGCAGACTTTACAAACAGAGTGTTTCCTAACTGCTCTATGAAAAGAAAGGTTAAACTCTGTGACTTGAACGCACACATCACAAAGGAGTTTCTGAGAATCATTCTGTCTAGTTTTTATACGAAGATATTTCCTTTTCTACCATTGACCTCAATGCGGCTGAAATCTCCACTTGCAAATTCCACAAAAAGAGTGTTTCAAGTCTGCTCTGTGTAAAGGATCGTTCAACTCTGTGAGTTGAATACACACAACACAAGGAAGTTACTGAGAATTCTTCTGTCTAGCAGAATATGAAGAAATCCCGTTTCCAACGAAGGCCACAAGATGTCAGAATATCCACTTACAGACTTTACTAACACAGTGTTTCCTAACTGCTCTATGAACAGAAAGGTTAAACTCTGTGAGTTGAACGAACACATCACAACGCAGTTTGTGGGAATGATTCTGTCTAGTTTTGAAACGAAGATATTTCCTTTTCTGCCATTGACCTTAAAGCGCTTGAAATCTACACTTGCAAATTGCACAAATAGAGTGTTTCAAATCTGCTCTGTCTAAGGGAACGTTCAACTCTGTGAGTTGAATGCACACAACACAAGGAAGTTACTGGGAATTCTTCTGTCTAGCCTTACATGAAAAAAACCCGTTTCCAACGAAGGCCTCTAAGTGGTCAAATTATCCACGTGTAGACTTTAGAAACAGAGTGTTTCCAAACTGCTGAATGAAAAGAAAAGTTAAACTCTGAGAGTTGAACGCACACATCGCAGAGCAGTTTCTGAGAATGATTCTGTCTAGTTTTTATACGAAGATATTTCCTTTTCTGCCTTTGGCCTCAAAGCGCTTGAAATCTCCACCTGCAAATTCCACAAAAAGAGTGTTTCAAATCTGCTCTGTGTAAATGAAAGTTCAACTCTGTGAGTTGAACACACACAACACAAGGAAGTTACTGGGAATTCTTCTGTCTAGCATAGTATGAAGAAATCCTGTTTCCAACGAAGGCCTCAAAGTAGGTCTGAATATCCACTTGCAGACTTTACAAACAGAGTGTTTCCTAACTACTCTATGAATAGAAAGGTTAAACTCTGTGAGTTGAACACACACATCACAAAGGAGTTTCTGAGAATCATTCTGTCTAGTTTCTATAGGAAGATATTTCCTATTCTACCGTTGACCTCAAAGCGGCTGAAATCTCCACTTGCAAATTCCACAAAAAGAGTGTTTCAAGTCTGCTCTGTGTAAAGGATCGTTCAACTCTGTGAGTTAAATACACACAACACAAAGAAGTTTCTGAGAATTCTTCTGTCTAGCATAATATGAAGAAACCCCGTTTCCAACGAAGGCCACAAGATGTCAGAATATCCACTTACAGACTTTACAAACAGAGTGTTTCCTAACTGCTCTATGAACAGAAAGGTTAAACTCTGTGAGTTGAACGAACACATCACAACGCAGTTTGTGGGAATGATTCTGTCTAGTTTTGAAACGAAGATATTTCCTTTTCTGCCATTGACCTTAAAGCGCTTGAAATCTACACTTGCAAATTGCACAAATAGAGCGTTTCAAATCTGCTCTGTCTAAGGGAACGTTCATCTCTGTGAGTTGAATGCACACAACACAAGGAAGTTACTGGGAATGCTTCTGTCTAGCCTTACAGGAAAAAAACCCGTTTCCAACGAAGGCCTCTAAGTGGTCAAAATATCCACGTGCAGACTTTACAAACAGAGTGTTTCCACACTGCTGAATGAAAAGAAAATTTAAACTCTGAGAGTTAAACGCACACATCGCAGAGCAGTTTCTGAGAATGATTCTGTCTAGTTTTTATACGAAGATATTTCCTTTTCTGCCTTTGGCCTCAAATCGCTTGAAATCTCCACTTGCAAATTCCACAAAAAGAGTGTTTCAAATCTGCTCTGTGTAAATCAAAGTTCAACTCTGTGAGTTGAACACACACAACACAACGAAGTTACTGGGAATTCTTCTGTCTAGCATAATATGAAGAAATCCCGTTTCCAACGAAGGCCTCAAGGAGATCTGAATATCCACTTGCAGACTTTACAAACAGAGTGTTTCCTAACTGCTCTATGAAAAGAAAGGTTAAACTCTGTGAGTTGAACGCACACATCACAAAGGAGTTTCTCAGAATCATTCTGTCTAGTTTCTATAAGAAGATATTTCCTATTCAACCATTGACCTCAAAGCGGCTGAAATCTCCACTTGCAAATTCGACAAAAAGAGTGTTTCAAGCCTGCTCTCTGTAAAGGATCCTTCAACTCTGTGAGTTGAATACACACAACACAAAGAAGTTACTGAGAATTATTCTGTCTAGCAGAATATGAAGAAATCCCGTTTCCAACGAAGGCCACAAGATGTCAGAATATCCACTTACAGAATTGACAAACAGACTGTTTCCTAACTGCTCTATGAAAAGAAAGGTTAAACTCTGTGAGTTGAACGAACACTTCACAACGCAGTTTGTGGGAATGATTCTGTCTAGTTTTGAAACGAAGATATTTCCTTTTCTGCCATTGACCTTAAAGCGCTTGAAATCTCCATTTGCCAATTGCACAAAAAGAGTGTTTCAAATCTGCTCTGTCTAAGGGAACGTTCAACTCTGTGAGTTGAATGTACACAACACAAGGAAGTTACTGGGAATTCTTCTGTCTAGCCTTACAGGAAAAAAACCCGTTTCCAACGAAGGCCTCTAAGTGGTCAAAATATCCACGTGCAGACTTTACAAACAGAGTGTTTCCAAACTGCTGAATGAAAATAAAAGTTAAACTCTGAGAGTTGAACGCACACATCGCAGAGCAGTTTCTGAGAATGATTCTGTCTAGTTTTTATACGAAGGATATTTCCTTTTCTGCCTTTGGCCCCAAAGCGCTTGAAATCTCCACTTGCAAATTCCACAAAAACAGTGTTTCAAATCTGCTCTCTCTAAATGAAAGTTCAGCTCTGTCAGTTGAATACACACAACACAAGGAAGTTACTGAGAATTCTTCAGTCTAGCCTTATATGAAAAAAACCCGTTTCCAACGAAGGCCTCAAAGAGGTCTGAATATCCACTTGCAGACTTTACAAACAGAGTGTTTCCTAACTGCTCTATGAAAACAAAGGTTAAACTCTGTGAGTTGAACGTACACATCACAAAGGAGTTTCTGAGAATCATTCTGTCTAGTTTTTCTACGAAGATATTTCCTTTTCTACTATTGACCTGAAAGCAGCTGAAATCTCCACTTGCAAATTCCACAAAAGGAGTGTTTCAAGTCTGCTCTGTGTAAAGGATCGTTCAACTCGGTGAGTTGAATACACACAACACAAGGAAGTTACTGAGAATTCTTCTGTCTAGCAGAATAGGAAGAAATCCCGTTTCCAACGAAGGCCTCAAAGAGGTCTGAATATCCACTTGCAGAGTTTACAAACAGAGTGTTTCCTAACTGCTCTATGAAAAGAAAGGTTAAACTCTGTGAGTTGAACACACACATCACAAAGGAGTTTCTGAGAATCGTTCTGTCTAGTTTTTATACGAAGATATTTCCTTTTCTACCATTGACCTCAAAGAGGCTGAAATCACCACTTGCCAATTGCACAAAAAGAGTGTTTCAAATCTGCTCTGTCTAAGGGAACGTTCAACTCTGTGAGTTGAATGTACACAACACAAGGAAGTTACTGGGAATTCTTCTGTCTAGCCTTACAGGAAAAAAACCGTTTCCAACGAAGGCCTCTAAGTGGTCAAAATATCCACGTGCAGACTTTACAAACAGAGTGTTTCCAAACTGCTGAATGAAAAGAAAAGTTAAACTCTGAGAGTTGAACGCACACATCGCAGAGCAGTTTCTGAGAATGATTCTGTCTAGTTTTTATACGAAGATATTTCCTTTTCTGCCTTTGGCCTCAAAGCGCTTGAAATCTCCCCTTGCAAATTCCACAAAAAGAGTGTTTCCAATCTGCTCTGTGTAAATGAAAGTTCAACTGCTGTGAGTTGAACACACACAACACAAGGAAGTTACTGGGAATTTCTTCTTTCTAGCAGAATATGAAGAAATCCCGTTTTCAACGAAAGCCTCAAGGATGTCTGAATATCCACTTGCAGACTGTACAAACAGAGTGTTTCCTAACTGCTCTATGAAAAGAAAGGTTAAAGTCTGTGAGTTGAACACACACATCACAAAGGAGTTTCTGAGAATCATTCTGTCTAGTTTTTATACGAAGATATTTCCTTTTCAAAAATTGACCTCAAAGCGGCTGAAATCTCCACTTGCAAATTCCACAAAAAGAGTGTTTCAAGTCTACTCTGTGTAAAGCATCGTTCAACTCTGTGAGTTGAAATTACACAACACAAGGAAGTTTCTGAGAATTCTTCTGTCTAGCAGAATATGAAGAAATCCCGTTTCCAACGAAGGCCTCAAGGAGGTCTGAATATCCACTTGCAGACTTTACAAACAGAGTGTTTCCTAACTGCTCTATGAACAGAAAGGTTAAAGTCTGTGAGTTGAACGAACACATCACAACGCAGTTTGTGGGAATGATTCTGTCTAGTTTTGAAACGAAGATATTTCCTTTTCTGCCGTTGACCTTAAAGCGCTTGAAATCTACACTTGCAAATTGGACAAATAGAGTGTTTCAAATCTGCTCTGTCTAAGGGAACGTTCAACTCTGTGAGTTGAATGCACACAACACAAGGAAGTTACTGGGAATTCTTCTGTCTAGCCTTACATGAAAAAAACCCGTTTCCAACGAAGGCCTCTAAGTGGTCAAAATATCCACGTGCAGACTTTACAGAGTGTTTCGAAACCGCTGAATGAAAAGAAAAGTTAAACTCTGAGAGTTGAACGCACACATCACGCAGCAGTTTCTGAGAATTATTCTGTCTAGTTTTTATACGAAGATATTTCCTTTTCTGCCTTTGGTCCCAAAGCGCTTGAAATCTCCACTTGCAAATTCCACAAAAACAGTGTTTCAAATCTGCTCTCTCCAAATGAAAGTTCAACTCTGTCAGTTGAATACACACAACACAAGGAAGTTACTGAGAATTCTTCTGTCTAGCATAAAATGAAGAAATCCCTTTTCCAACGAAGGCCTCAAAGAGGTCTGAATATCCACTTGCAGACTTTACAAACAGAGTGTTTCCTAACTGCTCTATGAAAAGAAAGGTTAAACTCTGTGAGTTGAACGCACACATCCAAAAGGAGTTTCTGAGAATCATTCTGTCTAGTCTTTATACGAAGATATTTCCTTTTCTACCATTGATCTCAAAGCGGCTGAAATCTCCACTTGCAAATTCCACAAAAAGAGTGTTTCAAGTCTGCTCTGTGTAAAGGATCGTTCAACTCTGTGAGTTGAATACACACAACACAAGGAAGTTACTGAGAATTCTTCTGTCTAGCAGAATATGAAGAAATCCCGTTTCCAACGAAGGCCACAAGATGTCAGAATATCCACTTACAGACTTTACAAACAGAGTGTTTCCTAACTGCTCTATGAACAGAAAGGTTAAACTCTGTGAGTTGAACGAACACATGACAACGCAGTTTCTGGGAATGATTCTGTCTAGTTTTGAGACGAAGATATTTCCTTTTCTGCCATTGACCTTAAAGCGCTTGAAATCTACACTTGCAAATTGCACAAATAGAGTGTTTCAAATCTGCTCTGTCTAAGGGAACATTCAACTCTGTGAGTTGAATGCACACAACACAAGGAAGTTACTGGGAATTCTTCTGTCTAGCCTTACATGAAAAAAAACCCGTTTCCAACGAAGGCCTCTAAGAGGTCAAAATATCCACGTGCAGACTTTACAAAGAGAGTGTTTCCAAACCGCTGAATGAAAAGAAAAGTTAAACTCTGAGAGTTGAACGCACACATCACGCAGCAGTTTCTGAGAATGATTCTGTCTAGTTTTTATACGAAGATATTTCCTTTTCTGCCTTTGGCCCCAAAGCGCTTGAAATCTCCAATTGCAAATTCCACAAAAACAGTGTTTCAAATCTGCTCTCTCTAAATGAAAGTTCAACTCTGTCACTTGAATACACACAACACAAGGAAGTTACTGAGAATTCTTCTGTCTAGCAGAATATGAAGAAATCCCGTTTCCAACGAAGGCCTCAAAGAGGTCTGAATATCCACTTGCAGACTTTACAAACAGAGTGTTTCTTAACTGCTCTATGAAAAGAAAGGTTAAACTCTGTGAGTTGAACGCACACATCACAAAGGAGTTTCTGAGAATCGTTCTGTCTAGTTTCTATAGGAAGATATTTCCTATTCTACCATTGACCTCAAAGCGTCTGAAATCTCCACTTGCAAATTCCACAAAAAGAATGTTTCAAGTCTGCTCTGTGTAAAGGATCGTTCAACTCTGTGAGTTGAATACACACAACACAAGGAAGTTACTGAGAATTCTTCTGTCTAGCAGAATATGAAGAAATCCCGTTTCCAACGAAGGCCACAAGATGTCAGAATATCCACTTACAGAATTTTCAAACAGACTGTTTCCTAACTGCTCTATGAAAAGAAAGGTTAAACTCTGTGAGTTGAACGAACACATCACAACGCAGTTTGTGGGAATGATTCTGTCTAGTTTTGAAACGAAGATATTTCCTTTTCTGCCATTGACCTTAAAGCGCTTGAAATCTACACTTGCAAATTGCACAAATAGTGTGTTTCAAATCTGCTCTGTCTAAGGGAACGTTCAACTCTGTGAGTTGAATGCACACAACACAAGGAAAGTTACTGGGAATTCTTCTGTCTAGCTTTACATGAAAAAAACCCGTTTCCAACGAAGGCCTCTAAGTGGTCAATATATCCTCGTGCAGACTTTACAAACAGTGTGTTTCCAAACCGCTGAATGAAAACAAAAGTTAAACTCTGAGAGTTGAACGCACACATCACGCAGCAGTTTCTGAGAATGATTCTGTCTAGTTTTTATACGAAGATATTTCCTTTTCTGCCTTTGGCCTCAAAGAGTTTGAAATCTCCATTTGCAAATTCCACAAAAAGAGTGTTTCAAATCTGCTCTGTGTAAATGAAAGTTCAACTCTGTGAGTTGAACACACACAACACATGGAAGTTACTGGGATTTCTTCTGTCTAGCAGAATATGAAGAAATCCCGTTTCCAACGAAGGCCTCAAGGTGGTCTGAATATCCACTTGCAGACTTTACAAACAGAGTGTTTCCTAACTGCTCTATGAAAAGAAAGGTGAAACTCTGTGAGTTGAATGCACACATCACAAAGGAGTTTATGAGAATCATTCTGTCTACTTTCTATAGGAAGATATTTCCTATTCTACCATTGACCTCAAAGCGGCTGAAATCTCCACTTGCAAATTCCACAAAAAGAGTGTTACAAGTCTGCTCTCTGTAAAGGATCGTTCAACTCTGTGAGTTGAATACACACAACACAAGGAAGTTACTGAGAATTATTCTGTCTAGCATAATATGAAGAAATCCCGTTTCCAACGAAGGCCTGAAAGAGGTCTGAATATCCACTTGCATACTTTACAAACAGAGTGTTTCCTAACTGCTCTATGAAAAGAAAGGTTAAACTCTGTGAGTTGAACGCACACATCACAAAGGAGTTTATGAGAATCATTCTGTCTAGTTTTGAAACGAAGATATTTCCTTTTCTGCCATTGACCTCAAAGCGCTTGAAATCTCCACTTGCCAATTGCACAAAAAGAGTGTTTCAAATCTGCTCTGTCTAAGGGAACGTTCAACTCTGTGAGTTGAATGTACACAACACAAGGAAGTTACTGGGAATTCTTCTGTCTAGCCTTACAGGAAAAAAACCCGTTTCCAACGAAGGCCTCTAAGTGGTCAAAATATCCACGTGCAGACTTTACAAACAGAGTGTTTCCAAACTGCTGAAAGAAAAGAAAAGTTAAACTCTGAGAGTTGAACGCACACATCGCAGAGCAGTTTCTGAGAATGATTCTGTCTAGTCTTTATACGAAGATATTTCCTTTTCTACCATTGACCTCAAAGCGGCTGAAATCTCCACTTGCAAATTCCACAAAAAGAGTGTTTCAAGTCTGCTCTGTGTAAAGGATCGTTCAACTCTGTGAGTTGAATACACACAACACAAAGAAGTTACTGAGAATTCTTCTGTCTAGCAGAATATGAAGAAATCCCGTTTCCAACGAAGGCCGCAAGGAGGTCTGAATATCCACTTGCAGACTTTACAAACAGAGTGTTTCCTACCAGCTCTATGAACAGAAAGGTTAAACTCTGTGAGTTGAACGCACACATCACAAAGGAGTTTCTGAGAATCATTCTGTCTAGTTTCTATAGGAAGATATTTCCTATTCTACCATTGAACTCACAGCGGCTGAAATCTCCACTTGCAAATTTCACAAAAAGAGTGTTTCAAGTCTGCTCTGTGTAAAGGATCGTTCAACTCTGTGAGTTGAATACACACAACACAAGGAAGTTACTGAGAATTCTTCTGTCTAGCAGAATATGAAGAAATCCCGTTTCCAACGAAGGCCACAGGATGTCAGAATATCCACTTACAGAATTTACAAACAGACTGTTTCCTAACTGCTCTACGAAAAGAAAGGTTAAACTCTGTGAGATGAACGAACACATCACAACGCATTTTGTGGGAATGATTCTGTCTAGTTTTGAAACGAAGATATTTCCTTTTCTGCCATTGACCTCAAATCGCTTGAAATCTCCACTTGCCAATTGCACAAAAAGAGTGTTTCAAATCTGCTCTGTCTAAGGGAACGTTCAACTCTGTGAGTTGAATGTACACAACACAAGGAAGTTACTGGGAATTCTTCTGTCTAGCCTTACATGAAAAAAACCCGTTTCCAACGAAGGCCTCTAAGTGGTCAAATTATTCACGTGCAGACTTTACAAACAGAGTGTTTCCAAACTGCTGAATGAAAAGAAAAGTTAAACTCTGAGAGTTGAACGCACACATCGCAGAGCAGTTTCTGAGAATGATTCTGTCTAGTCTTTATACGAAGATATTTCCTTTTCTACCATTGACCTCAAAGCGGCTGAAATATCCACTTGCAAATTCCACAAAAAGAGTGTTTCAAGTCTGCTCTCTGTAAAGGATCGTTCAACTCTGTGAGTTGAATACACACAACACAAGGAAGTTACTGAGAATTCTTCTGTCTAGCAGAATATGAAGAAATCCCGTTTCCAACGAAGGCCTCAAGGAGGTCTGAATATCCACTTGCAGACTTTACAAACAGAGTGTTTCCTAACAGCTCTATGAACAGAAAGGTTAAACTCTGTGAGTTGAACGCACACATCACAAAGGAGTTTCTGAGAATCATTCTGTCTAGTTTCTATATGAAGATATTTCCTATTCTACCATTGACCTCAAAGCGGCTGAAATCTCCACTTGCAAATTCCACAAAAAGAATGTTTCAAGTCTGCTCTGTGTAAAGGATCGTTCAACTCTGTGAGTTGAATACACACAACACAAGGGAAGTTACTGAGAATTCTTCTGTCTAGCAGAATATGAAGAAATCCCGTTCCCAACGAAGGCCACAAGATGTCAGAATATCCACTTACAGACTTTACAAACAGAGTGTTTCCTAACTGCTCTATGAACAGAAAGGTTAAACTCTGTGAGTTGAACGAACACATCACAACGCAGTTTGTGGGAATGATTCTGTCTAGTTTTGAAACGAAGATATTTCCTTTTCTGCCATTGACCTTAAAGCCCTTGAAATCTCCATTTGCCAATTGCACAAAAAGAGTGTTTCAAATCTGCTCTGTCTAAGGGAACGTTCAACTCTGTGAGTTGAATGTACACAACACAAGGAAGTTACTGGGAATTCTTCTGTCTAGCCTTACAGGAAAAAAACCCGTTTCCAACGAAGGCCTCTAAGTGGTCAAAATATCCACGTGCAGACTTTAGAAACAGAGTGTTTCCAAACTGCTGAATGAAAAGAAAAGTTAAACTCTGAGAGTTGAACGCACACATCGCAGAGCAGTTTCTGAGAATGATTCTGTCTAGTTTCTATACGAAGATATTTCCTTTTCTACCATTGACCTCAACGCGGCTGAAATCTCCACTTGCAAATTCCACAAAAAGAGTGTTTCAAGTCCGCTCTGTGTAAAGGGTCGTTCAACTCTGTGAGTTGAATACACACAACACAAGGAAGTTACTGAGAATTCTTCTGTCTAGCATAGTATGAAGAAATCCCGTTTCCAACGAAGGCCTCAATGAGGTCTGAATATCCACTTGCAGAGTTTACAAACAGAGTGTTTCCTAACTGCTCTATGAAAAGAAAGGTTAAACTCTGTGAGTTGAACGCACACATCACAAAGAAGATTCTGAGAATCATTCTGTCTAGTTTTTATACGAAGATATTTCCTTTTCTGCCTTTGGCCTCAAAGCGCTTGAAATCTCCACTTGCAAATTCCACAAAAAGAGTGTTTCAAGTCTGCTCTGTGTAAAGGATCGTTCAACTCTGTGAGTTGAATACACACAACACAAGGAAGATTCTGAGAATTCTTCTGTCTAGCAGAATATGAAGAAATCCCGTTTCCAACAAAGGCCACAAGATGTCAGAATATCCACTTACAGAATTTACAAACAGACTGTTTCCTAACTGCTCTATGAAAAGAAAGGTTAAACTCTGTGAGTTGAACGAACACATCACAACGCAGTTTGTGGGAATGATTCTGTCTAGTTTTGAAACGAAGATATTTCCTTTTCTGCCATTGACCTTAAAGCGCTTGAAATCTCCACTTGCCAATTGCACAAAAAGAGTGTTTCAAATCTACTCTGTCTAAGGGAACGTTCAACTCTGTGAGTTGAATGTACACAACACAAGGAAGTTACTGGGAATTCTTCTGTCTAGCCTTACATGAAAAAAACCCGTTTCCAACGAAGACCTCTAAGTGGTCAAAATATCCACGTGCAGACTTTACAAACAGAGTGTTTCCAAACTGCTGAATGAAAAGAAAAGTTAAACTCTGAGAGTTGAACGCAGACATCACAGAGCAGTTTCTGAGAATGATTCTGTCTAATTTTTATACGAAGATATTTCCTTTTCTGCCTTTGGCGTCAAAGCGCTTGAAATCTCCACTTGCAAATTCCACAAAAAGAGTGTTTCAAATCTGCTCTGTGTAAATGAAAGTTCAACTCTGTGAGTTGAACTCACACAACACAAGGAAGTTACTGGGAATTCTTCTGTCTAGCATAGTATGAAGAAATCCCGTTTCCAACGAAGGCCTCAAACAGGTCTGAACATCCACTTGCAGAGTTTACAAACAGAGTGTTTCCTAACTGCTCTATGAAAAGAAAGGTTAAACTCTGTGACTTGAACGCACACATCACAAAGAAGTTTCTGAGAATCATTCTGTCTAGTTTTTATACGAAGATATTTCCTTTTCTACCATGGACCTCAAAGCGGCTGAAATCTCCACTTGCAAATTCCACAAAAAGAGTGTTTCAAGTCTGCTCTGTGTAAAGGATGGTTCAACTCTGTGAGTTGAATACACACAACACAAGGAAGATTCTGAGAATTCTTCTGTCTAGCAGAATATGAAGAAATCCCGTTTCCAACGAAGGCCTCATGGAGGTCTGAATATCCACTGGCAGACTTTACAAACAGAGTGTTTCCTAACTGCTCTATGAACAGAAAGGTTAAACTCTGTGAGTTGAACGAACACATCACAACGCAGTTTGTGGGAATGATTCTGTCTAGTTTTTATAGGAAGTTATTTCCTTTTCTACCTTTGACTTCAAAGCGGCTGAAATCTCCACTTGCAAATTCCACAAAAAGAGTGTTACCAGTCTGCTCTGTGTAAAGGATCTTTCAACTCTGTGAGTTGAATACACACAACACAAGGAAGTTACTGAGAAATCTTCTGTCTAGCCTTACAGGAAAAAAACCCGTTTCCAACGAAGGCCTCTAAGTGGTCAAATTATGCACGTGCAGACGTTACAAACAGAGTTTTTCCAAACTGCTGAATGAAAAGAAAAGTTAAACTCTGAGAGTTGAACGCACACATCGCAGAGCAGTTTCTGAGAATGATTCTGTCTAGTTTTTATACGAAGATATTTCCTTTTCTGCCTTTGGCCTCAAAGCGCTTGAAATCTCCACCTGCAAATTCCACAAAAAGAGTGTTTCAAATCTGCTCTGTGTAAATGAAAGTTCAACTCTGTGAGTTGAACACACACAACACAAGGAAGTTACTGCGAATTCTTCTGTCTAGCAGAATATGAAGAAATCCCTTTTCCAACGAAGGCCTCAAGGAGGTCTGAATATCCACTTGCAGACTTTACAAACAGAGTGTTTCCTAACTGCTCTATGAAAAGAAAGGTTAAACTCTGTGAGTTGAATGCACACATCACAAAGGAGTTTATGAGAATCATTCTGTCTAGTTTTTATAGGAAGATATTTCCTTTTCTACCTTTGACTTCAAAGCGGCTGAAATCTCCACTTGCAAATTCCACAAAAAGAGTGTTACAAGTCTGCTCTGTGTAAAGGATCGTTCAACTCTGTGAGTTGAATACACACAACACAAGGGAAGTTACTGAGAATTCTTCTGTCTAGCAGAATATGAAGAAATCCCGTTTCCAACGAAGGCCTCAAGGAGGTCTGAATATCCACTTGCAGACTTTACAAACAGAGTGTTTCCTAACTGCTCTATGAACAGAAAGGTTAAACTCTGTGAGTTGAACGAACACATCACAGCACAGTTTGTGGGAATGATTCTGTCTAGTTTTGAAACGAAGATATTTCCTTTTCTGCCGTTGACCTTAAAGCGCTTGAAATCTACACTTGCAAATTGCACAAATAGAGTGTTTCAAATCTGCCCTCTCTAAGGGAACGTTCAACTCTGTGAGTTCAATGCACACAACACAAGGAAGTTACTGGGAATTCTTCTGTCTAGCCTTACATGCAAAAAACCCGTTTCCAACGAAGGCCTCTAAGTGGTCAAAATATCCACGTGCAGACTTTACAAACAGAGTGTTTCCAAACCGCTGAATGAAAAGAAAATTTAAACTCTGAGAGTTGAACGCACACATCACGCAGCAGTTTCTGAGAATGATTCTGTCTAGTTTTTATACGAAGAATATTTCCTTTTCTGCCTTTGGCCTCAAAGCGCTTGAAATCTCCACCTGCAAATTCCACAAAAAGAGTGTTTCAAATCTGCTCTGTGTAAATCAAAGTTCAACTCTGTGAGTTGAACACACACAACACAAGGAAGTTACTGGGAATTCTTCTGTCTAGACTTATATGTAAAAAACACGTTTCCAACGAAGGCCTCAAAGAGGTCTGAATATCCACTTGCAGACTTTACAAACAGAGTGTTTCCTAACTTCTCTATGAAAAGAAAGGTTAAACTCTGTGAGTTGAACGTACACATCACAAAGGAGTTTCTGAGAATCATTCTGTCTAGTCTTTATACGAAAATATTTACTTTTCTACCATTGACCTCAAAGCGGCTGAAATCTCCACTTGCAAATTCCACAAAAAGAGTGTTTCAAGTCTGCTCTGTGTAAAGGATCATTCAACTCTGTGAGTTGAATAAACACAACACAAGGAAGTTACTGAGAATTCTTCTGTCTAGCAGAATATGAAGAAATCCCGTTTCCAACGAAGGCCTCAAGGAGGTCTGAATATCCACTTGCAGACTTTACAAACAGAGTGTTTCCTAACTGCTCTATGAACAGAAAGGTTAAACTCTGTGAGTTGAACGAACACATCACAACGCAGTTTGTGGGAATGATTCTGTCTAGTTTTGAAACGAAGATATTTCCTTTTCTGCCATTGACCTTAAAGCGCTTGAAATCTCCATTTGCCAATTGCACAAAAAGAGTGTTTCAAATCTGCTCTGTCTAAGGGAACGTTCAACTCTGTGAGTTGAATGTACACAACACAAGGAAGTTACTGGGAATTCTTCTGTCTAGCCTTACATGAAAAAAACCCGTTTCCAACGAAGGCCTCTAAGTGGTCAAAATATCCACGTGCAGACTTTACAAACAGAGTGTTTCCAAACCGCTGAATGAAAAGAAAAGTTAAACTCTGAGAGTTGAACGCACACATAACGCAGCAGTTTCTGAGAATGATTCTGTCTAGTTTTTATACGAAGATATTTCCTTTTCTGCCTTTGGCCCCAAAGCGCTTGAAATCTCCACTTGCAAATTCCACAAAAAGAGTGTTTCAAATCTGCTCTCTCTAAATGCAAGTTCAACTCTGTCAGTTGAATACACACAACACAAGGAAGTTACTGAGAATTCTTCTGTCTAGCATAATATGAAGAAATCCCGTTTCCAACGAAGGCCTCAAAGGGGTCTGAATATCCACTTGCAGACTTTATAAACAGAGTGTTTACTAACTGCTCTATGAAAAGAAAGGTTAAACTCTGTGAGTTGAAAACACACATCACAAAGGAGTTTCTGAGAATCATTCTGTCTATTTTTTATATGAAGATATTTCCTTTTCTACCATTGACCTCAATGCGGCTGAAATCTCCACTTGCAAATTCCACAAAAAGTGTGTTTCAAGTCCGCTCTGTGTAAAGGATCGTTCAACTCTGTGAGTTGAATACACACAACACAAGGAAGTTACTGAGAATTCTTCTGTCTAGCACAGTATGAAGAAATCCCGTTTCCAACGAAGGCCTCAGAGAGGTCTGAATATCCACTTGCAGACTTTACAAACAGTGTTTCCTAACTGCTCTATGAAAAGAAAGGTTAAACTCTGTGAGTTGAACGCACACATCACAAAGGAGTTTCTGAGAATCATTCTGTCTAGTTTTGAAACGAAGATATTTCCTTTTCTGCCATTGACCTTAAAGCGCTTGAAATCTCCATTTGCCAATTGCACAAAAAGAGTGTTTCAAATCTGCTCTGTCTAAGGGAACGTTCAACTCTGTGAGTTGAATGTACACAACACAAGGAAGTTACTGGGAATTCTTCTGTCTAGCCTTACAGGAAAAAAACCCGTTTCCAACGAAGGCCTCTAAGTGGTCAAAATATCCACGTGCAGACTTTACAAACAGAGTGTTTCCAAACTGCTGAATGAAAAGAAAAGTTAAACTCTGAGAGTTGAACGCACCCATCGCAGAGCAGTTTCTGAGAATGATTCTGTCTAGTTTTTATACGAAGATATTTCCTTTTCTGCCTTTGGCCCCAAAGCGCTTGAAATCTCCACTTGCAAATTCCACAAAAACAGTGTTTCAAATCTGCTCTCTCTAAATGAAAGTTCAACTCTGTCAGTTGAATACACACAACACAAGGACGTTACTGAGAATTCTTCTGTCTAGCCTTATATGAAAAAACCCGTTTCCAACGAAGGCCTCAAAGAGGTCTGAATATCCACTTGCAGACTTTACAAACAGAGTGTTTCCTAACTGCTCTATGAAAAGAAAGGTTAAACTCTGTTAGTTGAACGCACACATCACAAAGGAGTTTCTGAGAATCATTCTGTCTAGTTTTTATATGAAGATATTTCCTTTTCTACCATTGACCTCAAAGCGGCTGAGATCTCCACTTACAAATTCCACAAAAAGAGTGTTTCAAGTCTGCTCTGTGTAAACGATCGTTCAACTCTGTGAGTTGAATACACACAACACAAGGAAGTTTCTGAGAATTCTTCTGTCTAGCAGAATATGAAGAAATCCCGTTTCCAACGAAGGCCACAAGATGTCAGAATATCCACTTACAGAATTTACAAACAGAGTGTTTCCTAACTGCTCTATGAAAAGAAAGGTTAAACTCTGTGAGATGAACGAACACATCACAACGCAGTTTTTGGGAATGATTCTGTCTAGTTTTGAAACGAAGATATTTCCTTTTCTGCCATTGACCTCAAAGCGCTTGAAATCTCCACTTGCCAATTGCACAAAAAGAGTGTTTCAAATCTGCTCTGTTTAAGGGAACGTTCAACTCTGTGAGTTGAATGTACACAACACAAGGAAGTTACTGGGAATTATTCTGTCTAGCCTTACATGAAAAAAACCCGTTTCCAACGAAGGCCTCTAAGTGGTCAAATTATCCACGTGCAGACTTTACAAACAGAGTGTTTCCAAACTGCTGAACGAAAAGAAAAGTTAAACTCTGAGAGTTGAACGCACACATCGCAGAGCAGTTTCTGAGAATGATTCTGTCTAGTTTTTATACGAAGATATTTCCTTTTCTGCCTTTGGCCTCAAAGCGCTTGAAATCTCCACTTGCAAATTCCACAAAAAGAGTGTTTCAAATCTGCTCTGGGTAAATGAAAGTTCAACTCTGTGAGTTGAACACACACAACACAAGGAAGTTACTGGGAATTCTTCTGTCTAGCAGAACATGAAGAAATCCCGCTTCCAACTAAGGCCTCAAATAAGTCTGAATATCCACTTGCAGACTTTACAAACAGAGTGTTTCCCAACTGCTCTATGAAAAGAAAGGTTGAACTCTGTGAGTTGAACGCACACATCACAAAGGAGTTTCTGAGAATCATTCTGTCTAGTTTCTATAGGAAGATATTTCCTATTCTACCATTGACCTCAAAGCGGCTGAAATCTCCACTTGCAAATTCCACAACAAGAGTGTTTCAAGTATGCTCTGTGTAAAGGATCGTTCAACACTGTGAGTTGAATACACACAACACAAGGAAGTTACTGAGAATTCTTCTGTCTAGCATAATATGAAGAAAACCCGTTTCCAACGAAGGCCTCAAGGAGGTCTGAATATCCACTTGCAGACTTTACAAACAGAGTGTTTCCTAACTGCTCTATGAAAAGAAAGGTTAAACTCTGTGAGTTGAACGGCACACATCACAAAGGAGTTTCTGAGAATCATTCTGTCTAGTTTTGAAACGAAGATATTTCCTTTTCTGCCGTTGACCTTAAAGCGCTTGAAATCTACACTTGCAAATTGCACAAATAGAGTGTTTCAAATCTGCTCTGTCTAAGGGAACGTTCAATTCTGTGAGTTGAATGCACACAACACAAGGAAGTTACTGGGAATTCTTCTGTCTAGCCTTACAGGAAAAAAACCCGTTTCCAACGAAGGCCTGTAAGTGGTCAAAATATCCACGTGCAGACTTTACAAACAGAGTGTTTCCAAACTGCTGAATGAAAAGAAAAGTTAAACTCTGAGAGTTGAATGCACACATCGCAGAGCAGTTTCCTGAGAATGATTCTGTCTAGTTTTGAAACGAAGATATTTCCTTTTCTGCCTTTGGCCTCAAAGCGCTTGAAATCTCCACTTGCAAATTCAACAAAAAGAGTGTTTCAAATCTGCTCTGTGTAAATGAAAGTTCAACTCTGTGAGTTGAACACACACAACACAAGGAAGTTACTGGGAATTCTTCTGTCTAGCAGAATATGAAGAAATCCCGTTTCCAACGAAGGCCTCAAAGAGGTCTGAATATCCACTTGCAGAGTTTATAAACAGAGTGTTTCCTAACTGCTCTATGAAAAGAAAGGTTGAACTCTGTGAGTTGAACGCACACATCACAAAGGAGTTTCTGAGAATCATTCTGTCTAGTTTCTATAAGAAGATATTTCCTTTTCTGCGATTGACCTCAAAGCGGCTGAAATCTCCACTTGCAAATTCCACAAAAACATTGTTTCAAATCTGCTCTGTGTAAAGGACCGTTCAACTCTGTGAGTTGAATACACACAACACAAGGAAGTTACTGAGATTTCTTCTGTCCAGCATCATATGAAGAAATCCCGTTTCCAACGAAGGCCTCAAAGAGGCCTGAATATCCACTTGCAGACTTTATACACAGAGTGTTTCCTAACTGCTCTATGAAAAGAAAGGTTAAACTCTGTGAGTTGAAAGCACACATCACAAAGGAGTTTCTGAGAATCATTCTGTCTAGTTTTGAAACGAAGATATTTCCTTTTCTGCCGTTGACCTTAAAGCGCTTGAAATCTACACTTGCAAATTGGACAAATAGAGTGTTTCAAATCTGCTCTGTCTAAGGGAACGTTCAACTCTGTGAGTTGAATGCACACAACACAAGGAAGTTACTGGGAATTCTTCTGTCTAGCCTTACATGAAGAAAACCCGTTTCCAACGAAGGCCTCTAAATGGTCATAATATCCACGTGCAGACTTTACAAACAGAGTGTTTCCAAACCGCTGAATGAAAAGAAAAGTTAAACTCTGAGAGTTGAACGCACACATCACGCAGCAGTTTCTGAGAATGATTCTGTCTAGTTTTTATAGGAAGATATTTCCTTTTCTGCCTTTGGCCTCAAAGCGCTTGAAATCTCCACTTGCAAATTCCACAAAAAGAGTGTTTCAAATCTGCTCTGTGTAAATGAAAGTTCAACTCTGTGAGTTGAACACACACAACACAAGGAAGTTACTGGGAATTCTTCTGTCTAGCACAGTATGAAGAAATCCCGTTTCCAACGAAGGCCTCAAAGAGGTCTGAATATCCACTTGCAGAGTTTACAAACAGAGTGTTTCCTAACTGCTCTATGAAAAGAAAGGTTAAACCCTGTGAGTTGAACGCACACATCACAAAGAAGTTTCTGAGAATCATTCTGTCTAGTTTCTATAAGAAGATATTTCCTATTCTACCATTGACCTCAAAGCGGCTGAAATCTCCACTTGCAAATTCGACAAAAAGAGTGTTTGAAGCCTGCTCTCTGTAAAGGATCCTTCAACTCTGTGAGTTGAATACACACAACACAAGGAAGTTACTGAGAATTCTTCTGTCTAGCAGAATATGAAGAAATCCCGTTTCCAACGAAGGCCTCAAAGAGGTCTGAATATCCACTTGCACACTTTACAAACAGAGTGTTTCCTAACTGGTCTATGAGAAGAAAAGTTAAACTCTGTGAGTTGAACGCACACATCACAAAAGATTTTCTGAGAATCATTCTGTATAGTTTTGAAACGAAGATATTTCCTTTTCTGCCGTTGACCTTAAAGCGCTTGAAATCTACACTTGCAAATTGCACAAATAGAGTGTTTCAAATCTGCTCTGTCTAAGGGAACGTTCAACTCTGTGAGTTGAATGCACACAACACAAGGAAGTTACTGGGAATTCTTCTGTCTAGCAGAATATGAAGAAATCCCGTTTCCAACGAAGGCCTCAAGGAGGTCTGAATATCCACTTGCAGACTTTAGAAACAGAGTGTTTCCTAACTGCTCTATGAACAGAAAGGTTAAACTCTGTGAGTTGAACGCACACATCACAAAGGAGTTTCTGAGAATCATTCTGTCTAGTCTTTATACGAAGATATTTACTTTTCTACCATTGACCTCAAAGCGGCTGAAATCTCCACTTGCAAATTCCACAAAAAGAGTGTTTCAAGTCTGCTCTGTGTAAAGGATCATTCAACTCTGTGAGTTGAATAAACACAACACAAGGAAGTTAGTGAGAATTCTTCTTTCTAGCAGAATATGAAGAAAACCCGCTTCCAACGAAGGCCTCAAAGAAGTCTGAATATCCACTTGCAGACTTTACAAACAGAGTGTTTCCTAACTGCTCTATGAAAAGAAAGGTTGAACTCTGTGAGTTGAACGCACACATCACAAAGGAGTTTCTGAGAATCATTCTGTCTAGTTTTTATACGAAGATATTTCCTTTTCTACCATTGACCTCAACGCGGCTGAAATCTCCACTTGCAAATTCCACAAAAAGAGTGTTTCAAGTCTGCTCTGTGTAAAGGATCGTTCAATTCTGTGAGTTGAATACACACAACACAAGGAAGTTACTGAGAATTCTTCTGTCTAGCAGAATAGGAAGAAATCCCTTTTCCAACGAAGGCCACAAGATGTCAGAATATCCACTTACAGACTTTACAAACAGAGTGTTTCCTCACTGCTCTATGAACAGAAAGGTTAAACTCTGTGAGTTGAACGAACACATCATAACGCAGTTTGTGGGAATGATTCTGTCTAGTTTTGAAACAAAGATATTTCCTTTTCTGCCATTGACCTTAAAGCGCTTGAAATCTACACTTGCAAATTGCACAAATAGAGTGTTTCAAATCTGCTCTGTCTAAGGGAACGTTCAACTCTGTGAGTTGAATGCACACAACACAAGGAAGTTACTGGGAATTCTTCTGTCTAGCCTTACTTGAAAAAAACCCGTTTCCAACGAAGGCCTCTAAGTGGTCAAAATATCCACGTGCAGACTTCACAGAGTGTTTCCAAACCGCTGAATGAAAAGAAAAGTTAAACTCTGAGAGTTGAACGCACACATCACGCAGCAGTTTCTGAGAATGATTCTGTCTAGTTTTTATACGAAGATATTTCCTTTTCTGCCTTTGGCCTCAAAGCGCTTGAAATCTCCACTTGCAAATTCCACAAAAAGAGTGTTTCAAATCTACTCTGTCTAAATGAAAGTTCAACTCTGTCAGTTGAATACACACAACACAAGGAAGTTACTGAGAATTCTTCTGTCTAGCCTTATATGAAAAAAACCCGTTTCCAACGAAGGCCTCAAGGAGGTCTGAATATCCACTTGCAGACTTTACAAACAGAGTGTTTCCTAACTGCTCTATGAAAAGAAAGGTTAAACTGCTGTGAGTTGAACGCACACATCACAAAGGAGTTTCTGAGAATCATTCTGTCTAGTCTTTATATGAAGATAGTTTCCTTTTCTACCATTGACCTCAAAGCGGCTGAAATCTCCACTTGCAAATTCCACAAAAAGAGTGTTTCAAGTCTGCTCTGTGTAAAGGATCATTCAACTCTGTGAGTTGAATAAACACAACACAAGGAAGTTACTGAGAATTCTTCTGTCTAGCAGAATATGAGGAATTCCCGTTTCCAACGAAGGCCTCAAGGAGGTCTGAATATCCACATGCAGACTTTACAAACACAGTGTTTCCTAACTGCTCTATGAAAAGAAAGGTTAAACTCTGTGAGTTGAACGCACACATCACAAAGGAGTTTATGAGAATCATTCTGTCTAGTTTTGAAACGAAGATATTTCCTTTTCTGCCATTGACCTTAAAGCGCTTGAAATCTACACTTGCAAATTGCACAAATAGAGTGTTTCAAATCTGCTCTGTCTAAGGAAACGTTCAACTCTGTGAGTTGAATGCACACAACACAAGGAGGTTACTGGGAATTCTACTGTCTAGCCTTACAGGAAAAAAACCCGTTTCCAACGAAGGCCTCTAAGTGGTCAAAATATCCACGTGCAGACTTTACAAACAGAGTGTTTCCAAACTGCTGAATGAAAAGAAAAGTTAAACTCTGAGAGTTGAACGCACACATCGCAGAGCAGTTTCTGAGAATGATTCTGTCTAGTTTTTATACAGAAGATATTTCCTTTTCTGCCTTTGGCCCCAAAGCGCTTGAAATCTCCACTTGCAAATTCCACAAAAACAGTGTTTCAAATCTGCTCTCTCTAAATGAAAGTTCAACTCTGTCAGTTGAATACACACAACACAAGGAAGTTACTGAGAATTCTTCTGTCTAGCCTTATATGAAAAAAACCCGTTTCCAACGAAGGCCTCAAAGAGGTCTGAATATCCACTTGCAGAGTTTACAAACAGAGTGTTTCCTAACTGCTCTATGAAAAGAAAGGTTAAACTCTGTGAGTTGAACGCACACATCACAAAGGAGTTTCTGAGAATCATTCTGTCTAGTTTTTATACGAAGATATTTCCTTTTCTACCATTGACCTCAAAGCGGCTGAAATGTCCACTTGCAAATTCCACAAAAAGAGTGTTTCTAATCTGCTCTGTGTAAAGGATCATTCAACTCTGTGAGTTGAATGCACACAACACAAGGAAGTTATTGAGAATTCTTCTGTCTAGCAGAATATGAAGAAATCCCGTTTCCAACGAAGTCCTCAAGGAGGTCTGAATATCCACTTGCAGACTTTACAAACAGAGTGTTTCCTAACAGCTCTATGAACAGAAAGGTTAAACTCTGTGAGTTGAACGCACACATCACAAAGGAGTTTCTGAGAATCATTCTGTCTAGTTTTTATAGGAAGATATTCCCTTTTCTACCTTTGACTTCAAAGCGGCAGAAATCTCCACTTGCAAATTCCACAAAAAGAGTGTTACAAGTCTGCTCTGTGTAAAGGATCGGTCAACTGTGTGAGTTGAATACACACAACACAAGGAAGTTACTGAGAATTCTTCTGTCTAGCCTTACATGAAAAAAACCCGTTTCCAACGAAGGCCTCTAAGTGGTCAAATTATCCACGTGCAGACTTTACAAACAGAGTGTTTCCAAACTGCTGAATGAAAAGCAAAGTTAAACTCTGAGAGTTGAACGCACACATCGCAGAGCAGTTTCTGAGAATGATTCTGTCTAGTTTTTATACGAAGATATTTCCTTTTCTGCCTTTGGCCTCAAAGCGCTTGAAATCTCCACTTGCAAATTCCAGAAAAAGAGTGTTTCAAATCTGCTCTGTGTAAATGAAAGTTCAACTCTGTGAGTTGAACACACACAACACAAGGAAGTTACTGGGAATTCTTCTGTCTAGCCTTCTATGAAAAAAACCCGTTTCCAATGAAGGCCTCAAAGAGGTCTGAATATCCACTTGCAGACTTTACAAACAGAGTGTTTCCTAACTGCTCTATGAAAAGAAAGGTTAAACTCTGTGAGTTGAACACACACATCACAAAGGAGTTTCTGAGAATCATTCTGTCTAGTCTTTATACGAAGACATTTCCTTTTCTACCATAGACCTCAAAGCGGCTGAAATCTCCACTTGCAAATTCCACAAAAAGAGTGTTTCAAGTCTGCTCTCTGTAAAGGATCGTTCAACTCTGTGAGTTGAATACACACAACACAAGAAAGTTACTGAGAATTCTTCTGTCTAGCAGAATATGAAGAAATCCCGTTTCCAACGAAGGCCACAAGATGTCAGAATATCCACTTACAGACTTTACAAACAGAGTGTTTCCTAACTGCTCTATGAAAAGAAAGGTTAAACTCTGTGAGTTGAACGCACACATCACAAAGGAGTTTATGAGAATCATTCTGTCTAGTTTTGAAACCAAGATATTTCCTTTTCTGCCGTTGACCTTAAAGAGCTTGAAAACTACACTTGCAAATTGCACAAATAGAGTGTTTCAAATCTGCTCTGTCTAAGGGAACGTTCAACTCTGTGAGTTGAATGCACACAACACAAGGAAGTTACTGGGAATTCTTCTGTCTATCCTTACATGAAAAAAACCCGTTTCCAACGAAGGCCTCTAAGTGGTCAAATTATCCACGTACAGACTTTACAAACAGAGTGTTTCCAAACTGCTGAATGAAAAGAAAAGTTAAACTCTTAGAGTTGAACGCACACATCGCAGAGCAGTTTCTGAGAATGATTCTGTCTAGTTTTTATCCGAAGATATTTCCTTTTCTGCCTTTGGCCCCAAAGCGCTTGAAATCTCCACTTGCAAATTCCACAAAAACAGTGTTGCAAATCTGCTCTCTCTAAATGAAAGTTCAACTCTGTCAGTTGAATACACACAACACAAGGAAGTTACTGAGAATTCTTCTGTCTAGCCCTATATGAAAAAAACCCGTTTCCAACGAAGGCCTCAAAGAGGGCTGAATATCCACTTGCAGACTTTACAAGCAGAGTGTTTCCTAACTGCTCTATGAAAAGAAAGGTTAAACTCTGTGAGTTGAACGCTCACATCACAAAGGAGTTTCTGAGAATCATTCTGTCTAGTTTTTATAAGAAGATATTTCCTTTTCTACCTTTGACTTCAAAGCGGCTGAAATCTCCACTTGCAAATTCCACAAAAAGAGTGTTACAAGTCTGCTCTGTGTAAAGGATCGTTCAACTCTGTGAGTTGAATACACACAACACAAGGAAGTTACTGAGAATTCTTCTGTATAGCCTTACATGAAAAAAACCCGTTTCCAACGAAGGCCTCTAAGTGGTCCAATTATCCACGTGCAGACTTTACAAACAGAGTGTTTCCAAACTGCTGAATGAAAAGAAAAGTTAAACTCTGAGAGTTGAACACACACATCGCAGAGCAGTTTCTGAGAATGATTCTGCCTAGTTTTTATACGAAGATATTTCCTTTTCTGCCTTTGGCCCCAAAACGCTTGAAATCTCCACTTGCAAATTCCACAAAAACAGTGTTTCAAATCTGCTCTCTCTAAATGAAAGTTCAACTCTGTCAGTTGAATACACACAACACAAGGGAAGTTACTGAGAATTCTTCTGTCTGGCCTTACATGAAAAAAACCCGTTTCCAACGAAGGCCTCTAAGTGGTCAAAATTTCCACGTGCAGACTTTACAAACAGAGTGTTTCCAAACCGCTGAATGAAAAGAAAAGTTAAACTCTGAGAGTTGAAAGCACACATCACGCAGCAGTTTCTGAGAATGATTCTGTCTAGTTTTTATACGAAGGTATTTCCTTTTCTGCCTTTGGCCCAAAGCGCTTGAAGTCTCCACTTGCAAATTCCACAAAAACAGTGCTTCAAATCTGCTCTCTCTAAATGAAAGTTCAACTCTGTCAGTTGAATACACACAACACAAGGAAGTTACTGAGAATTCTTCTGTCAAGCATAATATGAAGAAATCCCGTTTCCAACGAAGGCCTCAAGGAGGTCTGAATATCCACTTCCAGACTTTACAAACAGAGTGTTTCCTAACTGCTCTATGAAAAGAAAGGTTAAACTCTGTGAGTTGAACGCACACATCACAAAGGAGTTTCTGAGAACAATTCTGTCTAGTTTTTCTACGAAGCTATTTCCTTTTCTACTATTGACCTCAAAGCGGCTGAAATCTCCACTTGCAAATTCCACAAAAAAAGTGTTTCAAGTCTGCTCTGTGTAAAGGATCGTTCAACTCTGTGAGTTGAATACACACAACACAAGGAAGTTACTGAGAATTCTTCTGTCTAGCCTTATATGAAAAAAACCCGTTTCCAACGAAGGCCTCAAAGAGGTCTGAATATCCACTTGTAGACTTTACAAACAGAGTGTTTCCTAACTGCTCTATGAAAAGAAAGGTTAAACTCTGTGAGTTGAACGAACACATCACAACGCAGTTTGTGGGAATGATTCTGTCTAGTTTTGAAACGAAGATATTTCCTTTTCTGCCATTGACCTTAAAGCGCTTGAAATCTCCACTTGCCAATTGCACAAAAAGAGTGTTTCAAATCTGCTCTGTCTAAGGGAACGTTCAACTCTGTGAGTTGAATGTACACAACACAAGGAAGTTACTGGGAATTCTTCTGTCTAGCCTTACAGGAAAGAAAACCGTTTCCAACGAAGGCCTCTAAGTGGTCAAAATATCCACGTGCAGACTTTACAAACAGAGTGTTTCCAAACTGCTGAATGAAAAGAAAAGTTAAACTCTGAGAGTTGAACGCACACATCGCAGAGCAGTTTCTGAGAATGAGTCTGTCTAGTTTTTATACGAAGATATTTCCTTTTCTGCCTTTGGCCTCAAAGCGCTTGAAATCTCCACCTGCAAATCCCACAAAAAGAGTGTTTCAAATCTGCTCTGTGTAAATGAAAGTTCAACTCTGTGAGTTGAACACACACAACACAAGGAAGTTACTGGGAATTCTTCTGTCTAGCCTTATATGAAAAAAACCCGTTTCCAACGAAGGCCTCAAAGAGGTCTGAATATCCACTTGCAGACTTTACAAACAGAGTGTTTCCTAACTGCTCTATGAAAAGAAAGGTTTAACTCTGTGAGTTGAACACACACATCACAAAGGAGTTTCTGAGAATCATTCTGTCTAGTTTTTATACGAAGATATTTCCTTTTCTACCATTGACCTCAAAGCGGCTGAAATCTCAACTTGCAAATTCCACAAAACGAGTGTTTCAAGTCTGCTCTGTGTAAAGCATCGTTCAACTCTGTGAGTTGAATACACACAACACCAAGAAGTTACTGAGAATTCTTCTGTCTAGCAGAATATGAAGAAATCCCGTTTCCAACTAAGGCCACAAGATGTCAGAATATCCACTTACAGAATTGACAAACAGACTGTTTCCTAACTGCTCTATGAAAAGAAAGGTTAAACTCTGTGAGTTGAACGAACACATCACAACGCAGTTTGTGGGAATGATCCTGTCTAGTTTTGAAACGAAGATATTTCCTTTTCTGCCATTGACCTTAAAGCGCTTGAAATCTCCATTTGCCAATTGCACAAAAAGAGTGTTTCAAATCTGCTCTGTCTAAGGGAACGTTCAACTCTGTGAGTTGAATGTACACAACACAAGGAAGTTACTGGGAATTCTTCTGTCTAGCCTTATATGAAAAAAACCCGTTTCCAACGAAGGCCTCTAAGTGGTCAAATTATCCACGTGCAGACTTTACAAACAGAGTGTTTCCAAACTGCTGAATGAAAAGCAAAGTTAAACTCTGAGAGTTGAACGCACACATCGCAGAGCAGTTTCTGAGAATGATTCTGTCTAGTTTTGAAACGAAGATATTTCCTTTTCTGCCTTTGGCCTCAAAGCGCTTGAAATCTCCACTTGCAAATTCCACAAAAAGAGTGTTTCAAATCTGCTCTGTGTAAATGAAAGTTCAACTCTGTGAGTTGAACACACACAACACAAGGAAGTTAATGGGATTTCTTCTGTCTATCACAGTATGGAGAAATCCCGTTTCCAACGAAGGCCTCAAAGAGGTCTGAGTATCCACTTGCAGAGTTTACAAACAGAGTGTTTCCTAACTGCTCTATGAAAAGAAAGGTTAAACTCTGTGAGTTGAACGCACACATCACAAAGAAGTTTCTGAGAATCATTCTGTCTAGTTTCTGTATGAAGATATTTCCTATTCTACCATTGACCTCAAAGCGGCTGAAATCTCCACTTGCAAATTCCACAAAAAGAGTGTTTCAACTCTGCTCTGTGTAAAGGATCGTTCAACTCTGTGAGTTGAATACACACAACACAAGGAAGTTACTGAGAATTCTTCTGTCTAGCACAGTATGGAGAAATCCCGTTGCCAACGAAGGCCTCAAAGAGGTCTGAATATCCACTTACAGAATTTACAAACAGACT